>NT_187606.1:0-300000 GCF_000001405.40 Homo sapiens
GAATTCCAGAAGCAGAAGAGAAAGAAACAGGAGAAATATTTGAAACAATAATGACTGAGAATTTCTCTCAATGTGAGACACCAAACCACAGATCCAGGAAGCTCAGAAAACATCAAGCAGGATAAATGCCCACAGAAAAACTGCATCTAGCCACCTAAGTTACAAACTATGAAAAAAAAAAAATCAAAAGATGAAGAGAAAATTCTGGAGGAACCTAGAGGGAAAAGAAAACACACCTTACCTACAGAGAAGTCAAGATAAGAATTACATCCAACTTCTCAGAAATTGTATAAGCAAGAGACTGGAGTGAAATATTTAAAGTGTTGAGAGAGGGGGAAAAAAACCCCACCACCAACCTAGAATTCTATATTCTGTGAAATTACTCTTCATAAGTGAAGGAGAAATAAACACTTTCTCATACAAAAATTGAGGGAATTAGTTGCCAGTAAACATGCCTTGAAAGAAATGTTAAAGAAAAGTTCCTTGGGAAAAAGGAAAATGATACATGTCAGTAACTTGGATGTATATCAAGAAAGGAAGAGCACTGGAATAAGTTAATATAAAATGAAAATTTTATTCTTCTTATTCTTAATTTATCTAATAGATCAATTCAGATCAAACTGATCAATAGATCAAACATCATTTGTTCAAAATAATAATTAGCAATAATATATTTGATTATGTATATATTTTTTGTATATAAATGATGTGTATGTTTGTATATAAGTGAAATGAATGATAATGATACAAGGGACAGGAGGGAAGAATTAGGACAATTTTGTTATTATAAGATACTCACACTACCTGTGAAGCAGTAGAGTGTTATTTAAAAGTGCACTTAAACTAGTTGTAAACGTATTGCAAATCCTAGGGAAAACAGTACAAAAAGAAGTATAACTGATGGATATGCTAAGAAGGGAAAGAAAATGGAATCATGAAATGCTCAATTAAAGCCACAAAAGATGGAAACAGAGTGGAAGTCAAAAATAGAAACAAAAACAAGGACAACAAATAGAACACAGTAACAAATATGGTAGATATTAATCTTACTATATTGATATAATAATCACTTTGAATGTCAATGGTCAATCACCAATTAAAAGAGAGAAATTGTCAGAGTGGATCAAAAACAAAACCCAACTATACACTATATGTTGCCTACAATAAACTCACTTTAAATATAAAGATACATATAGATTAAAAGTAAATAAATAGAGGAAAAACATACCATGCTAACACTAATCAAAAGAAAGCAGGAATAGCTATATGAATTTCAGACAGAGCAGCTTCAAAGCAAGGAAATTTAGCAAGGATAAAGAAGGGCATTACAGAATGACAATGGGAATCCATTCTCCAAGAAGACATAACAATCATTAATGTGTATGTGCTAACAACAGAGAATCAAACACCCTGAGGTAAAAACTGATAGAAGTGTAGGAAACATAGATGGATCCACTATCATAGCAGGAGACTTCAACACGTCTCTATCAGAAATGGACAGATTCAGCAGGCAGAACATCAACAAGGACTTAACAAGGCCATTAATTAACTGGATATAATTGATGTCTATAGACAACTTCATCCCACAATAGCAGATTACAATTCTTCTCAAGCTTACATGGAACATTCATCAAGATAGACCACATTCTGGGCCATAAAACACACTTTAACACATTTAAAATCATAGAAATCATACAATGTCTGCTTTTATGCCACAGTGGAATTAAATTATAAATCAATAACAGAAAGGTAACAGGAAAATCCCAAAATATGTGGAAATTAAACAACTTTCTTTCTTTCTTTCCTTCCTTCCTTCATCCCTTCTTTCCTTCCTTCCCCTTACCCTTCCTTCCTTCCTTCCTTCTTCCATCCTTCCTTCTCTCTCTCTCTTTCTCTCTCTCTTTCTTTCTCTCTCTTTCTTGTGGGATACAGTAAAAACAGTGCTATGGGGAAATGTAAGGCATTGAATACATATATTAGAAAAGAAGACAGATCTTAAATCAGGATTCTAAGTTTACACCTGAAGAAAATAGAAAAGAAGGGCAAATTAAATCCAAAGTAGGTCAGGTGCTGTGGCTCACACTTGTAATCCCAGCACTTTGGGAGGCCGAGGTAGGTGGATCACGTGAGGTCAGGAGTTCAAGAGAAGCCTGGCCAACATGGGGAAACCCAGTCTCTACTAAAAATACAAAAATTAGTTGGGCGTGGTGGCTCGCACCTGTAATCCCAGCTACTTGGGAGGCTGAGGCAGAATTGCTTGAACCCAGCAGCCAGAGGTTGCAGTGAGCCAAGATCGCGCCATTGCATTCCAGCCTGGGTGACAAGAATGAAACTCTCTCTCAAAACAAAAACAAAAACAAACAAACAAACAAAAACAAAAACAAGTCTTGGAGTTGTAGCTTCCGTGAACTGTGATCCTTGAGAAAGTTAGGAAATCCCCCACTGGGAGTGAACCTAGGAAGTAGTTCTTCCCTATCTCTGTTATTTTCATCTCCTTGACCTGGGCTCCCCTCCTTATGTTTTCTGGCCTGGATTCTCAGATGAGGAAACTGAAACTCACAAATATGCAGTGACTCAGATTATACAACTATTAAACGGCCCACTTGGGCCTGCCCTGGGTCTTGTTACTTTCAAAGCCCACGCTCTTGACAGTGCATTATTTTGTCCATCCATTGTCTCCCATTTTACAAAACACATGCCTGGGCCAAGATTAAACTTCTTGTTGCCCATTCTTACTTTTGGCTTTTCCCCACTTCTCTGAGGGTTTACCACACAGTGCCCCTACCACCAAGAGGCCCTCCTTGTCTTCACTGTTGAATTAACATATGTTAAGGGACATCTCAAATGCATCCTCCTTGATGAAACTTTTCTTCATTCCAACGCATTCATAAGGTGCCATCCCTTCCCCTTGCTTGGACCTTGTCAGCACT
This sequence comes from Homo sapiens, assembly GCF_000001405.40. Lineage (NCBI taxonomy): Eukaryota > Metazoa > Chordata > Mammalia > Primates > Hominidae > Homo > Homo sapiens. The sequence goes on from NT_187606.1 coordinate 2,931, forward strand.
GTGCCAGAGTGGGGGTCTTGGGTCTACCACACCCATTTTTCTGCTTTGTTTTCTGTTTTTTTGTGGGGGTCAGAGTCTCGCTCTGTCATCCAGGCTGGAGTACAGTGGCACAGTCTCTGCTCACTGCAACCTCCACCTCCTAGGCTCAAGTGATCCTCCCACTTCAGCCTCCAGAGTAGCTGAAACTACAGGCATACACCACCACGCCTGGCTAATTTTTGTATTTTTTGTAGAGATGGGATTTCACCGTGTTGCCCAGGCTGGTCTGGAACTCCTGAGCTCAAGCAATCTGCCCTCCTCGGTCTTCCAAAGTGCTGCGATTACAGGTGTGAGCCACTGCGTCCGGCCATTTCTCCATTTGAAGGCAAGGATGGTGTCTTATCCACTGTCCTGGACTTTGGAGCACCTAGTGCCCCCTCACAGTTAGTAGCCAAGGGTCACATACCAAATGCCATGGACTAGGCAGGTAACATAAATGAGCAAACGAGGTGGGTAGGGAGACAGATTTTTCCTGAAACATGGGGCTTCTTGGCCCATCTCTTGTTTTCCCACTTTTGTTAGAGACTCAGTTCTTTACTGAGTGAAAGGAAACACAAGCATGATGGGAAAGGGAGCCTACTTGCAGCCACAGTGCTGGGAATGAATAGGGAGTGGTGGGGACTGAGGACCGGGGAGCATAGGCCCTTCCTAAAGGGAACTCACTGCTCCACCCCAGCCACTTCTGCCAGGGAGCAATTTAAGCCTGACATGGATGGATGATAAGACTTTTCAAGAAAAGCTGAAAATTGAGATTTTTGTACAAGATCATGTGATTCCTAAACATTGGCAATTGACTAAAACATTTTTCAATATTTGTGTCAGCCAAAACAAACCAAAAAATCAATAACTGATCAACACAAGCAAATCTGCACGCTGTGGTTGAGGAGTTGTAGTCCCATATGTCCTTATTAGGATGTCAGAGCAAGAAGTCACCTTAAATCATCCAGTCCGGTGGTTTCTGAATGCCAGCCTCTGAACTGGCTAGATCAGAATCCCTGGGAAGGTCTAGAAAAACACAGAAAATACACATTCTAGGGCCCCCAGAGCCCTGGATCTGTGGAACTAGAATCTCTGGGCTGGGTCCTGGGCATCTGCAGTTTTTCAGAGCTCTCCACGTACTGCTGATGACCAGCCAGGTTCACTCCCAGTGGGGGATTTCCTAACTTTCCTGAGGATCACAGCTCCCGGAGGTTCTTGGTAAAAACAGCTTCCTAGTCCCTAGTCCTAGTTTCCTGGAAATGCTGGTATAGTGAGTCTGGGATGGGGCCTGGGAATTTGTTTTTAAGAAACTCATCTGTGAGATCTGGAAAATCCTTGCACTAGTGGCCCGTTGAGGCTCAGTGATGAGGAAGACTTGCTCAGAGCCACATAGCACGTTGCCCCAGCCCATCCAACCTCCTGACTCTCAGAGAAAGCTCTTTGAGGCCGGCACTGCTGGGGCAGTTGTGAGCAGTGGGAGATGCTCTCAGCAGGGGCACAGCACTGACGTGTGCAGGGCACTCTACATGCAGTTTGGCAGGGGACAGACTGGAGGGCGGGTTTGGTTTCCGCAGCCTGCTGGGATGGAGCTTTGGGCTGGGCAGCAGCAGAAGGAATCCTGGTGGGATGTCAGCAGGGCACTCAGGCATTCATGTGAGCCCGTGGAGTCTATTGTCGTGAACAGCCAGGATCCTGGGAGCTGGGTATAAACCCAATCGAGAAACTCCAGATTGCCAAGTTCCCTAACTGTGCTCTTTAGAGCCTGGGAACTGCAGAGAGGGAAAAGAGTGGGAAAAGCATGGATGCCAGGGCTCCCCCACCCCCGGCACATGAGATTTCTTTTGAGACTAGACCTGGTGGCCAAAGAGATTTGAGAAACGTGATCTAATTCAACTCTTTCACATTAACGATGGGGAAACTGAGGCCCAGTAAGGGATGGACTGTTGAGAATATAAAGCAATGTTACTGAAGAGACTGAAACCATTTGGGGGACTTGAGTCCCAGTCTCAGCACTGCCACTCTCACTGTCACTGTGTGGCTCTAGGCCAATCTCTCCACCTCTCTGAGCCTCCCTTTGCTCTCTCACCTAGGAAGCAGTCTGGACACCCTACTGCAGGTGTCCTAACCTGGGGTCCACAGCCTAAGGGACCGTGAACTGAGGGGATCCATGAGCTTGAATGGGAAAATATTACATATTTACTTTTTGTAACCTCTCAATGAAATTTAGTATTTCCCTCAATTATGAATATTATTAGCAAATCCCAACAGCACCTGTGATTTTGTTACCAATAGAACAAACCAAATATTTTTCTATCTCATTACAGTTGTTGCATGTATCTTGAAATAAGGTTTACGTTCATCACTACTTCAAAATTTCCGTAGTTGCTGGGCATAGTGGCTCACGCCTATAATCCCAGCACTTTTGGAGGCTGAGGTGAGTGGATCACTTGAGGCCAGGAGTTCAAGACCAGCCTTTCCAACATGGCAAAACCCCATCTCTACTAAAAATACAAAAACTTGCTGGGTGTGGTGGTACGTGCCTGTAATCCCAGCTACTCGCGAGGCTAAGGGACAAGAATTGCTTGAACCTGGGAGGCAGGGGTTGCGGTGAGCCAAGATTGAGCTACTGTACTCCAGCCTGGGTGACAGAGAGAGACTCTGTCTCAAAAAAAAAAAAAAAAAAAACCATAGTTGTTTAATTTGCCAGAAAATCTTGTTTAAAGTATAATTCCACACCCTACTTTTTAAATTATTTTTTGTTTTGTTATGTTTTGTTTTTGAGATAATGTCTCACTCTATCACCTAGGCTGGAGTGCAGTGGCATCATCATGGCTCACTGCAGCCTCGACCTCCTGGGCTCAAGAGAGCCTCCCATCTCAACATTCCAAGTAGTTGGGACTACAGGTGTGCACCATCATGCCTGGCTAATTTTGTATGTGTGTGTGTGTGTGTGTGTGTGTGTCTGTGTAGCGACAAGGTCCCATTATGTTGCCCAGTTGGTCTTGAACTCCTAGGCTCAAGTGATCCTCCCCCCTTGTTCTCCCAAAGTTCTGGGATTACAAGTATGAACAACCTTGCCTGGTCTTAAATTATTTTGATAACTGTATTTCAATATAATCAATTTCCTTGGTACTCCTGTGCATTTATTTTATTTATTTTATTTATTTTTTATGGCAGGGTCTCCCTCTGTCACCCAGGCTGGAGTGCAGTGATGCGATCTCGGCTCACTACAACCTCCACCTCCCAGGTTCAAGCGATTCTCCTGCCTCGGTCTCCTGAGTAGCTGGGATTACAGGCATGTGCCACCACGCCTGGCTAATTTTTGTGTTTTTAGTAGAGACAGGGTTTCACCATGTTGGCCAAGCTGGTCTCAAACTCCTGACCTCAAGTGATTTGCCTGCCTCGGCCTCCCAAAGTGCTAAGATTACAGGCGTGAGCCACCGGGCCCAACCACTCCTATGTATTTTATTTTCTGCATTTCAAAATATTGTTCTGAGAAGGAGTTTGTGGCAAAAAAGGATAAGAATCCAGGCCTTATTGGGAAATCCTAGAGGACAGAGCAACAGAGAGGGGTTTTTAAACTGCAAGGGCCTGAGCAGAGGTCTGCCAATTTTTTCCATCCCTGGAACCTTTCTTTAAATGAATTCTTCCATGTAAAAGAAAGAAACCAGAGCCACTCTGTTGAAGTGGCAGTTAGGGGCCAGGCAGCCCCACTGGGGTGGTCTTTCTCTGTCTCCCCATTCCAGGAGGCCTGGAGACACTTGCAGAATGCTCACGCACCTGAGAGCACATTTTTAAATCCATCAGGCTAATAATAATCATAACAATCATAATTGCCATCATATTCAACCAGTGGTTCAGGCACTGCTAAATGTGGAGTAGCTCACCTGGTTTAATCCTCACAGCAGCATCAAGAGTGTAAGTGCTGTGGTTATCCACATTCTACAGAGTCATTCAACAAATACCAAAAAAGGACTAAGTTCTGGACACTTCCTCTGACACTTAAATCTTCAACAAAGAATATAAAGGGCCAAGTGTCGTGGCTCACACATGTAATCCCAGCACTTTAGGAGGCTGAGGTGGGAGGATTGCTTGAGGCCAGGAGTTCAAGACCAGCCTGGGCAACATAGCAAGACTCCCATCTCCACACACACACAAAAAAATTATCCAGGACCAGCTGCAGTGGCTCACACCTGTAATCCCAGCACTTTGGGAGGCCGAGGTAGAAGGATCACTTGAGCCCAGGAGTTTGTTTGAGACCAGCCTGGGCAACATAGTGAGACCCCATCTCTATTTTAAAAAAACTAAAAATAAAAACATATTAGCCAAGTGTGGTGGCACCCACCTGTAGTCCCAGTCCCTCCCTACTTGGGAGGCTGAGATGGGAGGATGGCTTGAGCTCAGGAGTTGGAGGCTGCAGAGACCTATGATTGCACACCTGCACTCCTGTCTGGGCGACAGACCAAGACCCTGTTTCCAAAAAAGCTGGGGGCAAAGAATATAAAGATTTTTGCCTTCCTAGACTACATTGGGAGGGGAGGGAGAAAACAAATAAATAGAAAAAATAATGAAAATGCTAAGTGATATGGTATGTCAGAAGTGCTATGGGGAAAAATAAAGCAAGGAAGAGGGATACGGAGAGCCAGGGAGTTGCAATTTTAAAATAAAGTCATTATAGGAGGCCTCATTGAGAAGGAGACATTTGAGCAAGAACTCAAAAGTGAGTGGTTTAGCCACGTGGAAAACAGAGGGAAGAGTGTTGCAGGTGTAGGGAACAGCAATGCAAAATCCTGAAGCAGCAGCATGTCTGGCCTGTGGAGGAACTGCAAGGAGGCCAGTGGGCGGAGTGGAGGGAACTAAGAAGGTGTAGCTGGAAATGAGATTGGACAGGTCACCTTGCCTAGCGTCTCATACAGGCCAGAACTTTGTCTTTTGCTCGAGTGAGATGGGCACCATTGCAGGATTTTGAGCAGAGAAGGACCATGATCAGGCTGGTTTTGAATGACTCTGGCTGCTATATTGAAAACATGAGGGGAGGGGCACCTGGGGTAGGCAATAGTGGAAACAGAGAGACCTGTTAAGAAGTTACCGCAGCAATCCAGGCCGGGCAGCAGTGGCTCACGCCTGTAATTCCAGCACTTTGGGAGGCTGAGGCCAGCATATCCCCTGAGCTCAGGAATCTGAGACCAGCCTGGCTAACATGGTGAAATCCTGTGTCCACTAAAAATACAAAAATTAGCTGGGCGTGGTGGTGCGTGCTTCTAGTCCCAGCTACTCCTGAGGTGGGAGAATCGCTCAAACCCAGGAGGCGGAGGTTCCAGTGGGCCGAGATCGCGCCACGCACTCTAGCCTGGGCGACAGAGCGAGACTATCTCAAAACAACCAACCAAAAACCCAAAATACAAACAACAACAACAAAAGGAGTTACTGCAACAATCCAGATGGAGAAACTGAGGCACGGAAAGATGAAATAGCAGAGTTAGTAGATAGCCCAGCGAGGATTTGAATCCAGATACTCTGACTCCAGCAGCCCCCTCTTGGCCGCTCCCCTCTGGTCCCTGGCCACCAGCAAGGACCCCGGTCTGCCCTGGGCCTAAGGCCTTTGTGGTTCCCTCCCTGCAGGAAGTGTAACCGAGGGCCGGGCGGCACCGGATATCGTGCACCAGGTTCGCGTGGACGCTGGGGGGTCCTTCCTGTCCTGTGAGCTGCGGCCCCGCGCACTGCGCAAGCGGGATGTATCTGTGCGCCGAGACGCGCCCGCCTTCTACCCGCTGCAATACCGCAGGCGCGAGCTGCGCTTCAACCTGACCGCCAATCAGCACCTGCTGGCGCCCGGCTTTGTGAGCGAGATGCCGCGGCGCGGCGCCCTGGGTCGCGCGCACATCCGGGCCCACACCCCCGCCTGCCACCTGCTTGGCGAGGTGCAGGACTCCGAGCTCGAGGGTGGCCTGGCGGCCATCAGCGCCTGCGACGGCCTGGTGAGTGAGCTGGGACATGTATACTTGGGGCAGTCTCGGGTGGTGGGATGTGGAGATTGGCTCTAGCCTTGCCACGCACTTGTCTGGTGGCTTTGCCCAGTGCACTTTTTCTCTGCCAGCCTCGGTATTCACGCCTGTAAAGTGGGAGTGACAACGCAGGCCTCGTTCATCTCTAGGACAACAGTTCTCAAAGTTTAATGTGAAAGCCGGGTGGTGGTGCACCTGTAGTCCCAGCTATTTGGGAGGCTGAGGCGAAAGGATCACTTGAGCCCAGGAGTTAAAGGATGTAGGACGTAGGGTGTGATCATGGCGCTTAGCTGGAGACACAGCGAGACCCCAGGCACTAAAAAAAAAAAAAAAAAAGAAAGAAAGAAAGAGAAAAGAAAAGAAAAGTTTAATATGAGCTCAAATCACCTGCAGGCCCTGTTTAAACAGAATTTTTGCAGGGTAGGTCTGGAATGGCGCCCAAACACTTGGATTTCTGAAAACGTCTCAGGTAATATTGAAGATGCAGGTCCAGAGATCCCATTTTGAGAACCTCTGTTTGACTGGACTAAGTAACTGAAAAAGCAGTTGACTTCTCTTCCTTGGGGCATCAGTTATGACTGTTCCTTCACAGGTCCCTTTAGGCTGCTTTTCTCCAGGAAAGCCACCCCTCACCCTGTAGCCATTCTGCAGGGTGTGGTGAGGAACCCCTTTCAGCCCCTCTGCTCGGATCAGAGCTCCGGGAAAAGCAGGCCTCAGCTTCCTGGTTTCGACTGGCTGAAGGGTGGTGCTGGCTACTGCAGCCCTAATTGCTCCCTGATTGGGTGCTGATTAGAGCAGCTTCCACTCCAGGCAGAGTAGGGCCCCTTTCTGTTCGTGTTCAGGTGACCAGCCCCACTCTCCCAGCTCTGGAGGGTGGGGGTTTGGGAGGAGTAGGGGATGTGTGCACACTCTCAGCGTCCACTGTTCCCAGGAGGCCCTCAGCTTAGATTGCTCAGGCAAAAACCATGGGCTGTGGCCGCACAGGGCCTAATGACAGGGCAGCCCACAACGCAAGCTGCACAACGTCTGGACCTTTGAAGGCCCATCTGCCCTGCACAGTATTCCCATTTATGGAGCCTGTGCCTGTCCCTTAATGTACAATTGATCTTGTTGAGCCTGTGCCACAGCTGTGCACATGGGGCATCATTCCCATTTCACAGATGAGGAAACAGGCTCAGAGGGGAACTTGCCCAGGCTCACCTAGTCATTCAGTGAGTGGTGGGCGGGAGGGGGGGACTTCGCATTCATACCCAGGTCTCCAGACCCAAGAGCTGATGCACTCTCCAGCCCTCCCTCCAGGCCCCCTGGTCCTGTGTGACTCAAGGGGCAGAATTGGTGCCTATGAGGGGAAGTCCGAGGGATGTAAAACCTTCTTTCCTGTTGGAGCCCTGAGCTTCCTCAGGAGGTAGTGGGCATCATAGATGCTTCCTGGGGCCCCTCCCCTCCCTGGACTCTGAATGTTGGCGGACATGTCCAAGACACTCCTGCCAGCTTCCCTTCTCTGGGCAGCCCTGGGCCCAGAGAACAGGGTGTCCTGGTGGCCGTGGGCATCTCCGCCACTCGGGTGTGGGTGTGGATGCTTTTGGAGTGATTCATTGCCTTAGGGAGATAGAGGGAAGGTCAGAAGCCCTGGCCAGCTGGGAGGGAGCACAGTGCTGGAAATGGCTGGCCTGCAGAGAAGACGCAGAATAGCCTGGAGGCCTGGGCACAAGCTGCCCTGCTCAGGACAGCTGTCTGGGACTTTGGAAGACACCATTTTGTCAGATTTGGGTGCAGACCCGTTTTCCTCTCCTAATAGGGTGGGTGTGTGGGGCAGCATCCCCAGGGGCGGAGGCTTCTGAGCTCCGCTTTGAAGGTTTGGCTGTGTGTGAAATGGCAGAGAAGGGCTTTCCAGATGGAGGCTACAGAGTGAGCAAAGGCCCAGCAGGCGGAAAGTGCAGGGTGTCTGTGGGCAGTCACAGATGATGTGGGCAGTGGGGGCTCAGCTGAGCAGGATGGGCCTCTGGGACGTGCAGGAAGAGCAGCTGAGGGCCAGCCCTCCCTGTGTGACCCTGGTGCTTCTTCCCTAGAAAGGTGTGTTCCTGCTCTCCAACAAGGACTACTTCATTCAGCCCCTGGACGGTGCCCCAGCCTGGCCCAGCCATGCCCAGCCCCATGTGGTGTACAAGCATCCGGCCCCGGAGAGGCTGGCACAGCGGGGTGATTCCAGTGCTCCAAGTACCTGTGGGGTGCAAGGTATGCTCTTCTACTCCCAGTTCTCAGGCAGGTGCTAGGCCTGGGGACATGAAGGGGCCTTTCTAGAAGCCCCTCGTAACATGCCCATGCTCGGTGTCCCTTAGACCAGAGGATACAGACAGACAGACGGATACATCACTATAGCGTGTGCCCTTAATTGTGCCACAAGACTGTGTCCTCTGCCTTTCAGGCCTGTCCCAGTCAGTCCCCTAGACTGACCTCCCTCTCTCCATCTCACCTACTTCTCCCACCTTGGGGCTCAACCTCCCTCTTGCTCCCTCCCCACCAAGCCTATGGCACCTGGCTCTGCCAGCCATTCTCCCTCCAGTGTCCAGACCAGGTGAGCCATGCCCAGCTCCAACAGGGCCATTAGCCAGGAACCTCCCTCCCCATGCCACCCTGCTCCCACCCTAGAATAACTAACCTCTATTATTGGGACCTGGAGTGTGGTACCCAGTGCCTCCTCTGCAGAGCAGCAGTAGTGCCGGCCAGTCCAGGTGAAGAGCTGCCTGCTAAGGGTTGCTGGGATTTGGGGAATGCTTGGCTGGCATGCCAATCTCAGGCTGCCCACAGCTCTGGTACTCCATTTGCTGGAGCACATATCCACAGAGGCATGCTTCTTGGCCTCATTTTCCCCAGCTTCATAGATGTGCTTCCTCTTCTGATCTGGAGCAGCCTGGGTCAGGGGAGCAGGCTCAGTAGGGCAAGCTGGGCTGGGTCTTGGCCAGCCTCCCCAGGCTGGGGTTTAGAGGGTGGGGTCAGGGGTCAGTGTTGAGATGCACTAAGCCCCCAGGGTGGGAGGAAGTGACACGGGGAGATAGGGGCCCAGTAGCCAGCTTTGTCAAGCCCAGGAGTTCCCCTCCCATGGACACAGTACTTTACTGCGTTTATATCCACCATTTCATTTACCCTTTGAGGTCCCCCCATGAGGCAGATCAACTTATTCCTATTTTTAGTCAGGGAATCTCAAGATCAAAGAAAGAAAGTGGTCAGGCAGAGCCACACAGCACAGGTTTGGGGCAGAGCCAGGAGGGGAATTCAGGCCCCTCGCCTCTGATCCCTGTGTGGTTCCCAGTGCCCCAGAGAACTCGCTGAGGAGAAGCCCTGGAGACGTGTGCCCTGGGCCAGGATGGGCCAGAAGGATGGGGAACAGATGTTCCCTCAGGATCAGATGTTTATTTAAGACTGACTTGTTGAGAGCCATCGCTCTACCTGGGATAAGGTGATGGATGTGGAAGAGCATGATTCTGCATGTGGGGACTCTGTCTCATTGTAGCATTTCCCAAGGAATATTTCAGGGAGTGTGTTCCAAAGAATGCCAGTAGTGCACTGTGAAAAAAAAAGATGCTGCTGTTGAATAAGTTTGGCCACACAGGGTTAAAAAAAGTAAAACGGGCCAGGCATGGTGGTGCACACCTGTAGTCCCAGCTACTTGAGGGGCTGAGGTGGGAGGATTGCTTGAGCCCAGGAGGTCGAGGCTGCAGCGGCTGCAGTGAGCTGAGATCATGCAACTGCACTCCATATGGATGACAAAGTGAGACACTGTCTCGAAAAAAAAAAAAAAAAAAAAAGGTAAAACAGACTTCGTTACTACAGGACTTCTCAGAGCCCTCAAAGTAAATATTCATTGAGAATCCCCAACAGAATAGGCAGGCAGCATTCCCCAAATTTAGGAAATAAGCAGGGGCTTTGAAGCAGTGAAACCTGGGTTCTGAGCCCAGCTTCACCCTCTCTTTGAGCTTCAGTTACTTCATTTGTAAAATGAGGATAATTGTGCCTACCTCAGAAGTAAGATTAAATGAGATAATGCATGCTAAGCCCCCAGCACAGGGACTGTACATGTTAGGCTCGATCAAGGTTGGCTGTGGCTATTTTTTTGGCTGCTGCAGTATCTGACCCACAGCCACCTTCAGGACAGCCTCATCTTTCTTTACCAACGCCACCTACAGACCCCAATTTATCCGTGTTCTCCCTGTGCTAGACTCAGATCTGAGTCCTAGAGCTTGGGTGGGTTTGTCCCAAGGATAGCAAGACAGGTCCCTTTTCACCCTATTTTCTTTTTTTTTTTTTTTTTTTTTGAGATGGAGTCTCACTCTGTCCCCCAGGTCGGAGTGCAGTGGCGTGATCTCAGCTCACTGCAACCTCCGCCTTCTGGTTCAAGCGATTTTCCTGCCTCAGCCTCCTGAGCAGCTGGGACTACAGGCGCATGCCACCACACTCAGCTAATTTTTTTGTATTTTTAGTAGAGATGGGATTTCTCCATGTTAACCAGGCTGGTCTCGAGCTCCTGACCTCGTGATTTGCCCACCTCAGCCTCCCAAAGTGCCGAGATTACAGGTATGAGCCACCGTGCTCAGCCAGTTTCACCCCATTTTCACCCCCAATTCTGTTCTTACTCTCTGAGGCCACAAGCCCTTTTCGAGGGGCTCTTGTCACACTTTCAGCTCACCAGGAGCCTGTGGTTATCTGTAACCTCCAGATCTTACCTTCACAAACACTGCACACCTCTGGCATGCTCTCCAGACCTGCAGCAGAACAGGGCTGGGCTTCCCTGGATATCATTTATCCAGTTGAAACACCCCACATTGACCTTGGGCCATTAACCAATGTTACTTGGTTGAGTTGATCAGCCAATTAAGACCCTGCCTCCCTCCAACATCTCCCAATGCCTGTATTACCCCCATAGCTCCTGGGAGACAGTGAGGTTATATATGCTGAGGGAAGGCCTTTGTGGTGGCACTAAGCTGCCCCTAGCCCTGACTCAGAATATAGCTTGGGTCAGTCCTCAGGCAGGCAGAGCAGACCCTCAGGGGCTTCTGGTCCTCTGGAGCCACTTTGCTGGGGACTGATACCAAGCTTACCTGTCTGTGGTCTAGGAAAGATTTGTGGTCTGGGAAGGGGCGTCGGAGGCCTCTTGTCCTCTGTAGGTTCTGCTGCTGCCACATTGGGGCAGTGCGTGTGAGGTGTGGGGACACTCATGCATTGGTGCATGTGCATTGCCTATCCGCTGTGCAGCCTGTGTGCACCCGTGTGAGCGTCCCTGTGTGTGAGCACAGGTGTGCATTGCCCTGGGTGGGTGGGTGGCTTGGGGTGGGCATTGGCTGCTTGTATCCTTCATCCTGGTGACAGCCTGACCCCCTCATCTCTTGGGCAGGTGGCTGGCCTGTTTCACGACCCCAGCATTGGGAACCCCATCCACATGACCATTGTGCTCCTGGTCCTTCTGGAAGATGAGGAGGTGAGCGGTCATGTGGTCCCACGCTGCCTGGCAATGGCTTCGGCTGCCAGAGCCCTCCTGCCCCATGACCTGTGCTGCTCTGTATGGAAGGGCACAGTGAAGGCCTCCTTGGACTGGACTGTGTCCCCTGCCACTCCCTGGTTCCTGACTGACCCTCTCTCAGGTCCCAGGTCTCCTGCAGGAGGTTCCTACAGGAGGGATGGTCAGGCCGGAAGCTGGACTGGTGCCTGCGGGCCTCCCACTGCCCTGCTGGGCCTCTGTCTCCTGCCTTTGTATGGGGGAGAATTGGGCCTGACCTTCTTGGAACTCAGGGGAGGCATGAGCAGTCACTCTCTCTGCCCCCAGGAGGACCTAAAGATCATGCACCATGCAGACAACACCCTGAAGAGCTTCTGCAAGTGGCAGAAAAGCATCAACATGAAGGGAGACGCCCACCCCCTGCAGCATGACACTGCCATCCTGCTCATCAGGTACTGCAGCTGCAGGAGGGTGGGAGCCTGCATCTCAGGGAGGTGCTTCCCAGCCCTAGGGAAGAAGCCCTGGTGGAGGAGGGGGCCGTGCTGTCAGGGAGCCCCATTTTGAGGAGAGTTTGCGCACCTTTGGCCCAAGGCTGGATTCTGTCCGCACTTAGGGAGGTCTTTTTATTTTGAAATAATTGTGGATTCTCACACTCTTGTCAAAAATAATAGAGAGAGGGCCTGTATAGCCTTCATCCATTTCCCCCGGTGGTAACATCTTGCATGACTACAGCACAGTATCCCAATCAGGAAACTGACACTGATACCATCCACAGACTTACTCAGGTCTCATCGGTTCCACATGTACTTCCCTGTGTGTGTGTGTGTGTGTGTGTGTGTGTGTGTGTATTCAGTTCTGTGCAGTTTCATCACTGTGGGTTCACCTACCCACCCCCACAGTCTAGATACAGATCTGTCCCATCAGAAGGATGTCTCGTGCTACCCGTTTATAGTCACAGCCACCTTCCTCCCTCCTCCCCTAACCTCCGGCAACTGCTGATCTGTCCAGAGGCAGTTATTTTCCCTCTGCTGGACTCTGGCAGCTTCTGTCAGTGCCCCTGCTGGATAGTAACCAAAATTATTCTGTGCAGGTCTGTGTTCCTGAGGGCCAAAGAGATGCCCAGTGGCTTGTGTGTGAATGAGAATACCTCCTTCCCAAGTGGCCACTGTGCTGGCCTCATGTCACAGAATGGTGGGAAGGACATCCTTTTCACTTGGGATCAACTGGGGGTGACCCTTCCCTGGCCTTAACTCAGGTGGGCCTGGCACTCGCTAGGTTAGCCTGAAGGCCGCTTCTCTGCCTGTGCAGGAAGGACCTGTGTGCAGCCATGAACTGGCCCTGTGAGACCCTGGGCTTGTCCCATGTGGTGGGCATGTGCCAGCTGCACCGTAGCTGCAACATCAAGGAGGACATGGGCCTGCCGCTGACCTTCACTGTGATGGCCCCTGCAAGCTCACTGGCCTCAAGAACAGTCTTGAGCACAGGTACCGTGCCTGCCCCTATTGCTACACTGAGAGTCGAGATTCACCCTCCCAGCCTGAGAGCACTGGGTATCCAGCCTGTGGGTCACAAAGTCCAGGGGAAAGGAAGCTCTCTGGAGAAGAAGCCCCGACTGTCTGGCCATGTGCTGCCCCTGCACTGTGCCCTCCCCACAACCAGGCTTCCCTGTTAAACAGGAGAGAGTCCTGCCTGGGCATCTCTGGGACTGGCCTGGAGGGAGTCTTATTTAAAGGGGAGTTGTGATGGGCTGGAAAGTCATTGTAGGTCTTTGGCTGTCCCTCCCCATTGCCCTCAGTGCTGTATTTTTTACTCTCGATCCCTGTCCCTGTTCCTGTTTGCTCTGTGGCCTGGGCCAGTGCCTGCCCTCTCTGGGCCTCTGTGTGCTTCCCATAGATTGAGGGGTTTGGATTCAGTGATGTCCAAGGCTCCCTCTATCTGACACCGCTGCCTAAGGCTCCTGTCTTCACAGGCCTCCAGCCACCTGTGCCCTGGCTGTTGAGCTGGCGAATATGGCAGCATCTTAGATTGTCTAGAAAGCCATCAAAGGCAGGCTCCCAGAGGGTTCTGTGGGTCAAAGCTGTTGGGGTCATCCATTCAGATGTCCGGGTTTTGTGGGTGATGGCCGTGCCTGCAGGACCTTGAAGCTGCTTATGGCTGCAGAAAGAACAGCCTGCCGCAGTACTACAATTTCCTGGCTGTGTTACCCTGGCTAGTTCCTTAGACTCTCTGAGCCTTCCTGAGGGTAATAATGAGAACTGAGTGAGACTGTGTTTCTGAAAGTGCTTAGCATGGCCCCGGCACATAGTAGATGCTCAGGAAATAATTTTTCTCATGTCCTTCCCAAGGATGGTCTCTGGAGACCTTTCTGTGATACAGCAGCTCAGATGCCTTAACTCAAGTGCACAGCCTTGGGACAAGGACCTGTGAGTGGGAACCGCTGTCAGACTGTTCTTGAGGCCAGTGAGCTTGCAGGGGCCATCACGGGCCCACATCTGTGCCACCTGATTTGCCATTGCTGGCCAGTCCCCGGGCTGGAGCAGGGCTGCTCTGGGTCCCTGGCCCTCATTTCAGGCTCAGGCCGGAGTAGGAGCCCTTGGGATACTAGCTGTCATACCCTCATTTTACATTAAAGAAACTGAGGCTCAGCGAGAGAATGTGACTTTCTCAAGGCTGTGGCCATTGAGTGGCACAACCAGCCCTGGGAACTAGGACTATGCACCTTGTGGTTCTCCAGGGTAGGGCAGGCTAGAAGCCTCCCGCCGGCTTACCCGCCCTTGGGGCCTGTGCTCTCACACAGTTTTGGCATTCAGCATGATGGAAGCAGCAATGACTGTGAACCCATTGGAAACAGCCTTTCATCATGTTTCCACAGCTCCCGTACGACGCCGCTCCCCTCACCTGGTCCTGCTGCAGCTGCCAGTACATCACCAGGTTCCTTGAGTAAGTCCCTCCCCCAGCCCTGAGCCCCTACGCCTTGATCCATGAGATCAAGGTCTAATGGGGGAGATGCAGACAGTCACACTGCAGGGTCGGGGTAGAGGGAAGCAGAGGGGCAAGGTCTCGATCCATGAGGTCAAGGTCTACTAGGAAAGATGCAGACAGTCATACTGCAGGGCCGTGGTAGAGGGAAGCAGAAGGGCAAGGTCTTGATCTGTGAGGTCAAGGTCTAATGGGGGAGATGCAGACAGTCATACTGCAGGGCCAGGGTAGAAGGAAGCAGAGGGGCATCTGGCAAAAATGTGCTGGCATCCCAAATGTCCTCCTGGAAGGGACACTTGAGCTTGAACTTGGAGAAGGAGTGAGAATTCACACATGTGCAGAAGGGAGAAGAATGGCGTTCCTGGTAGAGGAAGCCTGAGAAAGGCCTGCAGCGGTAAAGGAGTGGGAGAGCTTTCAGGGAACGGCAGAACCGTAAAGGAGTGGGAGAGCTTTCAGGGAACGGCAGAACCCTGAGCGAGGCTATGGGAGCCAAGGCTGCGTAGGAAATAAGGCTGGAGGAGGCGAGGGCCAGCCACAGTGTCCAGTGAGAGGCAGGAAGAAGGGGCCACTAAGGGAACTGAAATACAAAGCTTTCTCCTTTTTTTCATGTTCTCTTCACTTGTTCTGATGTTCTTGTTGTTGTTGTTTGTTTGTTTTTTGAGACAGAGTCTCACTCTATTGCCCAGGCTGGAGTGCCATGGTGCAATCTCGGCTCACTGCAACCTCTGCCTCCCAGGTTCAAGCGATTCTCCTGCCTCAGACTCCTGAGTAGCTGGAACTACAGGCATGTGCCACAATGCCTGGTTAATTTTTATATTTTTAGTAGAGACGGGGTTTTGTCATGTTGGCCAGACTGGTCTTGAACTCCTGACCTCAGGTGATCTGCCCACCTCGGCCTCCCAGAGTGCTGGAATTACAGGCGTGAGCCACCATGCCCAGCCTGTTCTGCTGGTTTTGTTTTGCTTTGTTTTGCTTTTTAATTTGCTATTTAATGTTGTTCTAAGTAAGAAAAAGTTTTACATTTAAATTATTAGCATAAATTTTACCATTCATCTTTATTTTGTGCAGTGCCAGTTTTAAATGCAAATGTAAGAGTACAGTTGACCCAGAACAACTTGGGGGTCAGGGGTGCTGACCTCTGTGCAACTGAAAATCCATGTATAACTTTGACTCGCCCAAAACTACTAATAGCCTACTGTTGACTGGAAGCCTTACTGATAACATAAACAGTTAATACATATTTTGTATGTTATATATAATATATACTATATTCTTACAATAAAGTAAGCTAGAGAAAAGCAAATGTTATTGAAATCATAAGGAAGAGGAAATACGTTCACTGTTAATTAA
This sequence comes from Homo sapiens, assembly GCF_000001405.40. NCBI lineage: Eukaryota > Metazoa > Chordata > Mammalia > Primates > Hominidae > Homo > Homo sapiens. Next base: position 18,774 of record NT_187606.1, read on the forward strand.
GTGGAAGTGGATCATCATAAAGATCTCCATCCTCATCCTCTTCATGTTGAGTACGCTGAGGAGGGAGGAGAAAGGCAGGGGGTGATCTTCTTGTCTTGGGGTGGCAGAGGTGGAAAAAAATCCACACATAAGTGGACCCCGTTGTTCAAAAGTCAGCTGTATTAACTTGTATGCAGGGTAACCAAAATTACACAATTCGTCTTTTGTAGCTGATATTTACTAGATGATGAGATAGAATAAAACTATCTCAATTGGTTTGATCTCACTCCTTGATATGTGCACATTCTACCCAGGCTCTCTACCTTTTCTTACCGATGAAGATGGAAAGACTGAAAGGAGAAGGAACTATGGGGTTCTCTTTCCTCCCATGTCTTCATTTTCTGCATAGCAGTTGGCTAATACAGGGGTGTTAACATGGGAGAGAAAGGATGATGGGGCTTCTTGGTCATTGTCTTCTTTCTGCATTTGAAGTAATGGTTCAAATGGAAAATGCAGCCTCTGGGCCTGTCAGTGCCCCCTGTCCCTTACTCAGTTGTTGACATAACATGTTTATCTTCTAATTGCTTTGAGTCTCACCGAACTCCTACACATTATAGATTCTGACATGGACCAAAGTAAATGTTAGATGCAAGTGGGGCAGCAAGGAATGGTGGACACAGACACTGCCTGTGTCTCCTCTGTTCAAACACAGGCTTCTTTGTCCCATCAGACCTTGCTTACTGGCCAGGCGCAGTGGCTCACGCCTGTAATCCCAGCACTTTGTGAGGCCGAGGTGGGTGGATCACCTGAGGTCAGGAGTTTTAGACCAGCCTGGCCAACATGGTGAAACCCCCTCTCTACTAAAAATATAAAAAATTAGCTGGGTGTGGTGGCGGATGCCTGTAATCCCAGCTACTCAGGAGCCTGAGGCAGGAGAATTGCTTGAACCCGGGAGGTGGAGGCTGCAGTGAGCCAAGATTGAGCTGCTGCACTCCAGCCTGGGCAACAAGAGCAAAAAAACTCTGTCTCAAAAAAAAAAAAAAAGAATAGAAGATGGCAACAGCAGAGCATTGCATACCTGCCCCACTTCTCCCCACCCTCCATTGCTTTTTGCTAGGCAAACACCTTCAAACTTAACACTTTTAGCTCTTTCTTGTGTTTACTTTCCTATTTCCGAAAAGCACTGCTAGACTCTCATTTATTGATTTTCCAGTTTAGATATTATCTAGAAGGTTGGGATTTAGCACCCTTGCATCACTTCCTATACGTACATTTGTCCCCTCACCTTTCATCCCAATTTAGTGTTAACATACTTGGATTAAGTCCATATTCTGCATTTTCATTATTATGGCTGTAAATCTTGATGGCTGAACTAAGTGTTGTAATAAGATGGCATTTCTTTTTTTTAATTTATTTTTTATTTTGAGAGTGTCTCATTCTGTTGCCCTGGCTGGAGTACAGTGGTGCAATCTCGGCTCATACTGCAGCCTCCACCTCCCAGGTTCAAGCTATTCTCATGCCTCAGCCTCCCAAGTAGCTGGGATTACAGGCACCTGCCACCACGCCCAGCATATGTTTGTATTTTTAGTAGAGGCGGGATTTCTGTGTTGGCCAGGTTGGTCTCAAACTCCTGACCTCAAGTGATTCGCCACCTTAGCCTCCCAAAGTGCTAGGATTACAGGCGTGAGCCACTGTGCCCCATCTAGACGGCATTTCTTTGTAAGAACAAGCTTTTATTTGCTTGGTTTTCATTGCTTCTCCAGGCCTTCCAGATCCTTTAACAGTTTTATAAGATGTCTCTTAATCCAGTTTTCCCAAAGGTAATCTCTACCAGATAATCCAGCCGTTCCCTTCTTTCCTGGACCCTCCTCCCAACTTCCCTCTGTCCTCCAGTTTAGACTGGATGCTTTCTATGCCTGCCCCAAAATATTCATGGAGGGTCCTGTTTCTCGGATCCCATGCTACTTTTTTTTATGGGCAGGTACCTTTTTTTTTTTTAATTTGTTTTGGTGGAGCACATCCTCAAGTAGCTTTCTGAGAAAGAGCGCATGGAGGTAAATGGTTTGCCTGTCTCAAAGTGTCTTTATTCTTCCCTCACATCTGATTGATATTTTGATTTGATATCAACTTCTGGGTTGGAAGTGACTCTTCCTCAGAATGTTGAAGGCATTTTTCTGTTGTCTTCTAGTTTCCAACATTGCTCTGAAGAGGTCCCATACCATTTGGATTTGAATGTGACCTTTTAAAAAATCTGGAAGCTTTTAGGACTCTTTCTCTTTCTCTCTCTCTTTTTGGTGATTTTAAATTTTAAATATATGCCTTGGTCTATTTTAATTTGAGGGAGCACTCATTGGACTGTTTTAATCTAGAAACTTGTGCCCTTCAGTGATTGAACTGTTGGTGTATTATTGATTTGATAACTTTCTTACATTTTCTCTTTCTGGAACCCTTAATATTCAGCTATTCTCTCACTTTCTTATTTTTAAACATTTTACACTTCTTCATCTCTTTCTCTTTTCTTTTCTATCCTCCCTCTCTCCCTTCTCTCTCTTTCACTCCCTTCCTCTCTCCCTCCCTCCCTCCCTCCTTCCCTCCTCCCTCCCTCCCTCCCTCCCTCCCTTCCTTCCTTCCTTCCGTCCTTCCTTCCCTCCTTCCTTCCTTCCTTCCTTCCTTTTGAGTCTCGCTTTGTTGCCCAGGCTGGAGTGCAGTGCCACAATCATGGCTCACTGCAGCCTCGAGCTCCCAGGCACAAATGATCCTCCTGCCTCAGCATCCCAAGTAGCTGGGACTACAGGTGTATGCCACCACACTCAGCTAATTTTTTAATTTTTCTGTAGAGATGGGGTTTTGCCATGCTGCTTAGGCTGGACTTGAACTCCTGGAATCCTCTCTCAGTCTCCCATAGTTCTGGGATTACAAGCGTTAGCCACCGTGCCTAGCCATCTCTATTTTCTAGGAGGTATCTGACTCTACTTTACAATCCCTCTATTAAATTTTTGATTTTTTTCATTGTACTTTTAATTTCTTGAACTTTCTCACTCACTAAATACACATTGCGTGTCTCATATCTGAAATACTTGGGACCAGAAGTGTTTTAGATTTTGGATTTTTTTTTTTTATTATTTTGGAGTATTTCCATTATACTTACCAGTTCAGAATCCCCAGTCTGAAAGTCCAAAATCTGAAGTGCTCCAAAGAGAATTTCCTCTGAGCATCATGTTAGTGCCCAAAAGTTTTGGATTTTGGAGCATTTGGATTTTGGGATTGGAGATACTCAACCTGTGCACCTTTTGATCCTATTCCTGTTTTGTGGGTACAGTGTGTTCTCTTATCTCTGTGAGGTTATTACTTACACGGATTTGACTTTTTTCTTCTGTTCCCTGAAATGTTTTTATTTCCTTTGGGTTATTTAAAAAAATATATTTGTTTCATGTTAACAGTTTTCTTGGCCAGGCATGGTGGCTCACGCCTGTAATCCCAGCACTTTGGGAGGCCGAGGCAGGCAGATCTCTTGAGGTCAGGAGTTCGAGACCAGCCTGACCAACATGGTGAAATCCTGTCTCTACTAAAAAAAATACAAAAAATTAGCTGGGCATGGTGGCTCATGCCTGTAATTGCAGCTACTCAGGAGGCTGAGGCAGGAGAATCGCTTGAACCCGGGAGGGAAAGGCTGCAGTGAACCAAGATTCTGCCACTGTACTCCAGCCTGGGCAAAAGAGAGAGACTCTGTCTCAAAGAAAAGTTTTCTTAAAATGCATTGGCTGTATTTCATATATAGCAAGGAGATGCAGAGACACTAATTGGGCAGTTTGTGGACTTGGGCAGGACTTTTCCAAGTCACTGCTGAAGGACTGGTTCAGATGGGGCTATTTTGGGGAGATCCTCTAATGTCACTATCTGAGGTCATTTTTCTGAGTGATTCAGTTTCCTGAGAGGAATCCTCTCGACTTTTCCTGGGAGAGTGTATGTCTGGCTGCAGCATTCCAGCATCCAAGTGGGAAAGGGGCTTGGCGTGTTTCTTACCCTTCAATGTGTAGACTTTTGCTTGTCCCCTTTTCTCTGTAGGTCCTTCTGCCTTGGGCCTTCATGTGTGTCCACCGTTCCTGGGCCAGAGCCTCCTGGTTCACCCTCTCCAGGAAGTGATCCCTGGCCCTCTGCTGGGTGGCAGGTGGCCGTCACTTGGCTACTCAGGGTTGGGGAGGGGCTCTAGGGTCTGATCGGTTCTTACAGACTTTCAGCCCTACTGTCTTCAGCCCTCCTGGCCGTAAGGCCCTGAGGAGTCCCTGCAAACTCAGTTCCTGAGCCTTTTCGGGCTTCTGCTTCTGGGTGGTTCCCCCCTGCAGGAATCTGACTCTCAGCTTTCATCACTCTAGCAAGTCAGCTACTGCCTGGCCATCTGCTTCCCAGCTTCCAGAATCTTGTTGACATCCTTCATTACTCATCATCACCCCTTATGGATTTATGCCTTGTTTATTTCCTCTACTGTCATTATAGTGGAGTCTTGGAAGGAAGCAGCGATAAATCTGTCTGCTCAATGTGCCATGTTTTTCTAGAAGTCCACTCACTGTGGGGCTTAAGCAGGGATGTGACCAGGTCCATTAGGGATGTAAGAGCAAGGATACTGGCCTCCAGTGGAAGAGGGATTACTGGGGTGGGGGGTGGGATTGGAAGCAGAGAAGAGTTTTGTTTGGTGGTTAAGAACCTAGACTGGCCTGTCCAAGAGGGTTGACCTGAAGAACTCTAAGAACCTTTCTGGGCTGACAGGTGCTTTATGGGACCTTGGGGAGAGGTCACAGCATTTCGCCAGTGTCAACTTGGACCTGGGTGGGGAGGAGGGGAGGCCCTGGTCCCTGGTTTCCTCAAAGCCAGCATTTCTACAGGGAGAGAGGCAGGCTAGGTAACATGTGGGGTCCTTCACTTCACCCCATGGACACCCCATGCAGTGACTCCATGACCAGATCCCAGGGGTGGCCAGGGGAGCGGGCCCACATGTCTCTCCTGTCAGTGGTGGGCAGCTCTTTGCAGTCTTGAGGTGAGAGTGAAGCTTCTGACTGGAGTCACCTACTGTCTGCTTTGACCTCTTGTGGGACTGCCCAGCCCTGCTATAGTTAGCTTCAGGAGGGGCGTGGAGGGGAAGGGCTGATGGTTTGGGGGATCCGGGTGTGTCGGCAGTGCAGAGAACCTGGCAGTCAGCCTGCCAGAGGAAGGAAGGGCTGGCTGACGGCCACCTTGAGTTTCTGACTCCCAAGACAGCACCTGGGCCTGATTCTGGCAGTGGATTCTGTGAGGGTCACCTTATGCTCCCAACTTCTCCCAACATCCAGGGTGGGCTGAGAGGTTGTTGCGGCTTCAGCTGCCCAGCAGCAGGCCTGCAGGAGCCACATGTGCAGCGAGTCAGCACTGGGGCAGCCAGGAAACAAAAGGGCTCGGCTGCAGCCCAGGGACTGTTGGTGCCGGGATGAGGCGCATTGGACCCCTCAGCCCCTGGGTCAGAGGACCCCCTGGCTGGGATGGGTGAGCCCCCAGTCTACCTCCTCGAGCCACGGAATGATGGCGGGAAGGAGGGAGCCCAGGGCCAGCTGACCCCACCACCCCCGGCTGACACTCTGCCCCGGGTGCAGGCCCAGGGAGGCTCAGGGAGCCCCAAGCCGCAGGAGAACTTGGGACACTCCTTTCTCCCTGCCAGGCCTCGCTGCCATGGTTTTGAACTTGTATGTGGGGTGAAGTATTTGAGGCCAGGCTCGCAGTTGAATGGGAGGAGCCCTGCACTGGGGGTAGCCCAGTGAGTAGACACAGCCTGGTGCAGGCAGCCTGGGCCTGGCTCCAGGTCCTGGCCATCACGTCCCTCTTGCGCGACCCGGGACAAGTGACGTATGGGCCCTGAGTGCATGAGGGAAGATGATGGTAGAGTCTGCCCAGGATGTTGTGAGGAGCAAATGAGAGGGTATGCCCCCAGCACCCTGGACCAGTCTGGCACGTGGTCATCTTGGGCACTAGGACTGCATCCAGCAGCTGCTCATCTGCCAACGCCCATGTTAGAGGATCTGTTTCCAGCCATGATGGGCAGTCTGAGTGATTCCAGGAGGATTCCAGGGTTCTCAGTAGAAGTCTGGTCACCTTGGCTTTCTTCTCCGCAGCTCTGGGCAGAGTCAGGGGCCTGTCACTGGCCAGGGGACTTAGGAGACCACACAGACCACCCACCCCACCCTGGGTCTCCCAGCTGCCAGGCCCCCTCCTCTGAAATCTGGGCTTCGGGATTCCATGGTCTGATCCACCCTCCTAGCCTCTCTCCACACCTGTCTTCAGCACTCTTGGCCCTGTTTCCTGACCCTTTCGTGTTCTCCCAGCCTCTCCACATCTCGGAGTGTCTCTTTCTCTCCCTGCTGGACTCCAGGATCCATCACCTTTGCCCTTCTTCCCTGTGCGACCCCCTGCCTGTCCCAATCAGGACTGTATGCTCATCCCAGCCATCTGGCCTGGCACCACCTACCCTGAGTCCACCCAGACTGGAGAACTGGAGGGATTTTGCCTCCCCATCTCCCCTGCCTGGCTAGAGGCCCCAGGTCCCATGGGTCCTGCCTCCTTCCATGCTTCTGCCCAAGTCGTGGCTGCCTGGGTCATCCCCAGCCCCGCATGTCTGCATGGCTCAATTCTCCCCAGCCACTGCTGCCCCACAGAGGGCCCCAAACCTTCCTCCAGGACAGCAATGAGCTGTGGGTGGGCTGGTCAGCATGCCAGGGCACTCCTGCTGCTAAGCCGTTGTAGTGGCCGCCTAAGGTCCAGCAGGTACAGCAGGCTGGTCACTGGTCCCAGAAGCAGTAGCATGCCTGAGGGCTGTACAGAGTGAGGCAGGGGCAGAAGCAGGTGCCAGCTGGGCCTGGGCCGCCCTCCCCAGGGCCCCGGACTCCACGCTCGCTGCCTCGTGGTGGTCTGGGCAGCCTTGTCTTCGCCACACCGCAGCAGCAGGAGCGTGTGGTGGACACAGATGGCACCTGCTCGTGTCTGCCAGTTTCCCCGCCACCGCTGCCAGGGAATGCCAGCTGGAGGAAGGCAGGAGTAGATAGGGTATGACAGAGGCTGGAGGCCAGCCCTGTTGGGGAGTGGGGGAAACAGGGGACAGGCACGGATGCCCTAGGCTCTCTCCCAGGGGAGGGGCTGCTTTCCAGACCTTGCCCTTCCACAGATGACCCGAGGTCTCTGCCTGGGTGGGGCCGTCGGAGGCTCTGTTGTGTCAACTGTGATGTGATATTCTCCGGATCCTTGTCGGGCCTGGCTCCAGGGTCTGGGCTCAGACACGGAGGCTGCAGGGTCGGAGAGCAGGGCCACATGAGGGTTTGGCGGTCCAGGAGGCCTTCTGAGGGAAGGGCCCTGGCAGCGTGTGCAGAGGCCTGGGATTGGGGTTGGGGTTGTTTAGCCAGCTGGAGTGCCCAGGAGGTGAGATGAGATTGGCTGGGAGGGCCTGTGCTACTGGCTGCAGGTGGAGGATCGGCTGAGCCGAGCGGGGAGGCTGGAGTTTCCTACAGTTGTAGGGCTCTGTGCCCCCTCCCACCTCTCCTCCTCTCCTGGCCCCACCGAGGCTTCTCCGATGGGTCTCACAGGCTGCGCCCCCCTCCATCCTCCCGTCCCATCTCTAGCCATGGGTGGAGCCTGTGCCTGGATGACCCGCCTGCCAAGGACATCATTGACTTCCCATCAGTGCTGCCTGGGGTCCTCTATGATGTGAGCCACCAGTGCCACCTCCAGTATGGGGCCTACTCTGCCTTCTGCGAGGACATGGATGTGAGTGGGGCCGGTGTGGGTGTGGGGGTGTGGGGACCCGACAGGAGGGCTTAGGGGACAGCTTTCACCAGCCTGTGGATGCCAGCTTGGGAGCAACCTCGCCTGGGCTGGGCTACGCCCCTGAGTGACACTGTGAGACGTCAAGTGGCCTGTGGGAGAGGCCAGGGATGGGCGGCCACAGACCCAGCTCTGAATTCTGGGTCAACCATGGACCGACTGTGACCCCTCGGGCAAGTCCCTTCGCCTCTCTGGAGCTGGCTCATAAGAGGGAAAAGGAACCCCTGTGGGGAGGGTCTATTTATCCTGGCGAAGATCGCCTGAAGTGATCTTCTAACAGGAGTGTTTCCAGAGGAGGCGCTGGGCCGGGAGAGGTGTGGACAGCTGAGGACCACTCTGAGCAGTGCAGCCCCGGGCGCCCCACACCACCACGTGGTCTGGGGAGGAAGGTGGGAGCAGACACACAAGAAGGGACCTCTGGGGGTCTGTGGGCCCCTGCCATGTGGAGGGGTGCCCAGGGACCCTTGGGGACAGGGAGGGGGGCAGGGTGGGTGGCGGCACTGGGGAGGGGGTGAGGCTATGGCCCATGCCCTCCTCCTCGCAGAATGTCTGCCACACACTCTGGTGCTCTGTGGGGACCACCTGTCACTCCAAGCTGGATGCAGCCGTGGACGGCATCCGGTGTGGGGAGAATAAGGTAGGCGATGTTCCCAGTCCCGGCAGTGGATGTGTGAGAGGCCAGACCTCCTGCTGTGACCGGGCCCTGGAGTCAGCCCCGGCTCACAGAGAGCCCCATGCCCTCTGCAGCCCAAGCCCCCGTCTGCAAAGTGGAGGCATTGGGGCCAGGGCTTGATTCCATGATTCTCCAGGGTGTCTTCAGCTGAGTCAGCACGTGGGCTGTTTTACTCCCTGCTCAGCGCCTCCATGTGGCCTGGGTCACAGATGATTGTGATGATTGCGAGGGGGCCTCTCTCACCTTCCATCCTTCCCCTCTGTGCCTTTTGCAGCATTCTCACACACCTTGTTCTCACTAGGGTGAGGATGACTGATAGGCTTGGGGGTGGGGTGGCTCTACCTCCGTCTGTCTCGGTAGTGGTGTCTCAATGGGGAGTGCATACCTGTGGGCTTCCAGCCCGAGGCCATGGATGGTGGCTGGTCTGGCTGGAGCGCCTGGTCCATCTGCTCACGGAGCTGTGGCGTGGGCATACAGAGAGCCAAGCAGCAGTGCATGCAGCCTATGTGAGTGTGGGGCCCAGGGTGCCCTGGGCAATGGGACAGAGGGACCCAGGCAGTCAGCCGATTGCAGGAGCTTGGCTCTGTGCCAGCCCCTGGCTCTTAGAAGTGTCCTCATAATGGTCAGTCTGAGTGTCCAGGCCACCTTGAGTCACTTTCAAGGAGTGTTCTGAGGGCTGACAGGGTCCCCACTGCTGACCCCTTTGCAGAAAGGGGGACACTGAGGCCCAGAGACTGGAGAGACTCAGCAGAGGCCACGTGGCAAAGCAGCTGCTGGCTGGAAGGAGGCAGGAGAGGGCAGTGGGGAAGAGCATGGGCCCTGGACCTTAGATGGCTCAGGGTTCGAATCCCCTCTTCACCCCTTCTCTGGGCCTCCGTTTCCCCACCTGTATAATAGCAGTGCCCATCCAGTAAAGTTGTAGTCAGGGGCAAATGCAGTTTATGCAGGCCAGCCCCTCAGCCCTGCAGCTCATCTGTAGTGGGCACTCAGCAGGAGGGGCTTGGTGGCCTCAGAGGCACAACAAGGGCCTGAGATGAGATGGAGCAGCTGGGAGGATGGGACAGCACTGAAGGGGTGGCCTGAGGTGAGTGACTTCACCTCTCTGGATCTCTGTTTCCCCATCTAAATGGGGGGGCGCAGGGGGTGTGAAGATCTGGTGAGAAGCAGAGGCCAGTGGTACTGTAGACCGAGGCACTACCCGGCTGATCTTCACTTCAGGAGGCCACCCGGGGCAGGCATGGGGTTCACAGTCGGCCCCACCCAGGGCCCTGCGCTTACCCAAGACTGGCCTGTGCCCCTCCCTGCCTCCTGGCCTCCAGGTCTGAGCTGAGTGGAGGCCAGCGACCCTGGCCTAAATGTGGAGGATTTCAGGAGCTGTGCTCCATCATACCTTTCAGCTGGCTGGGGCCCTGGGCGCTTCCTTTAGACCCAGGCTGGGGGTACTGCCACCAGGAGGAAGGCTGAGGACTCAAGGGCTCGTTAGGATGCTGGTGTCATGGGCTGGAGACTCGGATTAGTCCCTCCAGCCAGTGCCAGTCATGCCTGCAGCTTGTCCCAGCTTCTCAACAGCCCTCTGCAGGGGCAGCCCCAACCCCACTTTATACATGAGGAAACTGAGGCCCAGAGGGTGGCCGAAGACTTGTCCACGATCACACAGCAGGTTGGGGGCAGAGCTCAGGCTTCCTGCTGCCACCTCCCCACAGGTCCCTACAGACAGGGAGGGTGTGTCTGGGCCACAGGGTGGGCAACCCAAGGGAGGGAAGCAGCGTGCACAAAGCTGGGCAGCAGGGATCTTGGGGTGTGGGTGCAGGAGGAAGCTGCTTGCTCTGGGCTGTGGCCATGCAGTAGCACTCACTGGGCCCTCACTGGGGTCCACCCCGGTTCTCCCCACAGGCCCAGATACAAAGGCAGATACTGTGTGGGTAAGCGGAAGCGCTTCCGCCTCTGCAACCTGCAGGCCTGCCCCGCTGGCCGCCCCTCCTTCCGCCACGTCCAGTGCAGCCACTTTGACGCTATGCTCTACGAGGGCCAGCTGCACACATGGGTGCCCATGGTCAATGACGGTGAGTGCTGCCTCCCATGGAAACATTGAGACTCAGAGGGCGGCGAGCGGGGTGTGGGTCCAAGGTTACCCTGTGATGCAAGCAGGAGACCCAGTCTCCACCCCAAGCCTGGGCCACTCCCACTGTCCCCTGGGGCTGCTGCTCGCCCCTAGCTCCCCAATCTGCAGCCTTGCAGATAGCTACCAGCCCAGCCGGAGCCTCCAGCATGTTTGTGCTGCTTGGGAGCCTCCAGCCTGCCATGGATGTGTGTCACGGAGGGGTCTTCCTGGTGGCCTCCATACTCCCGCTCCAGCTGTTGCTGATGACTCTTCTACTTGGGCCCCCAGTGAACCCCTGTGAGCTGCACTGCCGGCCCGCGAATGAGTACTTTGCCAAGAAGCTGCGGGACGCCGTGGTTGATGGCACCCCCTGCTACCAGGTCCGAGCCAGCCGGGACCTCTGCATCAATGGCATCTGTAAGGTGTGCCTGGTTAGGAAGAGGCTCTCCCAGCACTGCCTGCCCCCAGCCCCACTGGCGGGCCCCAGGTTCTCTCCTGGTCCTCCTCGGGCCACCCTCCCCATGCTCTACCATTGGGCTTCCCAGCCCCTACCCTCTATGACCTCTAAGGCAAAGCCCCTACCACGCCTCCTGGCACTGGGGACCCCCCCCAGTCAGGCCTCGCCCCACTGCGTCTCCTTGGATGCCTGCACCAGCACCGCCCCAGCCAGGAAACCGGAGCCCAGGCAGTGGCTTGACCTCTTGCTGGCTGGCTGACCCCAGGCAGTGGCTTGACCTCTTGCTGGCTGGCTGACCCCAGGCAGTGGTTTGCTCCCTGATAGAGGGGTTAAATGAGGTGGCACAGGTGACATGAAGGGCTCTGAGCCCCGAAGAGTAGGCCTCAGTGTTTGGTAACAATTTATATTCTTATTTTTAATAACAACGATGGCCTCTCCTCTTTACCCATGTCTCCAGCCACCTACTTGTCCTTGCTTCTTGCCCTCTAAACCACTGGGGTATCAAGGCCTGGGCTCCGAGGAGGACCAGGAGGGAGGTGCCAACCCCCAGTGCCTTTGACGTTGAAATTCCCTGCACGCGCTGCTCAGGAGCCCGTGGCGTGTCAGATCCCCTGCCTGCCCGCAGGCTTTGCAGAACTCTTCCCTTCTCTTGTCTCTTGTGATGCTCATGACATGCCTTTAAGGGAGGGGTGGGTCTCCCTGTCTCACATCTGAGGAAACTGAGGCTCAGGGAGGTAGAGAAGTTCACCTGGGTCAGAGGCACAGCTGGGGTGGGGCAGGGCCAGAGAGAGGCCTCCCGACCCCCACTCCCAGCTTTCTTCTCCTGACCCTGGCTGGCCCCCGGGGCTGGGGCCACAGAGGGCTGGCCGCCAGCACCAGGGGCCTCCCCTCCTCGTGTGTTGCAGAACGTGGGGCTGTGACTTTGAGATTGACTCTGGCACTATGGAGGACCGCTGTGGCGTGTGCCACGGCAACGGCTCCACCTGCCACACCGTGAGTGGGACCTTCGAGGAGGCCGAGGGCCTGGGTATGGGGTGGGACCACTGTGGGGAGGGGTGTGCTCTTCACCTGGTGGCCCCTTCCCCATCTCCCCCGGGCCCCTGTCCTTGGCCTCGTGGCCCCCACCCAGCCTAGAGATGGCTAAGCAGGGAGGGCTTGCTGGGGTGGATTCTTGCAGGAGTCAGGGGACCCCTGGCCCACACGCAGAGACCTGTCCCCATGGGGAGTCTTCCTGTCCCAGAGACCCCAGGCAGGGCCACCCCGACTTGTGTGTGGCCCCTGGGCCTTTCAAAGAATGGTCGTCTCCTCCTGAATCTTCTGAGACCCCCAGCTCCATGCCCTCACCTCTGGTCTGTTTTGCACATGTTGCTGAAGTACTGACTGTGTGCTAGGTGATGAGGACATGCAGGTGAAGCGCTCAGTCCTGAAGGGGGACAGAACCTTCTGGTGTGATCAGTGCAGTGGAGGGAGGCCCAGAGGGCTGTGGGAGCACTGAAGAAGAAGGTCCTGGCCTGGGGAAGTCAGGGAAGGTTTCCTGCAGGAGGCGGAAGTTGAGCTGAATCATAAAACTCAGAAGAGATGGAATGGGCATTCCAAATGGAGGAAAGAGCTTGCGCCAGAGCCCTGGAGGCAAGAAGGGAAGGCAGGGCCAGCTATGGGGCCTTGAGTGCCAGGCTGAGAAGCTTAGATTTCATCCCAGAGATGCAGTGCAGTGTGGTGGATAAAGCACTGGCCCTGGAGGCTGCTTATATTGCAGCAGGACGCTCATGCACGTTACTCTCCCTGTCTGCCTCACTTTGCTCATCTGTAAAATGGGGTTAACAATAGTACCATGCTATAGGGCCATTACCCATGAGCTTACACATGTGAAGTGCTGAGAGTAGTGCCCGGCACGTGATGGGTGTGATGGAAGTGAATGAATAAAAGCAGGCTGCGTGGGGATGAGGAGGGTGTCCCAGGAGAAAGGCCTGGGCACTTTGGTTTTTTTTAGAAAGAGAATGCCAGCCGGCCCTTAGAGTAGGGGATGGATCCAGCCTTATGATGAGACCAGTTTAGGTCCCCAAGAGAGGAGTGACGGGGCATGGCCACGGGGTCAGGATTTGTGGCACCTCCGCAAGGTTTTGGTGACCCATGACAGATCCGAGCAATTTGGGGAGCTCAGACTTTAAAGCTAATGGCGAAATCTTTGGCATCAGCAGGCGGAGGCAAGTGGGGAGAGATGTGAGGGGAGCAGGTGGGGATAAGCAAGCTTCTCACCCCAGGCACAACCCTTGCCTGACAGGGTATGTGGACGTGGGGCTGATCCCAGCCAGCACACGTGAGGTCCGCATCCAGGAGGTGGCTGAGGCTGCCAACTTCCTGGCACTGCAGAGCGAGGACCCGGAGAAGTACTTCCTCAATGGTGGCTGGACCATCCAGTAGAACGGGGACTACCAGGTGGCAGGGACCACCGTCACATACGCACGCAGGGGCAACTGGGAGAACCTCACGTCCCCGGGTCCCACCAAGGAGCCTGTCTGGATCCAGGTGCCTGCCTCCCGAGGCCCAGGCGTGGGGAGCAGAGGCGGAGTCCCCAGGCCCAGCACCTCCCATGGTAGGTCTCGTCCTGGAGGAGTGAGCCCTGGGTTAGTCACAGAGCCTGGCTCTGAGCCAGACCCTCCTGCTGAGGCCTCTACCTCGGTTTCCCCATCTTTAAGATGGCCCAACTGTGTAGCTGCAGTTCACAGAGGTGGCTGGGGTCAGCTCCTTTAAGACTGGGTGGATGGAGAAGACACCTCGTGCTCACGGGCCCCCGCCTGCCCACCCAGCTGCTGTTCCAGGAGAGCAACCCTGGGGTGCACTACGAGTACACCATCCACAGGGAGGCAGGTGGCCACGGCGAGGTCCCGCCGCCCGAGTTCTCCTGGCACTGTGGGCCCTGGACCAAGTGTACAGTCACCTGTGGCAGAGGTGAGAAGTGGGGCAGGCACAGCCCCGCCAGCAGGGGCTTCATCTCTGGACAGGGACACCGGCTTCAGCTCCCAGCTCACTGCTGGGCCACCATGGGTTTAGAAGTTTGCTTCTCTGAGCCTCAGTTCCCCATCTGTGAGATGAGGCTAGCAACCGCCCCATGTCCCAGGCCCACTGGGAGGGTAAATGGATGAGGCAGGTGGGTGCTGGCTCGCGGCGTGTGCTCAGTGTGCTGCAGCTCTTGGCGTTCTCCCTCCAGTGGACACAGCTCCCCCTTGATTTTGTCCTTGCTCAGCTCCGGCAGGTTTTGTGCCTGCATTTCTGCTGCGTCCCGGAGACCAGCCCAGGCCCCTCACCACACTGACTTATTTCCCTGAACTATTTATGAAAAGTAGGGCAATTTCATTAACTCCGACTCTTCCTCCCCATATTTCCCTCAGTCTCCCCCCATGCTCCTCAGTCTCCCCTCTCTGTCTCTTTGTCTCCTCCCCACTGCTCCTCAGTCTCCCCTCTGCCCCTCCGTCTCCTCCCATACTCCTCAGTCTCCCCCCATGCCTCTCAGTCTCCCCCCATACCCCTCGGTCTCCCCCCATACCCCTCGGTCTGCCCCCATACCCCTCGGTCTCCCCCCAATATCCCTCAGTTTCCCTCCGGCCCTCCAGTACCCCCGCCACGCCCCTCAGTCTTCCTCCCCCGGCTCGGTCTCCCCCGCCATTCCTTGGTCTCCCCCCAGCCCCCCAGTCCCCCCCGACGCCCCTTGGTCTTCCTCCCCCTGCTCGGTCTGCCCTGCTGTTCCTCGATCTCCCCACACCTCAGTCTCCCCCTTTGTCTCTTAGTCCTCCCCTTTCCCCCTCAGTCTTCCCATCGTTGACACTCAGTATCCTCAGGGTCTCAGAATCGGGAATCTGATATACAGACGTTTGAGCATTCCTTCAAATGCTATTATGATGACAAAGTGAAAATGGAGAACTGGGCAGTTACCTTCCAAAGCTAGGAAACCCATTTTATCTAATACAGCTGTCTTTATTTTATTTTATTTTGTTTTATTTTATTTTATTTGAGATGGAGTCTCACTCTGTCGCCCAGGCTGGAGTGCAGTGGCGCGATCTTGGCTCACTGCAGCCTCCGCCTCCCAGGTTCCAGCAATTCTCCTTCCTCAGCCTCCCGAGTAGCTGGGATTTACAGGCACGCACCACCATGCCTGGCTAATTTTTTATTAGTGGTAGAGATGGGGTTTCACCATGTTGGCCAGGCTGGTCTTGAACTGCTGACCTCAGGTGATTCGCCCGCCTTGGCCTCCCATAGTGCTGGGATTACAGGCGTGAGCCACTGTGCCTGGCCTAATACAGGTGTCTTTAATTGGACAAACGTGAAAACCAACAAATACATTTGCAGCACTAGACATTTGGGGAATTGCCTTTCAGCAAATTGGCTGCTTCGCAGGTGGACCACTTAGGAGCGTCTGCAGAGGCAAGTGCCCTGTGGTGGCTGGAAGAGACAGGGGTTCTTTGTCTCAGGCAGGAAGTCCCAGGTGCACAGTCCAAGCTGGCGGGACCTGGAGCTGACTGGCCCTCAGCCACACCATCCTTGCCATAGCAGCCTCCCCTCCACTCCTGCTTGCCACAGATGGTGTCCTCCCTTCCAGGGCTCTTGCAGTGTTCTAGGCAAGAAGGAGAGAGGAAAGGGCTGACTCCCAGCGAGGGACTTGTGCCTTTTTCTCCTGAGCCAGGACTGTGTCCCAGACCCCCCTAGTTGCAAGGGAGCGGCAGTGGGGTGTGTTTTCAGCAGGTCCCACTGCTGCCTTGAACAAAATCAGACTCTGTTGGTGAGGAAAGAGGGGGATGGATGTGGGACTGGCAGCTCAGGGGAGGGACAACTTACTCTCGGGACCACGGGGCAGGGGGTGGAGCAGAGAAGGCAGAGCCACCAGCAGACGGGGTCCTGCAGCTGGGCCTCAACAGGCAGTATGGAAGTGAGTGTCCAAGGTGAGGAACGTGGCTGTGCAAAGTCCCCAGGTTGGACAGTGGCAGAGAATGTAAAGGACTGGAGCAGTGCCAAGGCTGGTGTGGGGATGGAGAGCAGGGGCTGTCCATTGATGCCCCATTTCTTGTCCAGACATTCTCTGATCCATTGGGAAGGGTGTGGATGGTGGGACCGTGTGTCAGTGGTCCCTGGACACACTGGGCCCTGAAGGCTCAGGCAGCGGCTCCTCTAGCCATGAGCTCTTCAGTGAGGCTGACTTCATCCTGCGCCACCTGGCCCCATGCCCTTCACCCGCCTCATCACCCAAGCCAATCCCAGGAAGGAGCAGAGGGAGCTGGTCTTTCATTCTCTTCCCAAGGCTGAAGCCCCAGACCCCGGTCACCCCTCACTCCAGCCTGGGCCACCCTGGACACTTATGGTCCTCCTCTTTGGGTCCCTGGATGTGGAAATAGGCCTCAGGTCACATTCAGTTTCCCTGAGGGGAAGGTGGCAGGAGCCACGGCTGGGTTTGCATGCTAGCAGCAGCTGGCATGGATCGAGCTCTTAGGATGTGCCGGGCACGGGCTGAGCCTGCACATGCAAGAACACATGCAGTCCTCCCTCCAGGACATGGAGGAGGCAGGATTGTTGCTCCCACTTCACAGAGGAGGACGCTGAGGTTCAGAGAGGCCAAATGAGCTGCCCAGGCATCTCAGCTAGGATGCAGAGGGTCTGGGCACCCAACCCACTAAACCTCCACACTCTGCCACCCCTCCAGGGGCAGTCAGAGGGGAAGCTACATAGGAGAGGGGGTGGGTGAGAACCAGGAGGACAGCAAGGAGGCGACGGTGGAGGTCTGCCTTCATCCTGACATGGGCAGTAAGGCATCCTGACATGGGCAGTAAGGCGCTGTTCTGGGAGGGTTCTGGCAGAGAGGGTGTCTTTGGGTCTTGGGCGGTGGGCACCTGGGTGCCAGTCCCAGGCTGAACGCCATGGCCCCTAGGTGTGCAGAGGCAGAGTGTGTACTGCTCGGAGCGGCAGGCAGGGCCCGTGGACGAGGAGCACTGTGACCCCCTGGGCCGGCCCGATGACTGCCAGAGGAAGTGCAGCCAGCAGCCCTGCCCTGCCAGGTGAGCCCGCCCCCATCCCCTACCAACTCCCCACCCCCAGGCATCCTGGGTCTGCCACAGGCCCCTACATCTGGGTCCCCAGAGGCCCCAGGGAGGAGCAGAGGGAGCCGGGCTTTCATTCTCTTCCCAAGGCTGAAGCCCCAACCCCCGGTCACCTCTCACCCCAGCCTGGGCCAGCCTGGACACCTATGGTCCTCCTCTTTGGGTCCCTGGATGTGGAAATAGGCCTCAGGTCATGCTCAGTTTCCCTGAGGGGAAGGTGGCAGGAGTGGAGGGGCTGTGCCTTGTCACCAGACTTTGAGGGCAGGACACTTACCTGAGCTTGGAGCTCTGGAGAATCATCCACTGGCTTCTGGCACTGCCCAAACCCCGAGGGCCTGGAAACCCAGCCTGGCCCTCCCTGCTGGTGAGCCTGTCAATGCCACCTGTCTGATGCCATACTGATGACACCTGTGTGCCCTCAGCAGGTGGTGGGCAGGTGAGTGGCAGCTGTGCTCCAGCTCCTGCGGGCCTGGGGGCCTCTCCTGCCAGGCTGTGCTCTGCATCCGCAGCGTGGGGCTGGATGAGCAGAGCGCCCTGAAGCCACCCGCCTGTGAACACCTTCCCCGGCCCCCTACTGAAACCCCTTGCAACCACCATGTGCCCTGTCCGGCCACGTAGGCTGTGGGGAACTGGTCTCAGGTGAGTGTGGGATGGGAAGGTGCCCGCCTCCAGCCCCACCCTTGGTCTTCAGCTACAGGGAGGCAGACAGCCTTCCTGGAGACCTTGTGGGTGGGAGGGAACCTGGGCATTCCAGGGTCCAGCCCCTGACTCTAAAGCCTCAGGGATCAGGAAGCCCCTGGCAAGCATGGCCACAGTCATGGCCTTGAGCTGGGAAGGGCCAGAGAGGGCTGGCTGGGGTCTCTGCCACTCTGACATCAGGCAGTGGACAGGTTACCCAGCCTTGCCCCAGCGTCCCCTGGCAGCCTGCCTCCCAGGCTAAGCCCCTCACCCTGGCTTCCCCTGCAGTGCTCAGTGACATATGAGGAAGGGACTCAGCACCGAAATGTCCTCTGCATCAGTGACACCGGTGTCCCCTGTGACGAGGCCCAGCAGCCAGCCAGCGAAGTCACCTGCTCTCTGCCACCCTGTTGGTGGCCCCTGGACACACTGGGCCCTGAAGGCTCAGGCAGCGGCTCCTCCAGCCACGAGCTCTTCAACGAGGCTGACTTCATCCCGCGCCACCTGGCCCCACGCCCTTCACCCGCCTCATCACCCAAGCCAGGCACCATGGGCAACGCCATTGAGGAGGAGGCTCCAAAGCTGGACCTGCCGGGGCCCGTGTTTGTGGACGACTTCTACTACGACTACAATTTCATCAGCTTCCACGAGGATCTGTCCTTACGGGCCTTCTGAGGAGCCTGATCTAGACCTGGCGGGGACAGGGGATCGGACGCCCCCACCACACAGCCGTCCTGCTGCGCCCTCCACGGGTAGCCCTGTGCCTGCCACAGAGCCTCCTGCAGCCAAGGAGGAAGGGGCAACGGGACCTTGGTCCCCGAGCCCTTGGCCTAGCCAGGCCGGCCGCTCCCCACCCCCACCCTCAGAGCAGACCCCTGGGAACCCTTTGATCAATTTCCTGCCTGAGGAAGACACCCCCATAGGGGCCCCAGATCTTGGGCTCCCCAGCCTGCCCTGGCCCAGGGTTTCCACTGATGGCCTGCAGACGCCTGCCGCCCCTGAGAGCCAAAATGATTTCCCAGTTGGCAAGGACAGCCAGAGCCAGCTGCCCTCTCCATGGCAGGACAGGACCAACGAGGTTTTCAAATGATGAGGGACCCAAGGGCTGCGGAGCACCCCACCTGCCCCCGAGACCCAGCCCCACGCTGCCCACTTTGTACCCGGTCAGCAGCACCCACTCCTCTCCTAGTCCTGACGTGGCGGAGCTGTGGACAGGAGGGACAGTAGCCTGGGAGTCAGCTCTGGAGGGTGGCCTGGGGCCTGTGGACAGTGAACTGTGGCCCACTGTTAGGGTGGCTTCTCTCCCTCCTCCTCCCATAGCCCCTTTGCCAGAGATGAAGGGCAAGGACAGTCCCCTGCAGCCGGGGACTTCCACCTTCCCAACCCCAGGACCAGGCTCATGGGACCTGCAGACTGTGGCAGTGTGGGGGACCTTCCTCCCCACAACCCTGACTGGCCTCGGGCACACGCCTGAGCCTGCCCTGAACCCAGGACCCAAGGGTCAGCCTGAGTCCCTCAGCCCTGAGGTGCCCCTGAGCTCTAGGCTGCTGTCCATGCCAGCTTGGGACAGCCCCGCCAACAGCCACAGAGCCCCTGAGACCCAGCCACTGCCTCCCAGCCTGGCTGAAGCGGGGCCCCCCACGGACCCGTTGGTTGTCAGGAACGCCGGCTGACAAGTGGGAAACTGGAGCGAGGCAAGTGGTGTGGGCTGGGCGGGCAGGGAGTTTGCGCAGGACCTTGGTGACTATTTCCTCATCTGAAAATGAGCAGAGTGGGACGCAGGCGCCGTCTGTCTCGCCTTCCTTGGGGCGGGGGTTCCCAGGATTAGGGGAATGAGGGGACCTGGGGCCCATTCCTGGGCAGCACAGGGGGCCTCAGGGAAGGCAGGGGCAGGCACACTCTGGCAGCACAGCATGCCCCAGGATGGAGCTGGCTCAGACAGCTGTGCAGTGGGGAGGGTCCCTGTGTGGCCACCAGGCCCAGTCCTGCCCAGCAGGCAGCAGCTTCCCTGAGGCTCTGTCTGGCTCCTCCAGGCTGGACTCAGCCCACTGCTACCTGGCTCTGCCCTCAGTGGCTCCACCCTCCTTTGGCAGTGACCTGCAGACGTCTGAGCTGCATGAAAGAAGCTGGCTAGTGCCCCCTCCCTGGGTCCCCAGATGGTCACTGCAGGAGAAGCAAGCTTCTGTTCAGATTCCTAATTTTGGGGTGGGAAGGGGCAGGCTGAGGCCCACAGGGCTTGTTTTGCGCGGGGATAGGCAGCGATTTGGCTGCTGGTACCAGGACCCAGCCTTCCTTCCCTGGTGCCTCTGGGAAGCGACGAGGCTGGTCAGGATAGCTGGTCAGGGGTGCCCACAGGGTCTCCTCCCCCGAACCTCTGCACCAATGACACTGGCACACAGGCCCTTTGTCCCATGTGAGCAGGGACGGCTGGTTGCTGGGGGGATTTGACTTTTCATTCTCATGGTCTTCCTGGGAGGTGGGTGGAGGAGCCTATTTTGCAAATAAGGAAACTGAGGCCCAGAAGAGGGCCCCTGTCTTGCTGAGGTCTTGCTAGCCTAGGTGGGTAGTTTCCTGGCTGTGGAGGCCTGGCGAGGATGGGCTCTGCCTGGCTTTCACGGGTCTGTGCCCCGCAGTGCTCCACCACCTGTGGCCTGGGTGCCCTCTGGAGGCCGGTGTGCTGTAGCTCCAGCCGGGATGAGGACTGCGACCCCGCTGGCCGGCCCCAGCCTGCCCGCCGCTGCCACCTGTGGCCCTGTGCCACCTGGCACTCAGGCAACTGGAGTAAGGTGCATGAGGATGGAGCCAGGACAGGCATCCCCAGGGCATGGGGTGGAGCCCTGGTTCCCCACGGCCTGTGTTCCGAGAGCGGCAGGGAAGGGGAGGGCTCCAGGCTGCATGTCTATGTGCCTGATCGCACCGGATTCCGAATCTCTTGGGAGTCATCTCATCTTTGTCTGGCTTGGCCTGTCTCCTTTCCTCTGTATCTTTGACCCCATCTGGACTTGTTCCTCCCTTTCTCTGTCTGTCCCAGCCCATGGCAGCCCCTGGCCATGCCACCTTTTGCCTGGGGCCTGCCAGCCTTGGCCTCTCGCTGGGGCTCTTCAGGGATTTGCCCCCGGCTGGGGCGTGGGTCTGATGCCTTTCCTGCCACACGCCTCACGGGGTCACGCCTGTGGGCCTGCACGTGGGGATGTGTCCACACAAGTCTCTCGGTCCCCAGTGCTCCCACAGCTGTGGCAGAGGTTCCTCAGTGTGGGACATGCAGCATGTGGACACATGGGCCCTCTGGCCACTGTGGCCCTTCCATTGTCAGCCTGGACCTGCCAAGCTGCCTGTGCACTGGCCCTGCGGGGCCCAGCCCTGCCTCAGCTGGTACATGTCTTCCTGGAGGGAGGTGAGGCCTGGGCGTTGAGTTGGGGGGAGGGGACACCCTCAGACCCTGGCTGTGCCCTGACTCCTTCCCTGCCCACCCAGTGCTCCGAGGCCTGTGGCGGTGGTGAGCAGCAGCGTCTGGTGACCTGCCCAGAGCCAGACCTCTGCGAGGAGGCACTGAGACCCAACACCACCCGGCCCTGCAACACCCACCCCTGCACACAGTGGGTGGTGGGGCCCTGGGGCCAGGTGAGCCAGGCTGCGGGGGGGAGCAGGGAGCAAGTGCTTGGTAGCGCCTGGTCAGTCCTGGGTTGGGTGAAGGAGCTGTGGAGTGTGTGCTGTGAGCCAGGCTGTCTGTGGCCCCTGCACATGCAGCAGTCACTGGACAAAGCCCTGCCATGCTGGTGCTCACACCTGACAGGGAGAAACAGACAAGGAAAGGGCATGTGTGCTGTGATGTCAGGGAAGGCCTTCCGAGGAGGGGTCTGGGGTTGAGACCCGAGGGAGGAGTCAGTGATGCCAAGGACAGGGATCGAGGGGACAGCAGGTGTGAAGTCTGAGGCAGGAATGATGAGCTTGGGGAGATCAGGGAGCCCAGCAAAGGCCAGCGGCAGAAGGGGGCAGAAGAGGGGCCTCGTATGGGCAGGACACCTTCTGCTGGGCCTGTTTGGAACTGAGGGGTTCAGAAATCTCAGATTTGGGCCCTGAGCTGGGTCCGGGAGTCAGCTGGGCCAGCGTTTGAGTCTGTCCGACTGGCTGCTGAGTGACTCTGGGCAGGTTGCTTTGCTTTGCTGGGTCAGTTTTCTCATCTGTAAAATTGGGACGCTTTGGGAGAGGAGGGTCAGGAGGATTAAATGGAGGAACGCAACAAAGCACAGGGCCGGGCACAGCACGACACTGGCACAGACTCAGCACATGTTTAGGGCTTTCAGACCTGCACCTGTTAACAACAAAGCCTGGCGGGCTGGGCCCCGGCTGTGAAATTGTCTCCACCCCTCCTGCCCATGGGCTGCGGCAGGTCCTCTGCCCTGTCCCTCGGGCACAGCGGTGTCTCGCCCACGTCTCTGCTCACTGCTGCATCAGGGCTCCATCCCGGGGCCCCTGCCCAGGCCTCTCAGTCATGTCCCGTGTGAGGGGCTCACTGCCCTGCCGCCCCAAGGGCTGTCCCATGGTTCTCATGCCCCTTCCCTCTGCAGCAGCCGATCCCACAAGTGAGAGTGGGGTTCCAGCACCAAGTGGGCTCTAGGAATGGGAACAGGTCCTCCAGGAGGCACTGAGAGGGCGGCTGGGAGCAAGGGCAGGCCAGTCAGGCACAGGGCGCAGGGACGGCTTCCCAGAGGAGGTGTCCCTGCCCCCACTGCTAGGGCTGGCCCTGGAGACACTCATTCCTCCCCTGCTCCCCCCAGTGCTCAGGCCCCTGTGGTGGTGGCATCCAGTGGTCACACACTGGTCAAGTGTGTCAACACCCAGACGGGGCTACCCGAGGAAGACAGTGACCAGTGTGGCCACGAGGCCTGGCCTTGTGAGCTCCCGGCTGTGTGGCACCGAGGATTGTGAGCCCGTCGAGCCTCCCCGTGAGTCCCCCGACCCCAAGCTCTCTGCTGAAGTGAGGTGGGGCGGGAAGGGTGATGGGGAAATTGGGTCTTCAAACCATTGCACCCACGGCACCGGCTGGCTCCATCTGTAGTCTGGGCTCAGGAGCCACTGAAAATCCTGATGCCACAGGATCCCATGCTGGAGGCTTGGCTGTGCTGGGAGTCAGTCAAGAGAAGTCCCAGCTACACAACATCCCGCAGGCAGCTTTCTGACCTCCGGTGAGTAGAGGGAGTGGCCTTGGCCCCTGATTTGCTGTGTGAACCTGGGTAAGCTCTTTCCCCTCTGGGTCTCAGTATTCCCATAGTGAGACCAGGGATGTCCCTGAAGCTGTGTGAAAACTGGGCCTGGGTGAGTCCCTGTCCCCTCCCCAGCCCTAGCCTGTCCATTCCCTGGCCAGAGGACTGCCTAGAGTGAGCAATGGAACCACAGGAAGGGCCTCCCTTCCAGGGTCCTGCTAATCCCAGTGGTGGGGGGTTTCCTGGCCAGCTGGGTCCTGGTGGAAGGGCCTGAGCTAGAGGTGGTTCTGGATATCCCAACCCCCCACCTCCAACACACACACACACACACTCACACACTTCCTGCAGCCCCAGCTGCTCTCAGCAGTGCTGAGGGCAGGAAATGGGGTGGCCCTGGAGTGTCACCTGGGCTCCCCTCACCAGCTGTGTGGCCTTGGGCTCCATTTCCCTCTCAGGGCCTTCATGTGCTGAATAAAGGGGCTGCCAAGCCCCATCCTTGCATAAGTGAGGTCTGGGCATGAAGGGCACAGCACTGCGTGGGGATCCAGGTGGTGCTCAGGGAAGGCGGCTTTTTCCCCTCCCGCAAAGCCACTGTCATCCCCCATTGCAAGGTCAGGGAGAGGGCCTGGGGCTGACCCTGCCAGTCTAAGGAATCCAGGAGCTGTGGCCTGAAGAGCTGCGGCCCCTGTGCTATTGGCTGTCTGCCCCCTGACCCTAGGACAGAGTCCTCAGCCACGGCCCTCAAACTGGCATTCGGGGCCCCCTGCAGTCTCCCCAGTCTGCCTTCTCCCCTTATCCAATGCGCCTTCTCTACCTGCGCTGGCTCCTGGGCAGCCCTCATTTGGGCTCAGAGTGGCCCCTGCCATGCCTCGCTGCCATGCCTTGCTACCCTGCCTCTGGCAGGGGTGGCCTTCCTGCCACAAACCCCATTACCTCAAGGCCAAGTGGCAGTGCCCCCACCCTGTCCTGCCTGCCCTCAGCACGCACCCAGCCAGCATCTCAGAGCACTCCTGTGTGCTGCCTGAGCTGGGTGCTGGCATCACATCTCTCGCCTTCATGGCTAGAGCTGGCCACAGGGAGTGGGGTGGTTATGATCCCAGGGGATGAGGACCAGATGGAGCAGAGAACAGGAACTGAGGCCCCTGGGGGCCTAGAACCAAGGACAGATGGCCCAGGAGGCTCTGGGCTTGTAAGGTCTCCCAGGGGCGGGTATGAGTGGGCTGCAGGGAGTGGGCTATGGGGGCTGGTTAGGTGGCTGAACTAGAAGCTGTCCTAAGTGAGGAGTTTTCTGCCACCAGTGAACAGTGGAGGGGCAGCTGGGAAGGTGTCTTGGACTTTGAGACCTGGAATTCCCAGGATGTTTTGCTGGTCTGTGGGACAGTTGGCGGGACGGGGGAAAGCCAGGAAACTCCAGAGTGTGCGGTCGCTGCAGTGACACAGCATGGCCACATCCATTTGCTGTGGAGGTGGGGTTGACAGAGGAGGGAACCAAGGCCCAAGAGGTGAAGCAGCTTGTCTGAGGTCACCCCGGGCGACCAGGATGCAGGCCTGCAGATGTGCACTTTGGAGCTCTGCCTGGAGCTGGGGTGGAGGAGCCTGCCTGCTGCCTCGTGCCCTCTGCCGGGCCTGAGGGATGTCCCTGGCACAGGGCTGGCTGCTGTCCTCCTGCTCTTCCTCCCCAGGGAGGTCTGCTGGAGTAAGCAGGGCCCAGGCGGCAGGTGGGGGCTGTCAGCAGTGGCAGTGGCATCAGGAGCAAGGCCAGGAGGCTGGAGACAAGCCACTTCCCAAAATAGCTCTGATAACCACGGGGCAGGAGGGCCCAGCCAAGCCTCAGCCCTGACAACCACAGCCTGCAGCCGGCCTCCCTCCCCACTGGGCCTGGGCTTAGTCCCTGGTTTCCGCTGACAGCCTGTAGGGCCCACTCACTCTAGGCTTCGTGGCCCACCTGAGAAGTGGGAGGCTGGCCTGGGAGATGCGACCTGTGACTCAGAACCCGAGGCTGAGTACAGCCCCTGTGGCTGGAGGTGGTCACGGAGGTCTGGCAGGACAGATGCACTGGGGCAGGGGGCGGTGGCGGGAGTCGGGGGCAGAGGCCGCTGCAGGTTGGCAGGAGGCCCCGGGACCGCAGTTCTGTGCCAGGATCTGTCGGGGAACACCAGGGGTGAGCAAGGATGGAGATGGGATGGCAGGGCGTCGCCCTGGGCAGGCTCTTTAACAGGCATGTGAGGGGGTCAGGGTGCGGTCTCAGGACCTTTCCTCCAGAAACCTCAGCCCAGCAGCGCCCGTTCTCGAGTCCTGGGGTCGGCCGTGAGTAGGTGGGACAGAGACACCAACAGTTGGAGACCTGCAAGTCCAGTTTGGGAGCCGCTCCAGAAACTGGGGCTCTCTGCTTGGTGGGGAGCTGCTGGAGCCTCCTTGAGGTGGTTGGGGTGGGGAGCCAGGTTCTGGATACCCCAAACCACTGGTTCTGATGCCTCTCTGACCCCCCACTCCAGGCTGTGAGCGGGACCGCCTGTCCTTCGGGTTCTGTGAGACACTGCGCCTACTGGGCCGCTGCCAGCTGCCCACCGTCCGCACCCAGTGCTGCCGCTCGTGCTCTCCGCCCAGCCACGGCTCCCCCTCCCGAGGCCATCAGCGGGTCACCCGCCACTGACGGTGCCAGGATGCACAGACCGACCGACAGACCTCAGTGCCCACCACGGGCTGTGGCGGAGCTCCCGCCCCCTACGCCCTAATGGTGCTAACCCCCTCTCACTACCCAGCGGCAGGCTGGGGAGCTCCTCCCCCTCGAAAAAGGTATTTTTTTATTCTAACAGTTTGTGTAACATTTATTATGATTTTACATAAATGAGCATCTACCATTCTAAAGCACAGTGTGACTTCATCTTGGATTTGGGGAATCTTAAAAGTGAGAAACTCTTCCCCCGACCCCTCTGCCCAAAACTCCACCGCTGCAGCACCTCGGCAGGCGCGGCTTTTCACCTGCTCCTCTGGGGCAGATCTGCAGGGGGCAGCGTAGCAAACGAGTCCCTGAGAGCATGGCATCTGGTGAGGCACGGAAGGCCTCGGAAGCCAGGGGGCTGCTGCCCAGGGAGGCCTGTCTGCAGAGGGTGGGGTTCTGGGGGCAGGAAGGTCTTCTGGGCAGGGGCACAGCTTGGCCCTTACTTGCTGCCTGCCTTCAGCTCAGGCTCCCAGCCTTCCCTGGGGCCCCACTCTGTGGTCCTCAGAGACCTGTTCCACAGGGATTGAGCCCACCTTGTCACTTGCAGGGACTGCCCCCTGGAGTGGTGGGGACTGGGGCCCCCATGGGCACCTCCCTGGCTCTGTCTGTTCTATCTGTTGACTCTTCTGCAAAAAGCGGGCAGAGAGGGGAAGAGCAGGCTGGCCAATTTTGCCCTACTGTGTCCCCACGTGTCCCTTCATCTCTGTGCCCAGAGATAGGGCTGGGCTAATTGCCACTGCCTTGGGTTGGCCCCTTTCCCACCACCAGCCCAAGCAACAGGTTCCTACCATGCTGATCTATGGTCCAGCACCTGGCACCTGCCTACCCACAGCCCCTTCCCCTCCCATAAAATCTAGTCCCATGGAGCCAGACAGTAGTGCCCACAGCAGGGAACAGATGGGCATGAAGGTGCTTTGAAGAGGGTCCTGGCCTGACCAGGGGCGGGAGGCTGGAGAAGGGGCGGACACTGTCCTCCCAGGCCCAGGCCCAGCCCTGGATCCGACCCTGGCCTCTGGCTGTGAGCCTTAGACTCAGCCGTTGACAATTTCCTCCTCAGCCCTCCCCCTGGAAGGTGTTACGCCCCTTCTACAGGTGGGGGACACTAAGGTTCAGAGAGGCCACCCTGCAGCCTACAGGGGTCACCTCTCACATTCTACTCTCCAGCGTATGACAACCCTGGACGAAAGGCAAATGTAGCCCTGGAGCCTGCATGTGGCAGCCGCAGCCACTCAGGGCTGGGTGTATGCTGGGGATGGAGAGGACACCACTGAAAATCACTCCTGGCTGGGCGCGGTGGCTCACACCTGTAATCCCAGCACTTTGGGAGGCTGAGGTGGGCGGATCACCTAAGGTCAGGAGTTTGAAACCAGCCTGGCCAATGTGGTGAAACCCCATCTCTACTAAAAATACAAAAATTAGCCGGGTGCAGTGGTGGGCACCTGTAATCCCAGCTACTTGGGAGGCTGAGGAAGAAGAATCGCTTGAACCTGGGAGGCAGAGGTTGCAGTGAACTGAGATCACGCCTTTGCACTCCAGCCTAGGCGACAGAGGGAGGAGACTGTGTCTCAAAGAAAAGAAAAGAAAAGAAAAAAAATTACTCCT
Organism: Homo sapiens; assembly: GCF_000001405.40. Lineage (NCBI taxonomy): Eukaryota > Metazoa > Chordata > Mammalia > Primates > Hominidae > Homo > Homo sapiens. Next base: position 46,109 of record NT_187606.1, read on the forward strand.
TAGGGACTGAGACCAAGAAAGAGCATCAGAGGCTGAACCCCTTGGTGAAGAGCGTCTGTCCCAGGACTTGGAAGGGAGGGAGGGGAATGTGGCCAGGGGGGCTGCCTGCAGGTGTCTGTCCTGCTGCTCCTCAAATCAACATGCTCACCTCATTTCACACCAACACGCCCCATTCTCAGAGGAGGAGCCCAAGGCCCTAAGAGGAAGTAACTGGCCCAAGGACACATGCCCTAGTGACACAGGCCCATCCTAGGCGCCGACTGCCCACCTCCAAGTTCCAGGCCACTCTGAGCAGGTGAAAGAGGGAGAGGGCCCCAAGCAGGCCCCAGCTATGGCTTTGCACAGAGAGGGCAGCCTGCCAGAGTTCACGCAGGAAAGCAAGTTCCTGGGAAGGCTAGCGTGAGTCCCAGCCCCGCTGTGCTGACCGAGGGTGGAGGAGCGTCAGACGTGCTTCCTGTCTGTCTGCAGCAGCCAGGCTGGCCCAGCAAGACCTGGGGACCCACGCTCTGAGTCATGGGTTCCCAGGCCTTAGTCAGAACTGCCCCTGGTGGCAGTCCCTTCCAAGGGGTAAGGAGCAGGGCCTGTCGACTTGCTCCTGACCCACACACTGAACCAGTCCCTAGGAACATCATCCTGGGCATGCCATACCTGTCGTGCAGTCTCAGTCATGCTGCCAGGGCAGGTATCCAGCTCCCAGCCTGGGAGTGCTGAGAGCCAAATCCACTGCAAAGCAGGGCTGATAGTCAGGGCCCCACCTCATCTATCTGTCGGCAATCCAGTGGTATCTAGGTGAGAGTCCCATACACACGGTCATCCCACAACACACTCCACACTCCACAGGCCAGGCGGGGACACACAGCCCCCTTCCCTCCCTCCCAGGTACCACCATAGCTGCTAGTGTGTGACCGAAGGCAGGGTCCCTGGCCCCCGCTGAATCACTATCGCCGACCAGCAGGCTCACACACCTTGGCCTGTTGCTCCTAGGGGTCGCCTGTGCTATTCAGCCAAGGGGACCACAGTGCCTGCTGGCCCAGCTGAGCTCCGCCTAGCGAGCCCACCTGCCTCTCCTGCCATGGACTCTCCCTCTTCTGCTTTTCCCAGCAGGAAGGGCCCAGCCTCACCTATGCAACCTGCAGCCCCACGCCCGCCAACCAGTTGAGGCTCCCCTCTTAGACTTATAAGTCTATGGCCAGTGGCATCCAGCTACCTGCCCTCCCTGCCTTCCCCAGGGTCCCTTCAGAGGACCCTGGGATTTTGGACCACCCAGAGGGGCCTCTGGCACTCACTCCAGTCATCCATCCCTTATAGCTTCACCATTTTTGGTTTAAGCAGTGTTCCCTTTCTATCAGGCCTGGTGGCTGTTGGGTGGGGCTCCCCAAGCAAGAGGTGGCCCTGGGCCGTGAGTTGGAAGACAGGGTGACCAGAGAAGAGAGAAGCCCGAGGGGGCTGAGCATTCGTCTGAACTATGGGTGGACTGCCTGGGTGCCATGAAAGAGGCCAGCGTGTGTGGGGTGGGGAGGGCCGCCGCAGTCCCCAGGCACTACCTATGAAGCTCTGGCTTCTCCCTCCATCTCCCTCCCCTTTCCCTTCCAGCCCCTCTTTTCCAGGAACCTTGCCATGCCCACACCTACGCCCTCCCCTCCCCGGCCCTCCACAGCTGCTGCAGCGCACCCATACTCTGCACTTGCCTCACCAGCTCTGGCTTTTCTCTAACCCGTTTTCTCTCTGCTTTCTCTCCAACTGCCAGCTGATTGGGTCAGGCAAGTCCATCCCATCCGGGGAGCCCCAGGCCCCACTTCGACCTCTAAACAGATTCCTCCTCTTCTCAGAGACCTCCCTTTCCAAGCCTGCCTGGGTGGGTGTCCTGTGACTTGACAGTGGCTCCCCCAGCCCCAAAGCCAGCCCCCTTCTTCTGTGACTTAGTCTGTTGTAGTGGTGAGCTGACACATCCAGGTGTGACCGTTGCTGAAAACTTGTGCCCCCTCTGTGGTATGCCCCTGCCCTGTTCTATAAATAGCTATAAATTATCATATATATACACATACACAAACTCACACACACACACACATATATATATATACACATATACATGTGGTCGACTGCCTCGCCTCTAGCACTGGGAATCAGTCCCCGTGCTGTGCTTGTGGAGTCTTGTAGCCCAGCAAGAGGAAGCTGTCTCCTGACATCGCCCCTCCAAAGTGCACCACCTCCAGTGAGCTTCCGGGACATGCGCGGCCTATGGACAGCCAGCCCCCGCCATCCCTCCCGCCCTTCTGGCCAAGCATGGCGGTGCTGTGCAGGCAGCTGTGTGGCCTGACAGTCTCTACCAGTCCTGCTGTCCCTCGGCTGAGAAACCCATTTCTGAATGACAGAGAATGTGTCCTCTGCTGGCTGTGTTCTCTATAGAGCTCAGGGGAGGGAAGAGGCCAAGCCATTTTTAGGGTGCTGTTGGCAGCAGTGAAAAGGTCACACCCTTTTCAAGGGACACTTTTCCTGGAAAGTCCCTGGAGCTTAGCTGGCTCTTATTCTGTGAAGCCGGCTCTGGCCAGTAGGGCACAGGGCCCTGAACTCAGCCTGGAAGGAGCCTGTGGGGCAGCCGGCACTCTGGAGGGACAGACAGGCCACCCGGTGCAGACAGGAGAGGGAGGCAGGGGGACGGAATGGAAGACACGTGGGGTGGATGGAAGTCAGTGCCCTTGGGCACTGGTATCTGTCTTCCTGACCACAGCTAGATCAGGCTTCTCAACCTGTTGGCTCTCAGGGCCGGACTATACTCCAGAGGCGCCATGGCAGTCCTCGTGAAATCCACCAGGTATCACCAGGCAGCATACAGGTAACAGGCCTGGAAGATTCCCCACAGCCCAGCTGGACATGCTGAGACACTCTGGGGCTCCTCATTGAGTGGGAAAAACTGCAGGACCCAGTGAGGGAAACAGGAACATGCCAGGCCGAGCAGTATGGCTAAATCCATTTATTCCAAAATCAAAAGCGAACCAAAACAAAAACAAAAAAACAAAACAAAACAAAAAAGGGGTCCCATCACCAGGGAGCCATGACGCCATCCCCACCCCCATCATCGCTCCTATGCTAACAATGAATAAGTTTCCCAGCCGCGAATAATTATAAGAACCTCTTCCTCATATGCCAGCTGCAACCTCCGCTAGGTACAATACAGAATGTTACACAGCTACAGTATGTACACGGGGGAAGGGGGGCCACCCCCAGCAGCCTGTGCCCTGGCCTGGTCTACAGTTAACTCCACTGTCCCGCCTCAGCTGCCTCTCTGAGTAAGAAGATGGGAGCCCCCCTGAGGGAAAAGTTGCTTTGGTGAGAGTAAGAAGGCCGTCAGACCTCCTCCAAACAAACCAACTCCACCAACCTCTGGCTCTTAAATAACAAACATCATCATCCAGAAATGTAAGGACTCAGCCTTGGTCAAGGTGGTAAAGGGTCTGTTTGTCTCCCTCCATTAGACAGGGGTCTTGTCTTGCTACCCTAATGGTAAAGGGCTGACTGGGGAGGGGTTGTAGGGACATGGTGGGGGTGAAGACTCCAGACCCACTTCTCCAGGCTTATGCTGACAGGGGCCTGCTTTTATTTATTTTTATTTTTATCCCATGACTTTTTTTAAATCCTGTAACTAATTTTTCATAACTTTTTAAAATAACTTTTCATAAAACTTTTTTTTTACTTTTTTTCCACAACTTTTTTTTGCCACTTTTCCACAGTATTTTTTTATCCTGTAACTTTTTCATCCCACAACTTTAATTCCTGTTAACTTTTTTAGTTTGTGTTCTTTTAATAAACACACTTACATAGTTACAATTTTGTAAGAATAAAAACCGATTACCTCATGCCAAGCATGCCGAGAATTTGCAGAGTCTCAATACCCAATACTATAGTTTTCAAGACACACAAAATTTTTAGGCAAAACAGCACCTTGAAACAATTTAATAATGTATTACATTACAGTAGCATCACAGCAGCAGTCAATAATGCCACTTTAGACAAAAATCAGTATTTCCATTATGCATTCTGTGTATAAGAATTCATAAATCGGTAAAAGTCATTCTAAGAAAACTTGGCAAATACAGCTTTGGACTGGAATTGGCATTTCTTTGTCTACTTTTCCTTCCCCTAGATTCTTTGTTTTAAACTACAGTATTCATATTTTAAAATGTTTTAAATTATTTTAAGACGTTAATATAGCAGTTACATTTTTGAATAGTTATTTGAAAGTGACTGTAAGATAAAGTTTTAGAGAATCTATTATGGATAGGGTTGATTTACATTTTCACATTTTCTAAAAATCAGCTTTGGTTTTAGAACTGATTGTTTTTCATTTTGGGAAAACCTACCAGGTTTAATCAATTACTTTAAAAATAATTATCATATTTTGCAGTCTTTAAATAGGTGTTTTGATTCTTTACTCCCTACAGAAATTCAAATTTATTCAGTTGAAGTCACATTTTAAAATTCTATGTTCCTGCTGAACTCTAACCTTCTAATGTTGCCTTCTAAGCAAATTAAAGGCTGCCTTATACTGAATGAGGTAGAGAACAAATACTTGGCTGAATGAGGTACTGCAAAAGACTGCATGCACTTTGAAGAAAGACTTGAGTTATTGTCATAGGATTTCCATTCTCTTTAGCTTTTTCTTAAACATATGACAAAATACCTACACAAAGAGTCGTATTTGAATTAATATAGTATATTTATTTTTCAGACTGACATTCATCTTAAATATGCCAGTATGTGATTTAATCCACAGGTACCTGATGAACACATTATTGTCAGATTGGTTACAGTTGCTAAACGCTATCTGAAGGTCATTCCTAGTCATTTATACGTGTCAGGGTAAAAGTGAAGCGATTTGAACTATAAAAATACCTTTGAAATAATTTATCAATGTATTAGATAAGCTCAGTTTCAGAATGATAAACAAAAACTGTTAGACCAAATAACTTGGCTAATTAACAGTGGTACGATTTCTAGCCCGAGGGTTTAAAATGGAGTTAAAGTAAGTGTCTTTAAACTGAACTCAAAGAATGCAAAAGCGGCAAGTTCAGACAAGGCAAGAACAGGACCTTTAGTCCATTTTAAGCCATAAATATTACACAAAATATGCCTCTAACTGAAACTGAGAGGTATAAAAACATATTTCACTCTTCGTAAAGAACTTTGTGAGGAAATATAACTCTGTGATTGTATAGACACTTTCCTCATGACACTTTGACAGTCACAAACAGTAGATTGCGCTGCAGTTTGTAAACATTTTACGTTGCATAAACTGCTCCTTGATTTTCAAATGTAGTATAATACTGTCTACTAAAACTCCTTTTTGTTTCAACTAAGTACTCTCACATATATTAGTTTATAATAATGTTTGTTATTATTTTTAAAGTGTTCTCCATTCAAGGAAAAGAAGTAAATTCCTATGTCAGATGGTTGAAGACTAGCTATTAGCCAGAGAGGTCTAGATGGTAAAATCCATCTTCTAGCCTCAAATAAGCTCCATGAACACAGAGGAATGCCAGGTGTCACACAGCTTTCCTTCACTCGAATTCATTCTTGACTAGAGCCTGTATATGCCTGTTCCAGGGGCATTTAAACTCTTAAAGGATTTCTTCTGATCTTTACTAAATACATTAAGGAGAACGCCAACCAGTGCCCTTTTGTGTACTGGGACATGTAGTCATGTGATTAAAACAGGGAACATGAACTCTGACTTTAAAATGTATTGTAGATATAAATGCTCTCAGCTAGAAAAGGTTTTCCACATCCACAGTCATGATGGGAGCCTTTCATTCCTCAGAAATAATCCCTTTTCAGGTCATCAAAAAAGAGTACAACTGCCACAGCTCATGAGGCAGTATCTTCATGAGCCCAGAGCACATACAAATCCTAAGGGAACTACCGTAGTACAGCGCTCATTCTTGGCACCGGAACAAATGAAACATATTCTATCCTGCACACACCTGCCAAAGCAGGCCACTTTCCTCTTCTGGGAGATTTAAAAACCTCCCCAAAATGTTATTACTCCCATCCCCAATACACAGAAAAAGGGGGAAAGGCTGTTTCCAGTGCTCCACCTTTAAACAACTGTAAATGTCAGTACTCACAGTGGCATATTACAAAGTAATAGACCGCGCACTTGAGGGCAAACCACATATTGAGCTAATGAAGAGCTCACTGTGATTAGGATTCGATCAAACATAACAGCAGAACATAAGGAAATTTTATCTGAATTCCGTAATGAATATACAGGCTGTACTAACATTAAAAAAGCATGGCAGCCTATCCCAAACCAGCAAGAACAGTTGTGTGCATACAGTGGGTCTTTGTGTGTTTGAACTCCCACCACATAAGGGCAAACTCGATATGCATGCTAACGTCCTATAATTATCAAATTAAAAAAATGCTAAAAGATGCCAGAGTGAACATGAGAGAAAGACCCACTCTCATTTAACTTTTTACAAATAAATTTAAATTATAAATTAGAAACACAAATAAATTTAAACTATAAATTAGAAACACAAATAAATTTAAATTATAAATTAGAAACACAAATTTAAACTATAAATTAGAAACACAAATAAACATAAGTGGCTCTAACATTCAAATGAAGTAAATGAATTGTGTAGGATATTAACCCCTTAAATGTTTTGTTTTTTTTTTTTTTCAATTTCTTGACCCGCTCTTAGATGATGGTGATGTTTAGCTCCCTGTTCTCCGCAGCCCGAAAAGAATGGCATGCAGCCTCTTCTGCTCCTCCTGCCGCCTCTCCTGTACCAACAGCTTCTCCACTCAAGCCTGGGTGCTCCTGGGGAGTCCTGCATTAGAGGAAGCAGCTGCTGGATCTGCTGTGCAGTGGGGTTGTCATGGGGGAGAACCCTCCCTGTCCTCTCCCGGTGCAGCCTCCATGCTATCAGTGAGGCTCAGCTCACTAAGATCTTCAGAGAGAGGGAGGGGGTGGGAATCTGGGCACAGTGCGAGCCTCCCCTGCTCCTGCCTGCCCACCCCGCCTGAGGGCTCTACTCACCACCCTGCTTGTCCGCACATCCAAGCTCCTTGTGGGACTGGGGCTCCAGGTACTGGTCTGGCTGCTGCTGCAGACTCGGAGCCTCTTGGCTCTTCAGCTCCACCTGCCGGAAGACCCTGGGCATGAGGACATGTGGTGGCTGGCTTCCAGATTCCTGGCCCATTAATAGGGTAGCGAGGGCACTGTGGGGCTCTGTGGCCTGCCCAGGCCCCTGGCCCCTTGCTCCAGGCCTAAGAGACTGTCTCCCTTGCCTAGAACCCCATGCCTCCTTCCCTAGCATCAAATCTCACGTCCTTTTTCCCAGCATGTAAACTGTAGGCCACAGACTGGTGGAAAAGCAGGCGGAGCCAACCACCATCTGCTAAGTGTGCTACATGCCTAATGTTTCCACGTATTATCTCATTTAATCCTCAGCACCTCTGCAAGGAAAAGGCTAACTTCCTTTTGAAGTTAAAGAAACAGAGACTTAGAGATGCAAAGTAGTTGAATTATGACCAGTGGAACCGAGGCCGGAATCCAGTTTGAATCTAAGGAGTCTTTTTTGTTTTTCTGTTTTGTTTTGTTTTGAGAGAGTGTCACTCTGTGTCCCAGGCTGCAGTGCAGTGGTGCAATCTCAGCTCACTGCAACCTTCATCTCCCGGGCTCAAGTGATTCTCGTGTCTCAGCCTCCTGAGTAGCTGGGATTACAGGCATGCACCACCAGGCCCGGCTAATTATTATTATTATTTTTAATTTTAGTAGAGATGAGCTTTCACCATGTTGGCCATGTTGGTCTCAAACTCCTGACCTCAAGTGATTGTCCTGCCTCAGCCTCCCAAAGTGCTGGGATTGCAGGCGTGAGCCACCACACCCGACATAAGGAGCCTCTTATACCACTGTCTCTTCCTCTGTGATTGGGGGGCTCCATGCCTCTAGCTGGGATGATGATGATGTCCAGACCTGGGAGGGCCCCAGGGCTACCCACCTCTAAAAGTCAGAGGGCAGGAAGCAAGAAACAGTCATAGGACTGCCCCGGAGGGTGCTGGGGTCACCTGTCCCCAGGCTGCAGCTGCCTGTGGCCTGGCACCTCCCCTCCCCAGAGGCTGGTGCCCGCCTCCCACATCTTCTTGGATGGGTCAGAGGTTACAGTCTCTTTCAGCTCACCCGACTTCTCCAGCTCCTTTACTTGCTGCTCCAACTGCAGTGTGCTCTTGTTCTCGTTGTTCTGGACAGAGAGAAGCAATCAGTGGCCACCCACTAAAACTGGAGACCCCAGAACTTAGTGTCTGCCTCCCATGGCACCGGGAAGGGTGGAGGCAGGTTAGAAAAATATCCCCTCTCTCCCACAGCCATCAGAGCGGGGCTCTGGCTCACAGATGCCTTTAGAAGTACCATTTCATGTGAAGGCTACAATGCCCCATTTTACAGGTGGGGAAACAAAGGCCTTGAGGGCTAGGGAAGAGGGCAGCCTCCCCAGGTGGGGCAACGTACCAGCTCCTCGAAGCCGCTGCGTGGCTCGGCCCGCTGCTCGTACAGGGCTTCCCACCCCAGCTCCAGCATCCTCTCCAGCTCCCGCAGCCTCTCCAGCTCCCGCAGCCTCTCCAGCTCCCGCAGAGTCTCCTGCTGCCACAGCCTCTCATCCTGTTGCCGAAGCCTCTCCTGCTCCAGGAGCTCCTCCACCTCGTCCAGCAGCCTCTCCCTCTCCAGCAGCCTCTCCTGCTCCTCCTGCCGCCTCTCCTGTTCTAACAGCTTCTCCACCTCTTCCAGCAGCCTCTCCTGCCCTGGCAGCTTCTCCTGTTCACACAGCCTCTCCTCCTGTTCACATAGCCTCTCCTCCTGTTCACACAGCCTCTCCTCCTGTTCACGTAGCCTCTCCTCCTGTTCACACAGCCTCTCCTCCTGTTCACGTAGCCTCTCCTCCTGTTCACACAGCCTCTCCTCCTGTTCACGTAGCCTCTCCTCCTGTTCACACAGCCTCTCCTCCTGTTCATGTAGCCTCTCCTCCTGTTCATGTAGCCTCTCCTCCTGTTCACGTAGCCTCTCCTCCTGTTCACGTAGCCTCTCCTCCTGTTCACGTAGCCTCTCCTCCTGTTCACACAGCCTCTCCTCCTGTTCACGTAGCCTCTCCTCCTGTTCACACAGCCTCTCCTCCTGTTCATGTAGCCTCTCCTCCTGTTCATGTAGCCTCTCCTCCTGTTCACGTAGCCTCTCCTCCTGTCTCCTGTTCAGGAGACTCAACATCTGATTGTTTTCCACCTCAGCCTGGAGCTGTCTTCCCACACTCTCTAGCTCCTTCCTTAGGTGGTTGGTCTCATCTTGTAGCTGCTCCACCTTAGATGGCCCTGCTGGGGGCTCTGGGGCCAGGGGTTCAGCTGAGAAAGCAAGCAGAGAATAAGGGCCTCTGGATTCTCAAAAAAAAAAAAAAAAAATCCTCCCTTTGGTGCACAGCTCCTCCTCTCAGGCTTCCCAAACTTGGCCTCACTGCTAATGACTCCTCACACCCGGATGGTAGACAATCTTCCAAGTCACTTTCAGATAGAGAGCACTGTGGGTGGCTGACAATGGGCACTCCTCCCTCTTTACTGATGGGGACACTGAGGCTCATGGAGATGACAAGACTTGTCCTCCCCTGGCACAGACCTCTTTCCCTCTGCCTCAAAGCCCTTCCATCCACCCACCTCCCTGGGGCATTCTAAGTCACCCCCACAGCCCTCTAATGCCAGTCCAGCTGCCAGGTCATGCCAGCCCCATCTTACCCGTCTGGTTTTTGAGTTTGAACAAGCTCCTCCCAAGCTTCTGTACCAGATGTATCTCATGCTTCTTCTCCTCCTTAGATGTGCGAACCTGCCCAAAGCAAAGGGGGAAAAGGGCCCTGGAGGGAGGGGCTGGTGAACGTCCAGAGACAGAGTTTGAGAAAGGCCCACCCCCCTTCTGCCAGTTTGTGATTTAGAAACGTGCATTCATTCAACAAACATTTACTGAGCATGTACAGGCCAGGTACAGTTCTTCATAGCAGAGATATAAAACAGCAAAGGACAGACAGGAGCCCTTGGCCCTGAGGTTTCCATTCTAGGGGCCTTTAAATCTCTGACTTTCAGAGCTAACCAAGACCTTTGATACTCTCTACCTCCTCCAGAAACACGAGCATAAAGAGGAGAGATGGCTTGTCCAGACTCAAAAAGCAAATTAGGGACTGAGGCAGGGCAGAAATATGGACCCCTGACAACCAGTCAGGCTAGTGCTTCCCAGAGAGGTGACAACCCCAGGGCATGTGTGGCAAGGACTAGAGCAGGGGTGTCTGGAGAAGAGAGAGTCAGCAAAGAGGGCAGTGCAGAAGACCCATGCTGCATGTTCTGTGCTCTGGGGTCCCTCCAGGTGAGACCTGGGTGCCCAGCTCCCCATTTGCCCTTGGCATCAGGGGCCCCTAGCTCCTTTCTTCAGGGCCCCAAGAGGAAACTGGAGTCCAGGATTGACCAGCTGTAATCAGGGGACCCCACTGGACTCTTACCAGTGAATTGATGTTTTCAGTGAGTTGACTGATTATTGCGGAGCTTGAATCCAGGGCCACTGCTAGTTCTTGGTACTGGCTCTGAGGTGCATGCAGAGAGAAGGAGTTGGAGGAAGATTGTGGCGAGGGGTAGAGAGAATAATCATTAGGGCTGGTGGGGGTGTGTGGGCTGCCTCAGCTGGCAGAGGGGCAACAAGCCCCTGCTGTGGGAGGAGGTTGGAGGGCTGGCCTGCAGGGTCACTGCACCTCGGCCCAGGGCCTCTTACCTCCAGATCCTGCAGGGTAGTAGAGGATGCACGGCCCTCCCCGTAGATACCTGTTGCTGACTGCAAGAGATGAGAGTGCACATGGAGATGTTCTGTCCCCCCTCACTGTCTAAGCCCTCTGACTTCCTTTCTTCCCCCATCAACTGGCAAAAGCTTCTTTTCTGCCTATCTTGGACCCTTTTCCCCATAACTCCTTTGTGCCAACTTCTCTCGTGGTTCTTATCTCCCCACCATCCCACCCTGGGGCCCTTTCAGTGACTCCTAAAGGGACAGCCTGATGGCAAGTGGCTCTTCTCATTGGCCTGGCTTCCCCTTGAGACTGGGGATGAGGAAAATCAAACAGCAACGACCATTTCCTCAGTGTCCTGGGTGTTTGCAGCAGGCCATGTACTAAGGATTCACATAAAAGCAACAATAACGAATCTCATTTAAACTTCACAAATGGAAGTCAAAAAATACCACCTCTATTATACAGATGTGAAAAGAGAGGCCCAAAGACCTCAAGCAACTTGCCCTAAATCATATGCTAATCAATCCCTAATCAATTCTTAGCAGACGGAGAGGCAGGATTCAAATCCAGAATTCTTAACCAGTACCCAACAGTCCATCTACAATCTTAACAATTACCCTCTACTGCCCCTTGGGCCCCCTGTCCCCAGGAGCCTGGCCCGCCGAGACTCACATCCCCAGGTGAGTGGTAACCACCAGAAGTGGCTGTGTCAGGGCTACTGCCATTGACTTTCTTTTTCCTGTTAGCTCCTGCTGGAATGCCAGGGCTCTTCCTCTGCCAATATGCTTTTAACTGTGGGAAAGAAGAGCAGTAACACTCATGAGAATGATCAGCCCCTACAGCCACATCCTCCTTTACAGTTTTGACAAAATACCCTTATATACCATCTGATGTAATGCCACCAACAACCGTACAAGGTGTTGTCACAATCAGTGACTGAGAGGGATTCATATCATGGATAGAAAAAAAAAAAAAAGAAAGATCAAAAAAGGCAATACTGGAACTTAAACTCAGTCCTCTGACTCCACGCTCTGGGGTTTTGCCATGAATCAGCAGCTTCCAGGGACCAAAACCAGGGGCAGAGGTAGAAAAGCACACATTAAGCAGGCAGGAACTGTAGGCCGTGTGGTTTAGAGTCATACATCCTCACAGGTCTGCTAGCGTGAAGAAGCGTACCAGTACCTCTCACACTTTCATATCAATGTGTCCTCATGGCAGAAGGCAGCTTTTCTATTAAATCTGGGAATTTATCAGAAAGAGGACAACCCAAGCCTCATTTCAGAGCAAAGTCTGGTATACGCTTGGAAACCTATGTGTCTGTCACCCCCAAGTACATTAATGCATTTTCTCAAGAGAATCAAGGGAAAATGATGCTTCAGAAAGATGTCCCGCATTTATCCTGTGGCACTCAAAGTACCCCAGGTTGAGACGATATGAGGAAGATTCAAGCTGTCAAGTTCAGTTTCCCAAGATCTATTCCACAGAAGATGAGCAAATCTCACTTCAGAGGCCACTGACTGAAGGGCAGTCTGGTCCCAGAACCGTGGAGAACTCAGAAAAAAATGTTAAAGTCTCTCTGGAAAGTAGAAGCCTGGGAAAAAACCAAACCAAACCCATTCTCCCATTGCCACCCAGAGATACTGTGAACATTTTGAGCTCACAGGGGAAGTGTAGGCTTTTCCCACTGTCAATGTCTATGTTAAGGGAGTAAGGCAGCCTGAAACCTCTTGCTCCTAGGTCCCATAGTCTCCACTCCCCTTCCAGCTGGAAATTTGTGCTGCAACCAGAGGAACCAGAAATGGGGTGAGAAAACTTAGGGGACTGGGTTGTAAGATCAAAGGCTGGTCTTGCAGCAGTAATGACAGTTCCTAGGGGCACTGTGACATCATTGCATTCCACTCCTCCCAGGGGAGGGGACCACATCAGCGCGATGCCCGAGTCGCTGCTCCACGATGGGGGAGGGAAACACACGGTTTCGACCCAGGTCCTCAGAGACGCCAGCCCAAGAAGCCTAGGGAGGTCGAGCTTGGGGCAGCAGGAGGGGAGGGCAGAGTCTGCAGTAGGGAGCCCCGGGAGTCACCAGCCCAAAGCCACCCAGGGATGACTGGTGAGGGCAGGGCCTGGGGCTGGGGGACCCAGGTCCTGGGAGACGCAAGCCCAAAGAGCCCAGGGAGGTTGGGCTTGGGGTGGCAGGAGGTGAGAGCTGATTATGGAGCAGGGAGCCCCAGGAGTCACCTGCCCAAAGTCACCCTGGGGTGATTGGCAAGGGCAGGGACTGGGCTGCTTGCTGAAGGGGTGGGGCTGACTGACTAGGCTTTGGTTGGGGGAGCCCAGAGGGGCTGGGGTTGGGGGGCCCCATCTGGTATGCCTCAGGAGTGGTATGGACTCTGGCACAGGTCTTGTCATCGGAGGGGATCTGTGGCTGGGTTGGGGGCCATGACCTGGTGTGTTTTACCTTTTTCTTGGCTGCGGCCAATTTCCCCTGTTGTGTTTTTTCTGACATCGCGGGGTGGGGAGGGAGGCGGGGTTGGGGCCACATCAGCGAAATACCAGTGAGCACTGCTCAATGCCTCCAGTCACCTACCAGGCAGCTGTGCAACTGAGCCACAGGTGGCGTAACCAGGGCACCAATGGAACGCAGAATAGGGGCGTGGCCTTAATGCTCCAAGCCCATTGGTCAGTGAGAAAGATGAAAGGGAAAGGAGGCGTGGCCAGGCAGCAGCATGTCCAGAGGGACCTGTGGCATCATAAGGAAAGCTGCCCATGCAACCGCTGTCCCCGCCCACTCAGAGAAAGGGGAGGGGCCGCCCACTCTGGGAGAGGGGAAGGGCTGGGTTTTGCTTTAAAACTTTTAAAACTGTAAAAAATAAACTTTAAAAAATATATGTGTATATACTTTATATATATGTGTGTCTGTGTGTGTGTATCTATGTGTTCCTCCAGAGCTGTCTTCATTATGCAGCTTCTGTGCAAAGTCTGTGATTTTGGCCTATATTTTTCATCTTCAAATGGAGTACAAGAATTACCAGTATTACCTTAACTGAGATATAGATCCTATAAAAATGGAAAATCCATAGCATGCTTGATGATTAATGAAGCCGACTATAGTATCCGACATTCCAATAAGACAAAATAATCACAACAATTTCTCTTTTTTGGAAAAATGTTTGTCTTATTCTCCTACATTATTGTTAAGATTTCTTTTAAAAACAAGAAACATGTCTAATATCTTTAAAAACACAAAGCTTTTGGGCCGGGTGCGGTGGCTCACGCCTGTAATGCCATCACTTTGGGAGGCCGAGGTGGGTGGATTGCCTGAGGTCAGGAGTTCGAGACCAGCCTGGCCAACATGATGAAACCCTGTCTCTACTAAAAATACAAAAACTAGCCAGGCGTGGTTGCGGGTGCCTGTAATCCCAGCTATTTGGGAGGCTGAGGCAGGAGAATCACTTGAACCCAGGAGATGGAGGTTGCAGTGAGCCAAGCTCACGCCACTGCACTCCAGCCTGGGCGACAGAGCAAGACTCCATCTCAAAAGAAATAAAATAAAATACAAAATAAGTAAGAACACAAAGCTTTCAATTTAATAACCACTTAAAGCTCTTTACTGGTTTAAGAGAATTACAAGGCCCATTTTTCTAGAATCACCTGGCCTCTCTAAGCCTTGCAAATGAAGCTGAATTTCTCACTTGATACTTGGCTCTCACTTGCAGTCATGAAAACCAAGAATTTGTTATGTCACTGTGTATTGCTTGTTACCTGAAATCCACACTAGGCTGGGATCAAGGGTTGAATCTTTCATGATTTTCTCCATAACCTGTGTGCTTCTTATCCCACACCAAACTAAGCTTTTTTTCTAGAGCTCTGCAACTTACAGTTAGTATATGAGAGCAGTTCTCAAAAATGTAGTCTCTGGACTAGCAGCTCCAGCAGCACCTGGGAACTTCTTATAAATACACATCCTCCGGCCCCACCCTGGACCTGATGAATCAGAAACTCTGGAGTAGGGCTCAGCAATCTGTGCTGCAGTAATCCCTCCAGGTGTTCAAGAACCTCTGGCATACAGCAGGTAGAAAAATGTGTTTCCTTCTGTAGGTCCAAAACCAGGGATACTATATGTTTTCTCTATATGAAACAATGACGTGCAATTAAAAGACATAAATCTCCTTCCTGCTCCCACCTTCCAGCCAATGTGTTTTATTTTTATGAGTTAAATAAGAAAACAATCAGAGATTTTGTCTAAATCGCATATTTACAGGTATCAGTTCTCATCCAGCCTGATCTTATCCAATATCATTTATATTCTCTTACATGTGAAGTTTTAGAGAAGGATCTTCACAATGTAAGACTCAGGCACACTAGCAGTTCTGTAATAAAACACCAAGTAGATCAGAATGTCCAAACTTACTGGAGAAGAAAAGTGGAATCATTGGCTATATTTTCAAATTGCAATAAACAGGATATTAAAGTTTTGAATTTTTTTCACCTTCATCCTTCCACGTTAATAGAATTAAGCCAAAATACTTGTCTTCCAAAGCCTCTAGCCAGGCAAAATTTTACTATATTACTTCTTGCTTTTCAATGGCTATAAAGCAGACTCCTGGTAGGCACATTTGGTATACCTGCAAAGATGAAGAACTAAACAGTTCCATCTGTTCAATACTGAAACAAAAGTCCTGCAAACCTCGGATGGTGAGTGTAATACTTCAGCACTAGCACCAAAGCCTCAAATATGAAAAGATACCAAGAACACCACTAGCAAACAAAACTAAACTCTCGGCTGGGAGCTCTAGTTCATGCCGTAATCCCAGCACTTTGGCAAGCAAAGGTGGGAGGATTACTTGAAGTCAGGAATTCAAGACCAGCCTTGGCAGCATAGTGAATTCACACCTCTACAGAAAGTTTTTAAAATTAGCTGGGTGTGGCAGCACACTTCCTGGGGCAGATGTGCCATTGCTGGAAACTTCTCTATGGAGAGTACCAAGTACTTCTACCTGTAGCATTTTCCCTGGCTGGAATCCTGCAATTATCACAGTAGCCCGAGATCCAAGAAGGCAGAGCAGGAGCATCCTGTCCCCTCCCCAGCAGGTGCAAGGGAGGCTGGGGGGTGAGGCACAAGCCCGTGGGAGGGTGAGGAGCAGGAGGGATGCATGGTGAGCCTCTGTTGACTGCTTGCTGCCTCAGCTGGAAGGTCAGGACCAAATGTCTATTACAGGTTAAATTACAGAAGTATTTCAGATTTTGGATTTTTTTCAGATTTTGGAATTCGAAAATCTGAAATCCAAAATGCTCCAATGAGCATTTCCTTTGAATCTGGCCTTCGAACATCATGTCGGCACTCAAACAGTTTTGGATTTTGAAGCATTTCAGATTTTGGATTTTCGGATGAGGGATGCTGTATTATCTTCTGAATGAGGCCACTCATTCAGGAAAGCCCAGAGCTTGGGGACGTGGAGCTGCAGACCAAAGAGGTGATTTCTGTAGTGGCTTTCAGTGCGGAAGGGCCTACAAAGTGGTTTAAAGCAAGCCACAAAATAGGAAACCCAATATTTAGCTAATGGAACTCTGATAAAACCTGCTCAAGATGTCTGTCTCTACTAATTCAGATGGAGCCAAGCCAAAGCATCATTATTATTTTAAAAAGGCACCAATCCCTCTGCAAAAGCACTGAATTATATCATGATACAATCATCAATTGTACCATGAATCACCATCAGCGGTGGTCTTTTAGGGATATGAAGAAGGGGTTTTCACAATACATCGCATGACACACCATCTTCCAAATCTCTAAACATTTCTCTCCACAGCCCAGTCCTCTCCATAGTTGTCCAAATCCCTCCCTCTTTTCTCTTGTTGTCTCCAAAACTCAAAACCATGCTCTGACTTTCTATATCCCGCCCTCCCCTTCTTGGACCATCTGGGAAGCCCCCTGCTTCCCCAGGGTGTCCCCTCCTCCCCTTCTGGGATCAGTCATCTTTCCTCAAATGGACCAGTTCGGCCTCTCTTAGTTTCTCCAACTCTGCATCTCAACCTTTCTCCCTTCACTACACAATAATGTCCAGGAGGCAAAGAGCCCACAAACCTGGGAACCTCCCTTTCCAGAAGGGAGGTTCTGGAATGACTACAAATATTTGGTTATGATTTTCTTCCCTGCCACGCCTGTTTTCATGGGCAGTGCTGAGCCCCGGTCCTGGCAGAGCTCAGAACCAGGCTCTCATGAGCTGGGGCAAGTGGGGCCTAGGGAACCTCTGGGTTGAGGACCTTGCACCCCACTCTGCAGCTGCCCTGCTGATTTGGCTCATGCAACCTCTCCTCCTGGGCTCAAGCGATCCTTCTACATCGGTCTCCCAAGTAGCTGGGATTTGGGCTACCACGTTTGGCTAATTTTTGTATCTTTTAGTACAGATGGGGTTTCACCTGTAGCCCAGGCTGGTCTCGAATCCTGGGCTCTAGTGATCTACCCTCCTCAGCCTCCCAAAGTGCTGGGATTACAGGTGTGAGCCACTGCGCCCGGCCTTGTGCCAGCTTTTAAATATCAACAAGGACAAATTAGAGAACAGTGGAAGAGGGTGAGCAGCATGATGAGGTGATACAGAAATAATTTCACATGAAGAACTGGGCATGCCTGGCTTTTTTTTTTTTTTAAGCTATTCTGGGTTGGATGCTGAGGCTCACACCTGTAAGCCTGTAATCCCAGCACTTTGGGAGGCCGAGGTGGGTGGATCACCTGAAGTCAGGAGTTTGAGACCAGCCTGGCCAACATGGTGAAACCCTGTCTCTACTAAAAATACAAAAAATTAGCTGGAATTGGTGGCATGTGCCTGTAATTCCAGCTACTCGGGCAGCTGAGGCAGGAGAATCGCTTGAACCTGGGAGGCGGAGGTTGCAGTGAGCTGATATCGTGCCATTGCACTCCAGCCTGGGCAACAAGAGTGAAACTCTGCCTCAAAAAAAAAAAAAAAAAAGAAAGAAAGAAAAGAAAATATATCTATGCACCAGAGCTCAACACTAGGTTAGGAGCATTTCTGAGATTTGGAGCTATTCAACCATGGAAGTTCCTGGCACATACATCAGGTATTCACAATACCCTTTCTCAGGTGTTTGGTCACTGCTAGTGAGCCTGCCTGGATCAGTGTTTCCCAAATGGCAGTCATTTGCATCTTTGCATTTTTTTTGGGGGGGGGGTTGTGGGGGTATATACCATACCAGATTTTTTAAAAATTGACATTAAAAATACATGTATAAAATGTGTAAAGTGCACTAATCTAAAGTGCACTGGATGTATTTTTTATTGATGTACATACTTTTGTTATCCATCACCCAGGTCAAAATACAGAATCAGCACCACAGAGGGTTCCCTCCTCCTCCTTCCCAGCCAATAATCTTCTCCTCCTACCTAACCAACTGTTCTTACTTCAAGCACTGTCAACTAGTATTTTACATTCTTGAACTGCATATAAAGTGTCTCAAGTTTCACTTAACACTTTTCTTGAAATACACTTGTTTTTTGCCACTTTTTATTTGACCTAAGAAGTAACATTAATGAAACAATGATTTGACGTGATAGGCATTTCCCTCCTAATGAGCACTAAAACACTTAACTATTTGAAAAAAGAAGTTTCTCCGTGTACCAGCTAATATATTCTCCTCGGCCGCCGTTGGTACACGGACCACATTTTGTTTCTCAAAGCAATCCGATGATTTCTGAGGTCCTTTGCAGCTTGAAGACGGAACGACTGTGGTGATCGAGTAGCCAAAAGTTCACGGAATGCACTGTCACAATTGTGATTCCGCCATAGCGCCGTGCATCCATCCAACACTTGTTTAATACCTATATTTAATACCTAATACCTTAGAGTGTCCTAGGCTGTGGACACACAAGACTAAACCCCACTTCCTGAGTTGAAGTGGGGGAAATAGAGGAGTAAATCATTTCACGATGTGTGGTTAAATGCTACAGCTCAGGTAACCACGAGCACACAGAGAAAGGGCAGTTTCTAGAAACAGGGCGGAGAGGAGACCGTGAGTGGGCATTTCCCAGAGCAGTCTCTGCCAGCCACCCTGCTGTGATCACTTTGCCACAGAGCAGCCCCGGCGGTCAACCTCAGCCTCCCTTAGCAACCTGAGCGCCCCGCCCAGGTGCCTTACTATTGGTCTCGTGGAGCGGGATGGGCAGCTCTGCCGTGCAATCCCAGCTCGCAGCCCTTGCTCCGCGTGTACTCACGGGAGGACTCGCAGACGTTACTGCCTTCTTGCGTGCCCCGGCCACCCCCGGGCGGCTTGTAGCCGGTGCGCGGGGTGGCTGGGGCTACGTGCAGAGCTGTCGCGGAGCCGGAACAGCAGCGGTGAAGCCCCTCGGCTCGGCCGAGACCGCCGTGCCCATTGCTCGCCTCGGTTGCCGCCGCTTTAGCCGCAGCCGCTGCTGCCGCCGCCGGGGGAGAGGCAGCCTATTGTCTTTCTCCGCGGCGAAGGTGAGGAGCTGTCTCGGCTCGGCCCGCGGGGGAGCCCCGGGAGCCGCACGGTGAGAGCGCAACTTAGTTGGCGGAGTTGGGGGAAGTTTTGTGATTTGAGGAGGGGTCGGGATGCGGAGCGCGGCCCGTCCCCTGCGGCCGCTCGGTGGGGCGGGCCCCAGAGGAGGGTCGGGGGCTGCGCGGGGCTTCAGGGGCGGGCGGCACGGATGGGTAGCCGGGCGGCGCGGGGACCTCAGCTTTGCGGACCCCTCCTCCCTGCGCATCACCCTTCTCCCGCATTGTCTGCTTGGGGCTCGGCGCGCCTCCCACTCCGCAGCCCAACTTGGGGGCCGTCGCCGCTTTCCGGATGGGGGGCGCGCCCGGCGGCGGATGGCCCCGAACCCTTGCCCCGGGTCCCCGGGTTGGCGCCGCTGGGGCGGACTCACTCCTCCCCTGGGGCGGGCGGCCGCGGTGTGGAGTCCGCGCCGCGAACAAGTGCTGCGGGCGCGAGGGAGCGGTTCCCCGGGGCCGACGCGGACGGTAAACCTGTCCGGCGGCGCCCGCCTGCTGGGGCCTCTCCGCTGTTTCTCGCGGGCGCGGCCCGGCTGAAACTGCGACCGTCGGAGGCGAGCGGCCCTCTGGGACCCGTGCAGCCGGTCCACCTTGCAGCTATACTTTGAGACTAAACATTTTTTTTTTTTTTTTTGCAAAGGCAAACCGGTATGTGAAGTTGAAAAAATCAAAAACCCTCAAATTTTCCTTCTTTTTTTTTTTTTTTTTTTTAAATCAAGAAAGGGGGTAGATAGGTTTGTTTTGTTTTAGAAATAGTTTTTATAGCAGAGTGATACCGTCACATTTAATGATCCTACTGTGAATTCAAGAATTCACGATGAAAGTTGGATTGAGCGGTATTTTGGTGTTCATTCTTTGCTGATACTCATTAATGAAGTTCGTTGGAGAATTTATTGCTTCAGTACAGTAAAAACCAGTGTGCCTTTTTTTTTGTTACTACTCCCCCCTCCCCGCATTGTTTTATTTTTCGAAGAAGCACTTTATTCAGTTTTTCTAAGCCACGGGATTGCCCAGATGAGGACCAACGGTGCAGTTCTTGAAAGGTCATTATTGGCAAGTTTGTGAGGGAGCTAAGATGAGTTGAGATAAACCAGTGTTACTGTTCTTGTATTCTGTCGTGGACTCTTGGGGATTTGCAGGCTGCATTAAGTACAAGTCTGGTCCAGTTTTGGGTGCACGTATTCCACTGAATTTGGTTCGTCTGGCTTATTATATGAACATGATTCTGTTTCACTTCCCCAGATGGAACTAGCTTAAATGTCTATCATTTATAGTGACAAATGATCAAAATGGCTAGAGTGTCATTTATTAACTTCAGTTGTAGTCCTTTACCTTACCTTCTGCTAAATGAAAAAGAAAAATTTGACAAATACTGTGTGCGTCAGTTTGCTCTGAGTGATTTCTCGTGCTAAGTGAGTCCTGTGGAGAAGCGTTCCTGGGCTTTTCTGGTTTGGTGGGCCTTGTGTTATAAAACCAATTTTCTTCACCTGATGAAGCTAAAGACAAATTTTCTTCAGGCACAGGCATTGCCCTTTTAAACTACAGAGCCACTTGTAGGATTCACAATACTCACTCAATGGCTTCCCTTCCTGGCAGTGTGGTTTTGTGTGTGTGTGTGATTGTGGGGAAGGAGGCTGACAGAGGTTGGAAGGGATTGTCAGGGAGGGACATCATGTAAGCAAGTACTAACAACATAACGTGACGAGGGCACCAGTTGCTTTCCTTCTGTGGGCGGTGATGGCATGTTATACTGTAGGTACTATTGTTGTAGGATTTCTCACAGTTCGTTTGCCTTGACTAAATGGTAACTGCACACATACTATACTATAAATGGACTCCTCCTCTAGTCCTTTAACTCCTTGAGGGCTGTGATAGACCTTATTTAACTTTGTACCCTCTTTGCCAGTGGTTTTAACATAGTGCAGGCCCGGTATGTGTTTGAATTGGGTAAATTACTTTTACTGCCTAGTGGTAGCTGGTGTACACAGGAGAGGGCCACCAACTCTGGGGACTTGTCCAAAATGACAATTCACTTGCAGATCTCTGATGAAATTTACTTTAAAAGGATTTCTAACCTTTTTTTTAATCTGTCGGTTATTTTTTGAAAAGAAGTGGGGCTTAACTAGTGCTCTAAGGATTTTAACAAGAGATTCCGATTTAGAAATCTGTCCCCCCTTTTGGTGAAATTCTTATTTTTTTTAGAGTCAGAATCTTCACTGTTGCCCAGTTGTCTCCCCGGGACCCAAGCCGTCTTCCCACCTCAGCCTCCCACAGTACTGGAATTACAGGCGTGAGCCACCCCACCCAGCTGGTGAAATTATTAAAATTGTAGTGAAAACTCTGCCTCCATTGTGAAATTGGAAAAAAATTAGAAATTTTAGAAAAAAGTACGCCCTTTGGAGCTAGGTAGAGTTCAGATCCCCACATTTCCATTGAGTAGTTGCATAGCCTCTCAGAGCTTCAGCTTCCTACTCCTTAAGGGTTAGTAACATGCTTTGCAGTGTTGTTAGGAATCAGTGAAACTGTGTGAGATACTTAACTGCAGTATCTAACATGGAGTAGGTAGCTATTTCCTGGTAGCTGTAATGATAATAATTTTGATACGTTTTTACATGACTTAAGCATTCTGAAAAGTCTGATGCTTCTGAGTATGGAGGCTTAGCTATTTCTTTCATAAAGAAGGGGCCCTGAGACTTGTGAGTCTTATCCAAATGCATTTCTTCAAAGGTGTCAGATGAACTGAAGGATAATGGAAACAATAGCAAATTTATCTTCTCAGTCACCTGTGAGTCTTCCTTTGAGAGTGGGACTTGCAGAGTACTTGGTAGGGTAGAGCTCTTTGTGACTATGCTATTTAGGAAATGGTGAGAGATGGATTGTTTTCAGTACATCAGTCATAAGAGGATATGAGTGAGTTCCAACTTTCCTTATTTTACCTTAGTCTTGACAAATAACAAGTATGGATTATGTCTGTATTTCTCCGACTTGTTTAAGGTAGAACTGGACTGGGTGTTAACAGTGTTAGTTCAGTAGAGACATGAGCAAATCACTCACTTCCCCTTCAAGATAACACTTTAAAGGTGCCACCATTTGCAGAAGAAAGCAGTGATTTAAAGCAGCTATACTAGCACAGTTTAGAATACTTACACTAGCTGATGGAGTAGATACATTCTAGAAATATTTACCTGTAGTGGGAGTTGAACAGTGAGAACACACGGACACAGGGAGGGGGGAACATCACACACTGGGGCCTGTTGGGGGTTGGGGGGCTAGGGGAGGGATAGCATTAGGAGAAATACCTAGTGTAGATGACGAGTTGATGGGTGCAGCAAACCACCATGGCACGTGTGTACCTATGCAACAAACCTGCACGTTCTGCACATATACCCCAGAACTTAAAGTATAATAATAAGAAAGAAAAATAAATATTTACCTGTTAAGGACATTTCTGTGTATTTTATTCCATCTTTCCAATAGTTTTCTTATGAAGAGATTATAGTAAACCTTTGAACTTAACAGATTGAGGGTAAACCTTTAAAAAATATATTTGGTCACACTTACAGACTGAGGGTAAAAACATTCCTGACAAAGCTAGGCGAAGACACTTGGACTTTTTTTTTTTTTTGAGACGGAGTCTCGCTCTGTCACCCAGGCTGGAGTGCAGTAGCACGATCTTGGCTCACTGCAACCTCTGCTTCCCCGGTTGAAGCGAATCTTCTGCCTCTCCCGAGTAGCTGGGACTACAGGCACACGCCACCATGCCTGACTAATTTTTTATTTTTAGTAGAGACGGGGTTTCACCATATTGACCAGGCTGGTCTTGAACTCCTGACCTCGTGATCCACCCACCTCAGCCTCCTAAAGTGCTGGGATTACAGGCATGAGCCACTGCACCCGGCTGAAACTTGGACTTTTGATGTTTCCTTCTTTTAAAGTTAACATCTAGCACTTGAATAGACTTGGTTATTACTGATGGGGACAGGCATCCATTTGGAAGTAGCTTCCCTCTCTCTCTCTTTCCCAGGTTAGGCTGTCTTATTGCTGTAAATGGGGAGAGAAGAGAAAGCCGTGGGTGGAAGAAAGTGTTTCATGGCCTGGTGCGGTGGCTCATGCCTGTAATCCCAGCACTTTGGGAGGCCGAGGCGGGTGGATCACTTGAGTTCAGGAGTTCAAGACCAGCCTGGCCAACATGGTGAAACCCCGTTTCTACTAAAAACAGAAAAATTAGCTGGGCATGGTGGCGGGCACCTGTAATCCCAGCTACTTGGGAGGCTGAGGCAGGAGAATCACTTGAACCCAGGAGATGGAGGTTGCAGTGAGCCGAGATTGCACCACTTCACTCCAGCCTGGTCGACAGAGCGAGACCTTGTCTCAAAAAAAAAAAAAAAAAAAAAAAGTGTCCCACTCAGTTGCCCAGGCTGAAACGCAGTGGCAGGATCACTGCTCACTGCAGCCTTGAACCAAGCGATTATCCCACCTCAGCCTCCCAAGTAGCTGGGATCACATGCATGCACTGCCATGCCTGGCTAATTTTTTTATTTTTGTAGAGACAGGGTCTCTCTATGTTGCCCAGCCTGGTCTCAAACTCCCGGGATGAAGCAATCCTCCCACCATGGTCTCCCAAAGTGTAGGGCTTACAGGCGTGAGAGCCTGCTGGGGTTTTTGATTGACATTGCATTGAAACTGGAAATCAGTTAGGAGGCAACTGACATTTTAATAATGAGCCATGAACATGGTATATCTATTTATTTAGACCTTCTTAGATTTTTCGTCAGTGTTTTGTAGTTTTTAGCAGTTGGATCTTGCTTGTATTTTGTAATCTTACACATTTATTTCATGTTTGTGGTACTGTTGTGAATGATACTTCTCAATTTCCAGTTGGTGATTGCTAGTATATAGGAAGGTGATTTTATGTTATATGCTGACCTTGGATTCTACAACCTTGCTAAACTCATTTTTAGTACTAGAAGCTTTTTTGTAGATTTTTGGAATTTTGTGCATAGACAGTAATGTCACTGGCAAATAAGGGCAGTTTAATTTCTTTGTTTTCACTTTGTATGCTTTTATTTCCTTTTTTTTTTTTGAGACGGAGTTTCTCTCTTGTTGCCCAGTAAATTAGCCCATGTAAATATTTCTGTTTGTATCTCTTGAAAGTAAAGACTCTTTTAACCATGGATGAGTGTCTTGATCAAATCAACATGGCTTGTTCATGTCGATACCATTTGCTCAGAGGGGAAAGATTAAGGGAAAAATGGGGTTGGATTTCAAATGCCAGGACCTGTCTACTGGGTTTGTGATTTGTTATTCTCTAAAGTTGTAGCTCTTAAAACAAAGAAAGGAGTGAGTTTGGCCTATTCATTAACTTTTACTCTTTAGACAGTTCAAATGTTTATTGAGTTCTTCTACAGGCCGAGCCCTGCCTTCTTCATGCTTACCAAGAAGCATTTTTACGCGGTTTCTCTAATGTTTGGGTGGACGGTACCTCACTAAGTTGTTTTTCACGCACGTGCGTGCTCGTTCCTGAAGAGTCCTGTCCAGGTGCCCTGCCCGCTTTTCCTTTCAGGCTTCTGTATCAGCTGCCGTTTCCCTATAGAACGTGCCCTGACCTCCACCCCTTAACCCTAACCAATTTGCCTTTACATGTCTGACCATCCATCAAGGCTCTTTTGGGTCATATTCAGTCCATGTTGATATTTCCCCTTCCTCCCTTCTTTAGTCCTTACTATTTTTGCTTTGGTCATGTTTTCTTACACTGTATTCTGTAAGCCTGTTTAATTTTTTTATGGTGGCAGGGGAAAATATTTCATAATTATGCTTTGTGCTTTTTATCTTCCACTCAATAAATGCTTGGTAAATATTTGTTTTATTGAATGTATGAGCCTATTCTAGCTATATTGTGCTTGAACAAAAATCTTAACTGCCTTGTAAGTTAACTGCTAAGAATTTGTCAAAAGTGCAGAGATAACATCAAGAGCTTGTCATGGATAGTACAAAAAGGTCTCTAAGGGCTTGATGGAAGTCTGTAAATTGACTTCCTATGAAAGAGAGTGTAAGAAGTGAAAAAAAGCAAAACAGAGTAGATGTTTTACTCTGTTTGCCAAGGGATTTGTGCTATTTTTTTCCTGTTTTATAAATTTGCCCTAATCTTAAATAATGAAGGGAAAAGAGCACTCTTTTTCAACCAAGGAATCCTTTTTATACTTCTTTTCTGTGAAGCCATGTTATGAAAGATTGTTATACAAACTTAAGTATAGTTTTTCCATCTTCAGTAACAGACCTGATTGCCATCTAGTTACTGGTTCTGATCACACAAGAATGCAAAGCAGCTTGTTCTAATAACTTGTGCAGGCCTATTGGGAACTAGTATATGGCTTTGAGTCCTTTTGAAGTATTTAACATAATTTGGCAATTCCATTACTCCTTTTATGGACTTCTTGGCATCTATGAACTCTTGGTAGGGAATCACTGTTTTAGAATGAAAAATGTCTCCCAGGAAGTAAATTAGCCGGTAAACAAATGAAACTTCATTTTTTATATGACTTGTAGAGCATAAATTATTACTCTTTCTGCATAAGTGGCTGCTTTCTAGGCTGCTTTTAGCGAGATTGTTAGAAACAAATGATCGGTGCTGTGAGGAAGAAGCAGCACTCAGGCAAAAAAGTTTTCTCAGCAAGACAATTTGCTTCTGCAAGTATGCTGCTTGCATTAGTCATGATTGCAAGAGCACACCAAACGGGGTGGAGCAGGGGTTCTTATCCCTAATGCACTCCCTACCTCTGTGTCATTCCAACATGGGCTGGGGTAGGACTGCACAATCTTAGCTGACTCAGCTGGATATTGTGAATATTTTCTCTAATAAGAAAGGGAGGGGGAATGTGAGTTACAGGTTGGGACTGGTAGGAAGAGTTGTTTACAAGGCAGGTTACTAAGCAGGTAACTAAGCTGGTAAGTAGGGTCGAGAAGGTACAGGGAAATTGTTCTTAGGAACAAAGAACAAGGAAGTTGAACAAGTTAAACCTTTGAAGAGGAACTTACTGTACCTAACAATTCCCCCCTCTTAATTTTTGTAATTCTTCCTCTTCAAACTTTTTTAGCATGTCTTTGCTTTGCTGTTCTGCTTGGTTTTCTAGAAGGAAAAGCTTATCTGAATAGGGTGGAGGAGAGCTAAGAGAAGTTTTGGTAAATTCTGTGTCTATGAGTCTTTGCAGTAGTCCACAAATGTATGGTATGATACAGCATCCAACAAGAATAAGCACACCTATAACGATTGCAAGAGAAGTAAATATTGAGGACATTAAGCCTTTCCATTTTCCAGACCATTTCTCCATTAAACTTGTAAAGGGATC
Source organism: Homo sapiens (assembly GCF_000001405.40). NCBI lineage: Eukaryota > Metazoa > Chordata > Mammalia > Primates > Hominidae > Homo > Homo sapiens. The sequence goes on from NT_187606.1 coordinate 72,782, forward strand.
ATTTATTCCAGAATTGCTTGCTAACTCATTGGATAAGGAGGTTAGGTCCTGCAAAGCTTTTGTTACTGTTCCGTCAGGGGCTGTGTTATTAGGAATAAAAGTACATCATTGGACTCCAATCAAGACACAGACACCACCTTTTTCTGCTAGCATCGTATCTAGGGCTATCCTGTTTTCCCAGACTATTTAGTTAATGGGACCTAATTGGGAGGCTGTTCCCTTAATGGCATGTCTTGTGTAGTTAACAAACCTTTGTTGGTTGTAATAAATGTAGTTTATCCAATCTACATTTTTATTTACAGTTGACCACCAAAACAGCACAGATTCAAATCCTGAAGCTGTTTGATTTCGGGCCTTAAATTTATCTGGTACCCCTCGTGGAACTCCAGTAGCATCTTTATAAACGTGGGAGTCAAAGGACCCATGAAGGTCACTTCTTCTCTTCTGATTTTCTCTTCTATTATGTTAATGGAATGCTAGGGTGAAAGGGATGGCCAGTTGGACTAGAGCACAAGTACCACTCCAGTTACTTGGCAGAGTGTCCAGTAAGGGTCCACCACAATACCACCATACGTATGCTCGAGGATGAACAAGGGCAGACTGACTGGTAAGCTCTTGGGAGAGTTTAAGTTCACCGCATCCCTTTAGGTCTTCATGAAATGCCAAGTTTTCCCCTTGTTGTGAGAGACCCGAGGTAAAAATTGGTGTCAATAGATGGAGGCTGGATGGCCCTCAGGGACTGACCTGCAGGGTGTTGGACTTTAGGGAATAGCAGAGAGAGAGCTTGGCAAGATTCATTACCCCAGGCTGTGGGGTCTTGGAGAAGAGCTACCATACAGCTCATGCCCAGTTGGCTGGAAGACCATCCGAGTGGAAAGGGGACAACCTGGGCCTCTGGCCTACTGTGCGCACAAGTGTAACAGTTGCTTTTGTTTAGAGTGCGGACAGAATATTTAATCCATTCTAACCAAGCATTTGCATCTTGGTACCCTGTCTCAGTTGCTATGGTTTGTTTCAAATTTTTAACTTCTACAATGGCTTACCTTGATTTTATCCTTGGTTGAAGGAAGAACAGCGGTTTCGTTGAGAGAGAGTGTAGAAGGAGGTGGAGGAGGTGAGAAAGTAATGAAATGCATTTCAAAGGATTCTATAAGATGTGTCCCTGCTATTTTGGCTCCTATGCCGTATAAGCGACTTAAAGTAGGTTTAGGGTTGGCAGAAGTGGGGATAAGAATAGAAATTTGCACTGGATTACATTGGTTATACTGGCAGTCAGGGGGTGGGGAATGTTTCCTTTAACAAAGCAAACATGGTTTTAGAGACTTACAACTGCCTGTTGACAAAGCCCTGATGTTCAGTTGTCCACATAATATCATTCCAGCTGTGGCAGGCCTGTTTCCCTACATTTCTTAAGGAACAAGAGTCGTAATGGGGGAGGCTTTTGTCTGAAAGGGACGGAGATACTTCTCTGAGGCTGAGAGTTGCTTTTGACTTTGGAGATCTCCACAGGATATAACAAGGCAAGCATCAAAGGTAATAGTTTGGGGTGAGCTCGACCTAGTTACATTAATAACGAGAGGACTAGCAATAGAAGGGGAAAAGAAATATAGCATAAGAGGATCAAACCCGTTTTAGCTTTAACTTGGTTGGAATTGGCCCTGAAATAGCTGTCCATGATTCTGGAGTGGGTGGTGCTCTTTTGACTCAGGTATGGTGAGTCCATTCTTTTTCAGTGGTGTGGACGGCTGTCTCAGTCATTAGAAACACTAGATAATGTCCCTCCCAGGTGGGCTTGAGCTTCCTTTCTTTCTGACCTTTGATGAGAATGTGGTCACTGTCCGGGCTGGTGGTGGTGAACTGGAAATTCAAGGGGTGGTGTATGTGCCAAGAGGCCTTTAGTCCTAAGGAAAGAGAAAGTGGAGGATAGACCAAGTATATAGTTCTTGAGAAACAGATCTTTTGTTTCGAACGAGGAATGTCAGCAGTGGAGTGTAGATAAGGCAACTCATACAGCATTTCATAAGGAGGTGAGCCGACATCTTTCCTAGGGGCAGTTTGGAATCTTCACAAGACCATGGGGAGGCATTTAGTCCATGGCAACCGAGTCTCTAGGACTAATTTGGTTAGGTGGTTTTTCAGAGTCTGATTCATTCTTTCTACTCTTCCTGATGAAGGTGGGTGCCAGGGGTTATGGTAGTCCCATGTTATATCTAGTACTTGGGCTAGTTTCTTAAGAACATGTGCAGTGAAATGAGTCCTATTGTCTGAATCAGCATTTTCTATTAATCCAAACCTGGGTATAATATTTTCAACTAATGCCTTGAGTACATTACTAGCAGTTGCACTTGAAAAGGGAATAGCTTCTACCCAATGAGTAAGGTGATCTATCACTAATAAATATTTTAAGTGACCAATTGGGGGCATTTCAGCATAATCAATTTGGACACTTTGGAACAGCCTTAATCCTGGATTTCTCCCTCCAACAGGTGGTTTTCTGAGGATCTGCTTATTAGTCTTCTTACATACTAGGCAACTATCTGTAACTTGTCTTGCCAAAATATAAATTCCTATACATCTGTAGACCCCGAGGACTGCATCACACTTAGCTTGAGGTCCCTAATGAGTCCCTTGATGCAGATGGGAGAGAATTTCCCTCATGAGGGGTTTGGATAACATTTCTCTTTGGTCTGGTGACACCCATTTCCCTTCTGAATTTTCTTTGGCTCCTATTTTTATTAATTTTTCCTTTTCAGCGGGAGAAAAGATGGGGACTGCAGTCGAGGGAGGAAGGCAAGGGACTAAGTGAAAAACAGGCATTTTCAGAGGAAACGGCAGTGTGTTTGGCTATTTGATCTGCTAGGTTATTCCTTCCGCTTTGAAAAGAAAGACTTTTCTGATGTCCTGGAACATGGACAATAGCTATTCTGGCAGCTGCAGGTTATCTAATACTTGGGTGATTAATTCTTTGTGGCCCAGGTCTTGGCCTTTGCTATTAATAAGATCTCGTTCAGTCCAAATTTTTCCAAAGGTGTGAGCTACCCCAAAGGCATACTTGGAATCAGTATAAATAGTCCGTTCTTGGTTTTGCAAGTGCTTTAAGGCTTGATTTAATGCAAACAATTCATTCACATGTTTGGGCAGACCAATTATTTGGCAGGCTTCCTGACTCTACTTCTTCAAGTGCCTCCCCATCTACTACTGAGTACCTATTACGCCTTTTTCCTTCAATTACTTGGGAAGAGCCATCTATAAAGAAGCCCTGCCCCGTTTTGTAAGGGGTCTCTCTTAAATCAGGCCTAACTTTTGTATGATCATTAAATCTAAACACTCATGCTCAGGTCTCTTTAGATTTGGATCTCCAGTCAGGAAACCTCTGGGTTAAGTGAATTATCAGTGGTTAGTGTTAAATCATCTCTTTCTAACAGGATAGCTTCATACTTTAAAATTCTCAAGTCAGTAAGCCACCTTCCTGCCTTTTAATTTAAGATGGCTCTAACCTGATGGGGCATGTTTACAACTAACTTTCCCCCAAAGGTTAGTTTTCTGCTTTCTTTAGTTAACAAGGCGGTAGCTGCAATGGATTGAAACATTCAGGCCATCCACAGGTTACTGGATCTAAAACTTTTGATAGGAGATCCATGGGTTGCTGGTGACCTCCGTGTTCTTGGGTAAGGACCCCTAAAGCTACCCCCTTATTTATGTTAACAGAAAGGTGAAATGGCTTTTCTAGGGAAGGCAAAGCTAAAACAGAGGCAGTTATAAGCAGATGTTTTAGCTCCTCAACCTGGTGGAGTTCTTCAGAAGTCCAGAGGAGAGGGTCAGGCTTTTCTTGGGTGATTTTTAGGTAGAGAGGCTTTATGACAAGGGCATATGAGTCAATCCATAAGCGGCAATATCCGGCTATCCCTAGGAATTTTCTGAGTTCTTGTTTAGTCTTAAGCAAAGGTATGGATACAATCCTTTCAACCCTCTCAGGCCCTATCCTTCGTTTGCCGTTACTTATTAAGTGTCCTAGGTATTTAACTTCAGGCTCTATGAATCGAAGCTTTCTCTTTGAAACCCATAGCCCCTCTCCTTACAAATGGTTAAGGATATGGACGGAGAAAGCAGATACCTTTTCTATAGCCTAACCGGATATTAATAAGTCATCTACGTACTGGAGCAGACATATACATTTTGGGGTATAAACTTGTTCTAACACTTGTTCTAGAATTTGACCAAAGAGATTAGGGGAATCTGTGAAGCCCTGGGGTAGAACTGTCTATCGATACTGTTGCTGTCATCCAGAATGGGGATCTTCCCATTCGAAAGCAAAAATGTCTCAGCTGTCCTCATCCAAGGAGCATGCTCAAAAGGCATCTTTTAAACCTATTACTGTAAACCATTGATGTTCATATGGAATTTTACTGAGAATGGTTTAAGGATTAGGGACAACAGGATGGGTAGTCTAGACTGTCTGGTTGATGGCCCAGAGGTCTTATGCTAGTCGACATGACCTATCTGGTTTCTTCACAGGCAGTATTGGGGTGTTATAAGGGGACATACAGGGTTCAAGGAGCCCATCCTTGATGAGGCTTTCAATTACAGGTTTCAGGCCTATTCTGCCTTCTAAAGGAATAGAATATTGCTTTCTTCTTACTATTTCTCCAGGGGTTTTTAACTTTATATGTATAGGGGGAATTTGGAGTTTTCCCCAATTTCCTTCCCTTGCCCAAACATCAGGATGAATGTATGTTTCTTCTGCAGTGGTGAGCAGGTTTAATGAAGTGTAGAATCCTTCTGAGCCAATACGTAAACCTATACCTAATTTTAACATTAAGTTTCTTCCTAATAGATTAGTTCCTGCCTCTGAAATTAACAAAAATTCAACATTAGCTGAGCAGTTTTTACATCTAATTTCTGTTTCTTTTAAAATTTTTAGTTTGATTCCCTCTCCTTTTACCCCTGAGACTACAAGCTCCTCTGAGGACCAGGTTATATTGTGGGGGAAGGTAACAAACAGAGGAGCAGGCTGCTCCTGAGTCTACTAAAAAGGTCATAAGCTCGGATTTGGGTTCCACTTCTAAATTTATCAAGGGCTCTTGGTGGGATTCAAGGTAAAAGAGACAGAGCCCCTAACCCCCCTATTCCTCCTCAAAGGTCGTAAGTGGGACGACTTCTCTTTCTGATTTTAATTTGGGACAATACCTCTTGAAGTGGCCTACTTTCTCACAATTGAAGCATTGATTCTGTCTCTTCTCTCTATTTTTGGGTTTCTCGGCTTTGTCTCCTTATGTTCTTTATATGGCTTAGGAAGTGGGGGCCTAGGATCTTTATAGGTTTTGGCTCTCGGGAGGCTTTGTTTGGGAGTGTGTGGGTCTCTGGGTAACAGAGAGTAATACTGGTGTGTTTTATCCTTTGGGGCCCCCTGTTGGAAGGTGGATAACATAATTTTCATTTTTTCTTTTTGCTTCTCCTCATCCCTCCTTACACACACTTTCTGAGCTTCTCTAAGAAGCTCGTTCGTGGGATGGTCCTTCCAATTTCCTATCTTTTGTAATTTCCTTGTGATATCTGGCTGTTAGTAACAAAATGAAGCTTTAACATTCACTGCCTAAGAGGATCTTCTAAATCTAGGCCAGCATATTTTCTCATTTGTTCTTTCAACCTGTCTAAAAGTTCGATAGGCCCTTCATCTTTCCTTTGTTGTATGTCGAATGCTCGAGTAAGATTTTGGGTTCGGAGTACTGACTCCCGAATCCCTTTTATTATCATTTCCCTAAGTTCTTGCGTATCCTCTTCAGTGGGCTGCGTTATTATTGTCCCAGCAGGGGTCTTGGTTGGGGAATTTTTGATCCGCTGCATGAATGTTTTGGCCAGGAGGGTGTTCATGTTCCCAGGGTACCATAGCAGCTCTACAGATGATGCTTCTTTCTTCCCCTGAGAAAAGGATGCCTAGGATGGACATTAACTCAGCCCAAGTATATATAACTGTGGTCCTAGAAATTGGTTAATTCGATCTGCTATTCCACTGGAGTTGTCTAATAGTGTGGCTTGAACTCTGTTTTTAGGTTTTGGACCTCCGAGCTGGTTAAAGGAGCATTTACAAAGTGAATACCTCCTCCTCGTAGGGACACCTCTCTTCAGGGGAAGAGAGGTGGAGCTAATTCTCCCGAGGTAGAGGGGAAGGGGAAGTTCTGAATATCCCTTTTACATTGCTCTATCTCACACTGAAGTCCTTTCAGGGAAGAGTACTTAGGGTGATAGTGAGCAGGCTGTTGGGACAATTCCCAAGAGGCAGGGTTATAAAGAGGGGGAACAATGTGGGTAGGAGAAGGGTCTGGGACAACTGCCTCTGCTTGAGGGGGAAGGAGGTTAGGGATATTGGACGGGGGAAGGTGGTGGAGGAAGTTCCATGTGTTGGTGAGCTGTCTAGGAACAGGGACCTTATCTTTCTCAGAGGAGTTAATTTCTGACTTGCTTTTCAGGATTGATTCCTGAGTCCAAATGAAACAACAATATTTTATCATTTGCTGCTTTTTCTTGTATTTAGTCCTTTCACTCTCTTTTCAATATTTTAGCATAAGCCCTAGGGGACTATCAGGAGGAATGTTATTGTTGCTAGCTTTATCCTTTTTCTCCCCTGCATTACTTGAGGTATTTCCCATCTTGAAAAGGGATTGGGGTGAGGCTCAATTTCCCCTACTAGAAATTTCTTCCCAGTTACGAGAGGTTTGTATAAGGCTCAACCTCTCCTACTGGAGATTTCTCACCTTTCCTTTCCTTCCCTTCCCTTCCCTTCCCTTCCCTTCCCTTCCCTTTCCCTTCTCTTTCCCTTCCCTTTCCCTTCCCTTTCCCTTTCCTTTCCTTTCCCTTTCCTTTCCTTTCCCTTTCCTTTCCTTTCCCTTTCCTTTCCTTTCCCTTTCCCTTTCCCTTTCCTTTCCCTTTCCTTTCCGAGGCTCAACCCCCCTGCTGGAGGTTTCTTGCACTTTTCTCCTTTCGCTTCATCCTTCTCTGGCTGCTTCCCTCATGGGAACGTTGGTTTCCTCTTAGCAATGGCTGTTTCAGTAGAAACCCCTGACCCAGACTCCTTTACAGAAGGGCTACCTTAAGCTGTATAAGGTGACCACAGAACTGCAGATCTGGACTGAACACTTGCTTTGCACTCAATTGTGAGTCTCAACACACACTTTCAATCTCCAAGATATCCCAACCACCAAGAAAATAGTTTGTCGCTCTTGTGATGTTTCTTACGTTGGTCTGTGCACATAGTTACCTGGTCACCATGGTATGTGAGGATCCTTTTCTCTTAAGTTGTTGGTCTGTTCCTTTCCAGACTGCTGAGAGTCCGGGTTTATTCATCACACTGGGTGGGTCCTGATCCCTCACCATGAGGCCACCTCAGTGAGGCAGTGGGATGCTTCTCCTCACTATTGGTGACTGGAGACCCTTTTCTCAGAGGAGAATGGGAATTCCAGACGAGCCCCCAGATTGTTAGAAACAAATGATCAGGCTGGGCACAGTGGCTCGCCCCTGTAATCCCAGCACTTTGGGAGGCCGAGGTGGGCGGATCATGAAGTCAGGAGATCGAGACCATCCTGGCTAACATGGTGAAATGCCGTCTCTACTAAAAAAAAAAAAAAAACACAAAAAAATTAGCTGGGCGCAATGGTGGGTGCCTGTAGTCCCAGCTACTCAGGAGGCTGAGGCAGGAGAATGGCGTGAACCTGGGAGGTGGAGCTTGCAGTGAGCTGAGATCAAGCCACTGTGCTCCACCCTGGGCAACAGAGCGAAACTCTGTCTCAAAAAAAAAAAAAAGAAAGAAAAAAGAAACAAATGATCAGTGCTGCAAGGAAGAACCAGCACTCAGGAAAAAAAGTTTTCTCAGCAAGACAACTTACTTCTGCAAAAGACTGCTGTTTGCATTAGTCACGAATGCAAGAGCACACCGAGCAGGATAGAGCAGGAGTTTATATCCCTAACGCAGTCCCTACCTCTCTGTCATTTCCACATGGGCTGGAGTCGGACTACACAATCTAAGCAGACTTGATTTGCTATCGCGAATATTCTCCCTAATAAGGAAGGGAGAGGGAATGTGAGTTACAGGTTGGGACTGACGGGAAGAGTTGTTTACAAGGCAGGTAACTGAGCAGATAACTAAGCAGGTAAATAGGGGTGAGAAGGTACAGGGAAATTGTTCTTAGGAACAAAGAACGAGGAAGTTGAACAGGTTAAACCTTTGAAGAGGAACTTACTGTACCTAATAAGTTTTTTTGATTGGCTAATTAAATGTCTATTCATTATTGCCAAAAAGTGCCTACCTCAACAACAAGATACCAAATTTTAGAAAATGTTGGAGCTCTCTCTGAATCTAGGAGGAAGTGAGTAGTTTAGCTTTTATTTAGTAGTTAGGACCTTAAGTAAATCACTTTTTTTACTGTGTTTCTGTATAACATAGATAATATTTTTTGCCCTGCAAGAGAGCATATAGAGGAAAGCTCTTTGGCAGCGATACTGTGCCCTATGAATAAAAAAGTGATGGTGTCATTTGTGGCTGAATAACAGTTTATTTTGAGAATGCTTTATAACAGCTTTTCATGGGAAATAAAGCAATGCTGTTAACTTCATCTTGCATTTTTCTCATTTTTACTATGATTAAAAAGTAGTCAGCTTGTACAAAGGAAAGAAACAAGCCTTGACTCAGGAGCCTAGGACTTTTTCTTTGGTTTGCCCTCCTGGAACAGATTACCTTTCCAAATTGAATTTGTGGAGGAGCATTGGGAAATATCAGAAATGTCATATTAAGCACCTCAGTGGTACTTTTAATAGAGGAGTTATTCAGAAATTATACTAGGCAGATAGAGAGGGTAAGGAGGCCTCAGTAAGGCTTTCCCTTTTAATAGAAACAACTCCAGAAACATTTCTTTTTCTTTTCTTTTTATCTTTTTTTTGGAGACGGAATCTCGCTCTGTCACCCAGGCTGGAGTGCAGTGGTGTGATCTCAGCTCACTGCAGCCTCTGCCTCCCAGGTTCAAGTGAATCTCCTGCCTCAGCCTCCTGAGTAGCTGGGACTACAGGCTGCCAAGCTTTGATATGCAAATGCCAGCGCTTAGAAACTGTGTCCATTCAACATGGAGATTCCCACCCTCTTCTTCTAGTCACCACCTCAAGGTGACACCTCCAGATGACCCCATGTGTGCAGGACAACATGGTGACCTACATTTGCATATTAAAAGGCTAGGGTGGGAGGGCCACGTTTTTCTCGGGCTACATGAATGACCTGCCTGGTCAAACCAATGCCCTGGGCCCTGTGCAAATCAGACACCACCTCCTCCAGCCTCCCAATATAACCGAGTACTGTTCTGCCACACACGGGGCTTTTTCTCTGTTCAGACCCCCCTTTTTCTGTACCGCAGGGAGCCTTTCTTCTTTCTTGCCTATTAAACTTTCTGTTCCTTAAAACCACTCCTGTGTGTCCATGTCGTTTAACTGGCGTGAGACAAAGGACCCCGATGTTTCTCCCGTTTTCAGAGCCATATCACTTTGAGTCCAGAGGAATTATTTTCATTTATCTGACCAATTTATAATATAGGGTCAAATTCCTAGTGGTTATCCTCCCTCATCCCCATTTTTATACCCTTCCTTGAAAGGAACAGGTATATGAAGAGGAGACAGGTTTCCCTTTTGTGAATAGTATATCCCTTAGTATCTTGATTTTTTTTTGGTGGGGGTGGGGGGAGTTAAACTTACTTAGACCTGGTAAAGGGCAGTATTTGATAAATGTCAGCTAGTTTAGGGTTAGGGAATTGAGTTGAATGGAGATAGTCACTGCCAAATGTAAAGCATGACTGGAGAGCCACAGTGATGAAGCCAGGGTCCCTTTCTCCAGATCCTTTGTAACAGTGTTATGTGATCTCTTCTAGAAGATTGTTCTGAAAGATAATGCCAACTCGGAACCTAGGAAACCATCCAGTGGGTTTCTGCAGCTTAGGTGGTTCAAATCCTCATCAGCACGTTTGTTTTCTCTGCCTCAGTTTGCTTACAGTGATGTTCTCAGTAGCTGTAATTGCTGTCTTTGAATACTTAAGCATTTTTTTTTTAGCTCACAGGGGTATGTGTGCATTTTTCTTTTACCAAGTGTTAGAACTTTGACTCTGCTTTTGTGGGCTCTGGTTTAGCAACTTGGTTGTTTAGTTGTAAAATGATTAGTAGGGAAAACCGTGTGTGTGTGTGTGTGTGTGTGTGTGTGTGTGTGTGTGTGTATTTTAAGTTTCTTTTGTTCTCAGAGCACTTAGAATTTTATATGGAAATTCTATCAGTTTACTTGATTCTCCACCCCACATTTCTTAAACAGCAAAGTATGAAGGTAATGTGTCCCGTAACCAGCCTTCAGAATAATTACAGCTGCTGTGTCTCTGAACTTTCAAGAAGTTTGTGCATCAATTTTCAAAAAATTATGAAATCCTTGAAGATAGCTGTGTTCTACATTTGGAAAGATACAAAAACTGAACCTTCTAGCAGGCAGTTTTGCTTGCTGGTGCTTGCGATAGAGCCACACATTGGTCTCAGTGGATTTATGGAGAAAAATAGGTACGGAAAGTTATTTCTAAATAAGACCAAAAATCCTTTTCTTAAGCAGTGACAGGTAAAGAGGTTGTCTTGGCTAATATTGAATTGTGTTGCCCTTGATTGAGACAGTTTTATGGTGGGGATGGTAGTGGTGATAAACTTGTTTGAAATTTGTCCACCTATAGTAACCTTTGTGGTAGCTGTCACAGACAGCTTCATCCTCACAGGCCCTAAAATTACTATAAAACTAATAGATTGGAGGAGAAACAAAGGACCTGAATAATTAGATGCTTAGATAATTGTTCTGTGTTTTCATAACAAGTGAAAAAGAGCAGTGTTAGAAGTACTTAAACTTTCCATGTAAGGAGCACTGCCTGAATTTATATTGTGATTTTAGAGCATCATTCACTGTTTAAAAACAGGCATATTGTGGGTCATATTTTAAAGACAAACAGAAAGCTTATCTTTTCAAGATGGATCTAAAGCTTAACCTTATCAAAATTACAAAATGTGAAGGATATGATTGAAAAATATTAATGCATAGGTTTAAATATTGGTCATCATTTTAGATGTCTTTCAAAATAGGTTGTCTCTTAAATATTAAACTGAACAAACATTGAACTTGTTGTAGAGTTTGTGCTCAAGGTTAAGTTTCCTGGGGTGATGGATATTTGATAATATGGATAACAAAAAGTTCTTAAGAAATTTAGAAAATTTTTAGGCAAAACTAGAAAATAATACTGATAATTCTACCACTCAGAATGTACCACTATCAGAATTTTGTATCTTTCAGTCATCTGCTCATCTCTTTTCTCCTTTGCTTGTATGTGTTCCCTCTCCCTTAAAAAATCAGATTTTTTTTTTGTAATCTGCATTTTCACTCAATATTGTAGATCTGTGTCATAAGTTACTCCTCTACAGTGCCTTCAGTTATTGTGTGCTTTGTGTTGGATGACTGTACCATCTAGTCTTTCGTGTTTCCTGGTACTGACTACATAGGGGTGAGTGTGTGTGTGTGTGTGTGTGTGTGTGTGTGTGTATTTTTTTTCTACCTTAACTAATGCTTTGGACATCATCAACAGGTAGAGCTAAATCCTTGAAACCTTCCAAGTGGTGGCTTTCAGTTATTGCTGAATTGGTTTTTAGAGATGGAACAAATTATATTGTATGGAAACTTTTTTTTTTTTTTTTTTTTTTGAGACAAAGTCTCAGCTTGTCACCCAGGCTGGAGGGCAATGGCATGATCTTGGCTCACTAAAACCTCCACCTCCCAGGTTCAAGTGATCCTCTTGCCTCAGCCTCCCGAGTAGTTGGGATTACAGGGGCCTGCCACCATGCCCGGCTAATGTTTGTGTTTTTACTAGAGATGGGGTTTCATCATGTTGGCCAGGCTTGTCTCGAACTCCTGACCTCAGGTGATCCACTCACCTTGGTCTCCCAAAGTACTGGGATTACAGGCATGAGCCACCATACCCAGCCTTTTTTTCTTCTAGGTACCAGCTTTTATTTATCAGATTGGTATAAATGTTAGAAAGCGTGCAATGAAATGGGCATTTTCACAGTCGTGGCAGAAAGTATAATTATCTTTGACTTTCTAGAAAGCAGTCTGGCATTCTAGAAACTTGCCTAACCTCTTCCCATTTAGACAAGATGAATTCTGACAGGGCCAGCCTTGTCCCTGTGATTCCGTATCTCCCAGAAAGAGAGGTCTAGTCTCAGGGAAAACCCAGATTTTCTTGGCTTAGCCCACCTGACAGCTAATCACTGGAAATGGGGCGGGCCGGTAGAGTCCTTTGGTCAGGTTTTGTGTCAAGAGAGGGATGTGGAAAGATGGGAGAGAGGTAGCAAAACTGGCCTCAATGGAACTGTGTAAGTTAACATAGAATGGCAAAGGAATGTTTCTTCCAAGGAAGAAATTCTAGGGAAGGAATAAAGTAGAGGGGAAGGCAGCAGTTCTCAAAGTTTTGGGGTCAGGATTCCTTTACACTCTTAAAAGTATATTGAGGGCCCAAGGAGCTTTTGTGTATGTGGGTTATATCTATTGGTATTTATCACTAGAAATTAAATCAGAAATACTTAAAATATTCCTTAAAAGCTCACAAAATATTGTTATAAATGCTTTTATGATAAGAAAATTTCTAAACCCAAGGTAGTACAGTCTTACATCTTTTGCAAATTTCTTTGATGTTTGATATGTCATTTGTACCTGCATTCAATTTATTGTGTGATATTTGCTTGAAAAAATGTGAACAAAGGACAGTCTCATACAGATAGGCATTTCAGATCATTGTGGATATTTCTTTTTTCTTTCTTTCTTTCTTTTTTTTTTTTTTTTGAGATGGGGTCTTTCTCTGTCTCCCAGGCTGGAATGCAGTGCTATGATCACGGCTCACTGGAGCCTCATTCTCTGGGGACTCAGGTGATCCTCCCACCTCAGCCTCTAGAGTAGCTGGGACTACAGGTGTGTACTACCCCACCTTGCTAATTTTTTGTATTTTTTGTAGAGATAGGGTTTTGCCATAGGTATTCAAATAGAAAGTTTTGTTTTTGTTTTAGTATATAAAGAAATATAACTTTCCATGTTGGAAAAATTTTTAAAACCTTTTTTTAATTTTAAAACTCATAAGCAACCATTGTTGAGAAAATTGGTAAAGTACAGAAAAGATAAAAGAAAAAAATTAAAGTCTCCCATAATTTCTCTATCTAATATAACCACTATTGACTGTTGACATGATGGTCATTTTCTACCAGTATATATTTTTTCTTTGCTATTAAAATACATAACCCTTACACATATGCTTAATAGTTGAGGTCATATTCTCTATAGTTTTATATATATATATATATATATATTTTTTTTTTTTTTTTTTTTTTTTTTTTGAGACAGAGTCTTGCTCTGTCACCCAGGCTGGAGTGCAGTGCCGTGGTCTCGGCTCACTGCAAGCTCCACCTCCTGGGTTCCCACCATTCTCCTGCCTCAGCCTCCCCAGTAGCTGGGACTACAGGCGCCCGCCACCATTCCCGGCTAATTTTTTGTATTTTTTAGTAGAGATGGGGTTCCACCGTGTTAGCCAGGATGGTCTCGATCTCCTGACCTCATGGTCTGCCCACCTTGGCCTCCCAAAGTGCTGGGATTACAGGCGTGAGCCACTGTGCCTGGCCCTTTTATATTCTTTTAAAAAGTATTTACTGTATTTTCCTGTGATGTCATAGTCTTTATAGAAAAATAATCATTATTTTCAGTTGACATGATTGTTTACCTAAAAATATCCAAAGGAACCAACTGAGAAAAAACAATTTTTAAGATTACTGGTTAAAAGTTCTTTTATATAAAAATCAATAGCCTTCCCCAATGTTAGCTATAATCACATAGAAGATATAGTGATGAAGTATTTTTTCAGGTATTTCAGCAAAAATTAAATGCCTAGGAATAAACTTAGATGTGCAGGACTTTTATCAAGGACAGGACAAAATTTTGCTGAGTGGAATGAAAGATTTGCATTCTATGTTCCTGGATGAGCAGATTTCATGTTATAAATATGTTAGTTATCACCATGTCTTCATATTAATTTGTAAATGTAATTTCTGCTGGGCACAGTGGCTCATACCTGTAATCCAAACAGTTTGGGAAGCTGAGGCGGGTAGATGACAATTAGCTGGGTGTCTGTGGCACACACTTGTATTTCCAACTACTTCTGAGGCTGAGGTGGGAGGAGCACTTGAGCCTGGGAGGCAGAGGTTGCAGTGAGCCGAGATCATGCCTCTGAACTCCAGCCTAGGTGACAGAGTGAGACCCTGTCTCAAAAAAAAAAAAAAAAAAAAAAACTAGAAAAGTGTGTGTGTATATATATATATTTCATATTTTATAAATATTTATATATATAAATTGTATATATACATTTTATATTTTATATATAGTGTGTGTGTATTATATATATATACACACACACACAAATTTCAGTACAAATTCTGGCAGATTTATTTTTGACACTTGACAAAACGACTCTAAAATTTGTTTAGAAGAATAAGTAATAAAAATTAATAAAGTATAGACTCTTTCAACCAGATAGTAAATAAAATATTGTGGACTATCCCTGGGCCAGACAGATAAAGGCAATGGAAGTTTAGAACCAGAGTCATGCAAACGAGAATTTAGTATAAGGAAAAGGTGGTATTTTAACTTAATACTGAAAAGATAGATTATTCTGTAAATGGTTTTAGGAGAACTATTTGAGGAAGTCTGAGTCTTAACTCCAATTTTTGTCAAAATAAGTTAGTTGGTTTAAACACATCTATTCTTAAAAATTAGAACAGAAGAATATTGGTTTGAAGATATTTTAAGAGTTAAGGCTGAGGCTGGGCACAGTGGTTCACGCCTGTAATCCCAGCACTTTGCGAGGCCAAGGTGGGAGGATTGCTTGAGCCCAGGAGTTTGAGATCAGCCTGGGCAACATAGCAAGACTCTTTCTCTCTCTCTCTCTCTCGATATAGATATACATATAAATATACGTATACAAATAGAAAAAAAAAAGAGTTAAGTTTTATATGGAGAGCCATGAAGATAAGAGGTAAAAATTAAAGGCTTGATGGACACATGTTTACATCTCCATCAAGGGGGTTGATGGGAAAGAATGATAGACATAGCTCCATTACTGCTACCTCCTTTTAGGAAGTTGCTTCTGAACATCTAAAGATATCAGTTTTATAATAGAAATGAGTTATTTTTCAGTGTCTAAAACACCACATGAGATACATACATACATGCATACATACATAAATATGTTCATAAAGTTAAATGAAATAGGATATAAAATTGGGCCTAGTGTTTAAAAGGTAAATATATTTACATGAAGGAGAAAACAACTCACCTCCCACTCTTAGAGCCTCTGCCAGTTTATCATAGCCTAGTTTCTTGAGAGAATAAGCTACATGTCTTCACCTTTTTTCACTGAGCTCATTATACTCTGGATTCTGCCTTCATCGTTGCACTAAAATTTATCTCCTAGTTGTCAAATCCAGTGGCTCCCCTCTTAGTCCCCAAATTGTCCCCTCTGCAGTATTTTGATACTGTTGATTGTTCCTTTGTTGAAACATTCCTCCATTCTTAATGTCCACCAATAAAGAGTTGGTTAAATAAAAATTATAGTGTACCGTTTTATAATATTCTGTTGTTCTGTTGTGGACCAAAAAATGCAGCCAGTCTTTCCATAAGAGCACGTGCAAACTTCTAAGATATATTAAGTAAAAAAGTAAGGCATAAAATATTGTGTATAATCTGACCCCTTTAGTACACAGTGTAAAAACATCTGTGTCTGTGCTTCTTTATACTTACTTTTTTCTCCCCTGGTGAATACAGGAAACTGTGAGTAGTACAACACAATTAAAAAAAAAAAAACTGTGTGTCTGCTGCACCAGGACCTGTGATAATTGGGTATAAAAGACAAAAAAGACATGTCCCTGTCCTCTGGGAAGGGACATGATAATCAAATGAGACTTCTGTCGGATTCTTTTCTCCTGTTTTGATCTTATCACCCTTTCTTGGTCTCCTCCGATCTCTTCTTCCTTGTCCTACTTCTTCTCTTCTCATTCTGTGCTTTCTCTGAGTAATCTTTGACTCCCATTACTTAAGTCATGACCTGTGTTCCAGGGACTCCTAAATTTGTATTCATCTCCAGAGTTTCAAACCCATATATCTGTCTGTATATCATATATTTAGGGAATCTCACTTGGAGTGACATGGGTGTTCAAAATGATGATATTTAAATTTTCACGTATCCATCTCCTAGCACTCTATCTAGTCACATATGCCTAAACCTGGGAACTGTCTTAATATTCTTTTATATACACCTGTTCTGACCTCCCCCCCAAACTAGTAAATTTCTAAGACCTGTCCTTCTGAATGTCTCTTACAATTTTCCCTGTGATCTCAGTTTCTTCCTCCCATCCCTCAAATGCTTTGTGTGTGTGTGTGTGTGTGGTGGGGGAAGAGAGTAAAATTGAAATTTGTGGAAAACGTACTAGCCTGTCTGTCTGTCTTTCGAGGTGAAGTCTCCCTCTTGTCCCCCTGGCTGGAGTGCAATGGCACAATCTTGGCTTACTGCAACTTCCATCTCCTGGGTTCAAGCAATTCTCCTGCCTCAGCCTCCTGAGTAGCTGGGATTACAGGCACCTGCCACCATGCCCAGCTAATTTTTGTGTTTTTAGTAGAGATGGGGTTTCATCATGTTGGCCAGGCTGGTCTCGAACTCCTGACCTCAGGTGATCCACCCGCCTTGGCCTCCCAAATTGCTGGGATTACAGGTGTGAGCCACCATGCCTGGCCACTACCCTGTCTTGTTGCTTGGTATGACTCCACTACCCTGCTGCCTCTCTCCCCGTACAGCAGCATAATTTAGGAATCAGAGAGACTGAGGAGGATATATATTATTTAGGTGCACCGGCCCAGTCAGATTAACATCTAAAGGACTGAGCCCTGAACAAAGAGTCAGGTTACCTTTTAAGCATTTTGTGTCGGTCATTATGCCGACAAGGTGTCCGCACTAAGTTCAGTATCAGTATGGTGACCTCCTGGGAACAGGTCATCGGCTTGCCTAAGGATGGGAGAACTGGCCCAGGTCAGAAAGGGAGCAGGTCAGAATTCCTGCACCAATCGGTAGTGGGACTGTGCCTGGGCAATATAGCAAGATCTTGGTTCTTAAAATTCAAAATAAAGAACAGCTCATTCCCCTCTGGGGAGGGGCTGGCTCAAGGTTACACAGTGAGTGTGGGGGCAGAGGCGGGCCCACTGTACCTCCCTTGTTGGGTTGTCTGAGGACCCCTCTGGCCACCCCCCACAGGAGATGGAGGAGGACATCTGGACAGTGAGCAGGAGGCGCTTCGGCCCATGCCGAACATCCCAGGGGACCTGGAGAGCCGGGAGGCCATGGTGAGCCTGACTTTCCCTGCCCCTACTTTGCCACCTTCCTCTGTGGTCCCTCCGAAACCCCCTTATGTTCTTGGTTTCCCCGCCTTCTGACTTCTGTGGACTTTCTCTGCTTCTGGGAGCCAGTGGTCAGACACCATTTCACCTGTGACCAACAGGTGCACTCTGTGAGGCCCGAAATGAAGGGGCTATGCTCCATCTGCCTGCCCCAGTTGTTATGTGTATACCCCTACAAGAATACTCACCTCTTGTCTTCAGGTGGCATTTTTCAACTCCGCTGGAGCCAATGCCCAGGAGGAACAAAGGGTGTGCTGCCAGCCCCTGGCTCACCCAGTGGCCTCGTCCCAGAAAAAGCCAGAGGTAGCGGCCCCAGCCCCAGAGAGTGGGGGTGAGTCTGTGTTTGGGGAGACCCACCGGGCCCTGCAGGGGGCCATGGAGAAGCTGCAGGTGAGTAGGTCCTGGCATGGGCCAACAAGGGGGGCGGGGGGGCAGGACAAGGCAGGTGACTCCTGACATGTGACCCCATTATTTTGGCTCCACAGCGACTTTATGGAAGGAGAAGGTGGACCTGAAGGAGCGGGTAGAGAAACTAGAGCTTCAATTCATCCACCTCTCAGGACAGACAGACACCATAGGGAGTGAGAGGCTAGGGCACCGCTGGGGGGAGCTGCCAGGCCGTCTGAGGGGCCCCAGCATCTGAGCCATGTCCTCCTGCAGGAAAGTACATCAGCCAGGGGGCAGTGTCAGAGACGCAGCACTGGGAGAGGAGGACATCGTCAGGCTGGCCCAGGACCAGGAGGAGATGAAGGTAGGGTGTGCAACATCTCGGTGGGGGAGGGTGGGGGTGGGTGTGAACGTGCGTGCTGGCACCGGCATGGCAGCTAACACCCCTTCCTCCAGGTGAACCTGCAGGAGCTGCGGGGCAGGTGTTGCAGCTTGTGGGAGACCACAAGGAGGGGCATGGCAAATTCTGACCATTGCCCAGAACCCTGCTGATGAGCCCACTCTAGGAGCCCCAATAGCCCAGGAGCTTGGGTGTGCTGACGAGCAGGGTGGTGAGTAGAGCCCTCAGGCGGGGTGGGCAGGCAGGAGCAGGGGAGGCTCACACTGTGCTCAGATTCCCACCCCCCCTCCCTCTCTCTGAAGATCTTTGTGAGGTGAGCCTCACTGATAGCGTGGAGGCTGCACCAGGAGAGGACAGGGAGGGTTCTCCCCACGACAACCCCACTGCACAGCAGATCCAGCAGCTGCTTCCTGTAATGCAGGACTCCCCAGGAGCACCCAGGCATGGGCAGCAACCCCTGCATGCCATTCTTTTTGGGCTCCCAAGAACAGGGAGATAAACACCACCATCATCTGAGAGCCGGGAAGGGGAAGGCGTAGGTGTGGGCGTGGCAAGGTTCCTGGAAAAGAGGGGCTGGAAGGGAAAGGGGAGGAAGATGGAGGGAGAAGCTAGAGCTTCATAGGTAGTGCCTGGGGGCTGTGGCGGTCCTCCCCACCCCACACACACTGGCCTCTCTCATGGCACCCAGGCAGTCCACCCACAGTTCAGACCAATGCTCAACTCCCCCGGCTTCCCTCTTCTGTGGTCACCCCATCTTCCAACCCACTGGCCCAGGGCCACCTCTTGCTTGGGGAGCCCCACCCAACAGCCACCAAGCCTGACAGAAGGAACACTGCTTGAACCAAAATGGTGAAGCTGTAAGGGATGGCTGGCTGGAGTGAGCGCCAGAGGCCCCTCTCTGGGCAGTCAGAAAGCCCAGGGTCCACTGAAGGGACCCTGGGGAAGGCAGGGAGGGCAGGTAGCTAGATGCCACTGCCCATAGACTTATAAGTCTAAGAGGGGAACCTCAACTGGTTGGCGGGGGGCTGCAGGTTGCATAGGTGAGGCTGGGCCCTTCCTGCTGGGAAAAGCAGAAGAGGGAGACTCCGCGGCAGGAAAGGCAGGTGGGCTCGCTAGGCGGAGCTCAGCTGGGCCAGCAAGCACTGTGGTCTCCTTGGCTGAATAGCACAGGTGACCCCTAGGAGCAACAGGCCAAGGTCCGTGAGCCTGCTGGCTGGCAGTAGTGCTTCAGTAGTGCTGGCCAGGGACCCAGCCTTCAGTCACATGCTAGCAGCTGTGATGGTACCTGGGAGGGAGGGAAGGGGGCTGTGTGTCCTTGCATGGCCTATGAAGTGTGTTGTGGGATGACCGCGTGTATAGGACTCTCAGGCTTTTATCCTAGATCACCACTGGATTGCTGACAGATAGAGGACGTGGGACCGTGACTATCACCCCTAATCTGCAGTGGATTTGGCTCTCGGCACTCCCAGGCTGGGAGCTGGATACCTGCCCTGGCAGCATGACTCAGACTGCATGACAGGTACGGCGTGCCCAGGATGATGTGCCCAGGCCTCTGGCCGCCTGAGTCCAGCCCCCCACACAACCCCCTCCAAGCTCCCAGCCCCTACACCATAAACCATGAGCTCTGTGCCCTCTCTGATGGTTCCACATCTGCCACCTTCGGCATGGAGCCTGTTGTAAGAGCCCCCAGGCTCAGCCATGGAGACCTTGAGCAGTGGCACTGAGTCCTGTGGCTGGCAGGGAGGGAAGTGAGACAGCCAGCAGCACAAGGACAGAAAGAGGAAAGAGCAAGGCTGCAGCTCTAGAAGGGAGGGGCAGGCAGCCTGGCTCTGAGGCTCCAGGTATGCCCCCTGTGTGGAGCTGGGGCAGCGGGGCGGGCAGACCATTCATGCAGCAGGCAGTGAGGCATGTACCTACCATGGCTGATGCTCCTCAGGGGCCACTGATAGTGATTCTGAAAGACAGCATCAAATCACATGGCAGGTCCCATGCATGGGTGGGGCAGGCCTGGGGGTGGCGGACACACGCACACGCCAGATTGTGCACACACATGCTGTGAGGCCCCACGGCCCGCATGCACACTCTAACACATGCCCACAAACAACACGCATACGTCGCCCTCTCCGCCACCTCCCGGTGCCCAACACCCTCACCAGCCGGCACGTGCCGCATGGATCTGGGGCGTGCAGCCACTCGGCACACTGAAGCACATGCGTGGGCAGAGTCACAACACAGATGCTCACCCGCACACAGAGGCATTTGCACCAGCTCCCTGCACACTCGTGCCTGGCGTGCTCAGAGGACCACCCATCCTGCTCAGGGAGACAGGGCTTGCTCACTAATGTCCGGCTGTCATTTCTCCACCTAAGAGCCTTCCATGGCTCCCTACTGCCTACAGCGTTGAATCCCAACAAGTCATACTCTTTGGACTTTGAAGGTTCTCCACCCTGTGCCCCACCCTCCCCACAGAGCTCTTCCTCATTCTGTCTCTGTTCCCTGCTTTGGCCAGTGGCTATCCTCAATGTGACCCACACTACACCTCTGCCCACACTGCAGCTCTTTACCCAGTTACCCTCCAGTTCCTCACAACGTATGCCTATCTCAGTCATGCCCCGGACTGCATTGAAGCCAGGCTGCCTTGAAGAAGCTCTCCCAGACTGCCCTTTTCCCCAAGGCAGGGTCATGATTTGCCAAAGGTTTCGTGTGTGTGTTAGCAAGACTGGAGTCAGAGCAGGCATCAAACTTTACATCCCATATGTCACACCTCACCATAGACCTGGGTGCCAAATAGCCTGAAGAGTCTGAACTCACGTTGGCAGTTAGCAAAGTGCTCCTACAGCCGCATCTGCGGTTAACATAGCATCCCTATGGCCACTGTCTCCCTTGATCCCCACAGCCATCCTAGGAGAAAGGCAGAATGTCATAATTTGCTAAAAGGGATGCTGAGGCTCTGGGAGGGAAAGGGACTTGCCTAAAGCCCCAGGGTGAAGCAGCATCTCTGGACTCCCAGTCCAGTGATCTTGCCCAATACTTTGCTGCTTGCCTATACCCCTCTAACTTGGTCAACAGCACATCACAGGGCAAGCCCCAATCCCTGCTTCATTTTTATATATGGGCGCTGGTCCCACAGCCCCACTCTCCAGCCATTTGGAAACAAAAACAGATGCTATTGTTCTTCCTTAGAGAACGTGGCCAGTGGAGACGGCACACTGGAAATCAGAGTGAATGTTCTTGAAAGAGGGTCACGGGTCAACAAGGCCCAGCCAAAGGATGCAGTAGAACCATTTTCCTTAGAAATCTTTGGGAGTGAAGTAGGCTTCAGCCACTCCCATCCCTGCCCTCGCGGCTACCACTACCCCATTAGTTTAGACAGGGTCGGGCGGGGAGGGGTGTGGAGAAGAAATGAGCTTGCCTGTGGCCCCCAGGCTCCCTCTGTCCTAGCTCAGGTCTGGGTGCCATTCTTTACACTCGTGTGCTCGCTCACGCACACATCACACACCTTGCTGGTCACACAGTCACAGACTCGCCTCTGCTCCTGTGGTCCAGTGGCCGGACACCCCCTGGGATGGCTCAAAGGAGTCAGGACTTGGAAGTGGGGACATCAGGGTAGCTGAAGGAAATCCACACACCCAGAGCATCTCGGAGTTCAGACTCTCAGACCTGAAGTAGGCGCCCCCGGGACTGGGCTAGGAGTTGGACGGAATGGAGGATGGAGGACAGCGAGAAGAAAGGAAGAGAAATGCAACGTGTGGGCAGCCGCCAAGAGTGAAAATAGAGGGAAGTGTCATGCAAGTGCTGGACAGAAGGCGGCAGGTGGGACGAGCCCCACAGCCCCCTCCTCAAAAACGACCACCTCCAGGACTCAGTGATCCCTGGGGGGCAGGCTCTGCCAGCCCTCGGCCACACGTGGCTCCGGCACCCATGGTCCCAGTGCCTTGGATGGAGACGGCCAGTTCTGGCGGCCAGATGTGGTGCTCTGGAATCCAGTCCCATTTCCTTCCTGGCCACGCCTGTCCAGCGGCCTCTTCAGCCGCATTCAGCCCCTACTTACCTGGGGACCCCGGCTGGGGCACGAGAGCACCAGGGGGGTAGGGCCCAAAGGGATCAGGGGAAGCCTCTGGCCTGGAGGGTATGGGGCACGCTTCCCCAAGGGCGGACCCGGCAGGAGGAAGCCCAGGAGCTGGGTCCTGCCGCCCAGGAGCTGGGCCCTGCCACCCAGGCCGGGCTAGGGACATGGCAGGGCCTGGGCATCCTGACGCTGGACTTGGGCGACCTGGGAGGCACAGGGAGGGGAGAGATGGGCGACCCCGCCCCAGCGCAGTGCCGGCCACACCCCAAGGCGGTTGCCAGAGCTTAAGCCCCGCCCCCAGCAGCGAGAACATCCCAGCTCCACACACCCCCCCCCCCCCCGGCAGCCAGTGCTCCTTGTCAAGCTCCCCCCGTCACTCCAGGTGGGAGCCACCCCGGTGAGGGGGTGTGCCACTTGCCCCCAGGGCACTCCTCTGGGCATCCCGGGTGGGGGATTTTGGGGCCGTGGGGGGCAGTCTTTGGTACCTGTGTTCGTCAGGGATGCTCTGACAACCAGGTGTCGTCCACGGGCGGGGGCATGGGCATGGTGACAGTGGTCCTGTTGATGTCACCGATGATGCTGAGCGCCTCCTTCAGCGCGTGGTGCATGTGCAGCATCTCGTCATGCTGCTGTGCCTGCTCTGCCAACTCCTCCATCAGTGTGTTCTGGTTCCCACATGAGTACATATTGGCCAGCGGCTCCGAGATGATGAACTCCGGGGTCTGAGAGTGGGCAAACAGGGAAGAAGGTTGGGACCTGGTGCCTGTGCCGCCCTGGCTGCCTTGCTGGGCCCTTCTGGGACTGTGCGCTGGACTTGGAGCCCCTTGGAGTATGGCTTTTCACATGGGCTTCTATACCGCTTCGACTGGAAGATCCACCTCCCCACTGCCTTTTCTCACTCAGATGGGGACACCGAGGTCCAGAGGAAAAGACACCTGTCAAATGTCACAGATCTGGGAGGGGACTTAAGACTTATCATGCCAAGAGGACACCTGTCTACTCAGTTTTTTTTTGGTGGGGCGGGGGGCGGTGATAGGGTCTCGCTCTGTCACCAGGCTGGAGTACAGTGATGACTGCTCACTGCAGCCTCCACCTCCTGGGCTCAAAGTGATCCTCCAACGTCAGCCTCTCGAGTAGCTAGGACTACAGGCACATGCCACCACCAAGCCCAGCTATTTTTAAAATTTTTGTGTGGAGACAAGGTCTCACTATGTGGCCCAGGCTGGTCTCGAACTCCTGGGCTCAAGTGATCCTCCTGCCTCGGCCTCCAGGAGTGGGAGTTGGAGTTGATGCCTGGATACAGGAGCTCTGTGGGTGGGAGTGAGACAAAACACAGGGTCCTGAGCTCTGGGGACCAAGCAATGTCCTCTGGTGAAAAAAATCCTGGACTTGCTGGCAGAAGATTTGCCTCTTACTCGCCATGTGCTCTGAATACATTTACCTGCCCTCTGGGAGCTTCAGTTTTCTTATCTGAAAAATGAGGACACCTGACCCCTTCCCTGCCCAGTTCAGTGTTGTGGGACAGGGTTGCTGTCAAGACAATACCCAGTCCTGCCCTCCTCCCTGAGTGGGCCAGGTAGCCCATGTAGCCTCTTCCCAGCTTTCCTGGGTGGCACTGCAGCCTGGTGCCCATTCAATCTAGTCCTTCATCTTGCTGGAGCATGGGGAAGCTCTGAGTAACATGGGACTATAGAGTGCAAGAGGGTTGCTGATGGTCTGGGTCCTGTGCCCTCCTCATTCCTGGGCATTCTTGACAAAGGCTCCCAGCAACTGAGGGTACGCAGCAGCTGTAGACACCAGCCTGATGAATATCTCATTGTGGGAAGGGCACCATAGCAGGAGTGGAGCTCCAGGGAAATACAGAACCGAGGTCTGGGAGGTGCTGATGTGAGAGGCCCAAGAAACCTCGGCTTTGCACTTGCTGAGTACCATCTGCACCTCTCAGGAGGGAGAGCGCCAGGCTCAGGAGGTCCTTGCCGAAGCAAGGGAGCTTGAAAAGGGGGCTGGGGTGGGCTCTGCCATTTTCAAGGGCTGACAGGGATCCCCTCTGGAGGTACTTGGGGCAGTGCTGTGTGCCGTGGCTCCTGAGTGACAGAGTCAGCTCTGCGCCCCACAAGACCGCTCCCTGCCGAGAACTCACTGTGATCATGTGCTGGGTCCAGATGCTCACGCAGCCTCCTGATGGGAGCATCAGGTGTGCTGCCTGCCCAGGGCGGCCCACAAGAGTCTGCCCTGCCCTGCCCTGCCCTGCTATGGAACAACTCCCATTCTGCCTTTGGGGAGAGGTGTTCATTTAAACCATGAGTGGGCTGGCCCCCGTGGCACAGTTACCACAGAGAGTCTGCCACTACCCATGGCTGAGAGCTCTAGTTCTTCTCTGAAGCCACCAGGACAGATGAACAGTGGCTTCCCCCTTTTGGCCGACTCAGCTGCCTTTCATCAGCTCATCTGCTCCTAGGATCCACTCTTCCTCTGGCTGGCACCTGATCTGAGCCCGAGGCTCACACCTCTGCCCACAGGCCCCAGCAGCTGCTTCACCTCCGACTCCATCCCCCACCAAGCACTGCCCCTCACCAGCTGCTGGGGTGCCACTAGTGCCCCTACATGGTTCTCCCTCTCCAGACCCTTGGGTCCAGCTCTAGCTTCCTTCGGGAAGCCACACCCCAAGACCCCAGCCCTGCTCTGGGGCCCTGTATCCCCGACTTCCTGCATTCTTCTCCCTCCTTCTGGGAACATGAACTTGCCCTGCCAGCCTGATGACTCCTAGAGGGCAGGACACCAGGTCCTGGACCATGGCAGGCCTGGGAGTGTCTGCTGCCGGTGATGCTGGAGCTGGTGCCCATGTCCACATGATGTCCATGGCACAGTGGCCACCTGAGGCTGGGCGCATCTGAGTGGTGGCTGCAGAGTGGGGCCCTTACCTCTGCCTGAGTGAAGTTCACCAGGTCCTCCCCTGTGCTGTCATGCTGGGCGTGGAAGAGCCGGCCTAGCTGGAGGCCCCGCACCACATGGTAGAGCAGGAGCTGGGGGTCGGTGCCTGCTGGCTCTGAGGCTCTGGCTGCTGAGTGGCTGGACGGACTCTGCCAGAGGCAAAAGGGGCCATCAGCCTTTGTGATCCAGGCCGAGGCCTGTGGCTGCAGAGAGGCAGTGTGACCCTGGCATGCCACCCTCAGCTCTGCCCCAGCCCCCCGCACCCAGGAACGCCCACAATCAGCACACCCACCTGGGCAGTCAGTGTCCGGCTGCCCTCCAGCGAGTGAAGCACTTGCTTCTGGGCCGTCACTCAGAAGCTAAGTGTCTGGAGGAAGTATGTTCACCGTCAGAGAGGCCAAAGTGGATGCCTCCGTCCAGGGCCCCTGGGGACAAGGGTGTTGGGTCCAGCTGGCCTGAACTGGCTCCCCACCTCAGGGTGCCCCCGTGGGCAGCAGAAACCTGGGGCTCGGCCCTCAGCACCCACCTCTGTGTGAGAACAGCACGAGCCCACCATCCAGCTGGGTCTGCTTGAAGCTGCGCACCTCAGTGCCCGGCACCGCCCACTGCACTACCCACCCATTGCTGGGCTGCTTAATGGTGTACACCAGGTCCTTGGGCCCAGAGTAACCATCCATGCTCCTCAGAGCCTCTGTAGGGATGGGCACGGTGGCCCCCTCCCACATCTGGGGACACAGGCCTGTGAAGGTTCTGCCCTGCCACACTTACCCACCCCTTCCTCCCCGGCCCTGGGCTGCCACCAGGGCTCCAACCCCACTGAGGCTCAGGCCCTCAGGTGGCATCAAGGCTGGCGCTGCTGTGGCTCCCCTGCACAAATGGCCTCCCTGCATTCACCTTCCCTGTCACCCCAGGGAAGGCCACCCTCCAGGCCCAGCATCCCTGCTCTTCATCTGTCCTAGTCCTGTGTGTCCCTCAAGACCAGCTTGTGTACCCAACCCAGGAAGGCCCTAGCTCTTACCGTCACCAAGTTCTCACCCCCAGAAACCCCCAGCGCTGACCAACAGTGCTCCTTAATCTAGCTCACTGGTGGGGCAGCAGTCTCCTTTCAGACCCTCCATGTGTGCCTGGCAGGGGCTGGGCACAGGTGGGAACAGTGATTTTAGAAACGAGCACTCCTTCCAGCTAAGGGAGGGGTGGGAGGCGCAGAGAGCTGAAGCCTGATGGTTGGCACTGTCCTGCAGCACAGAAGCAGTGCTGGGATGGGCCCAGGTGCTTCCAGAGCAGTTACGGGCCCTCCTCGTGTTGGGCAAAGGGGGCCCCTTTTCAGGCCTCCCACTAGCAAGCAGAACAGGCACCCGTTCCTGAGGTCCTGGTACCACTCTTGCTGGGTCAATTACTTGTGGGCAGTGCTGCAGTGGGACTCACATGCCCAGAAAACAGCCCTCTGGCATTCCTGGGCTTCCTCCCCTGGCCGCAGGGAGCCCTCAGGCCGAGCCTTGGCAAGAGGGGCCATACTGTGGGAGGCAGGGCCCCATCACTGGGCTCCCGGAACAAACACGGGTAGATGGCACCACCTGGTGGCCGCACTGCCACACAGCCATCCCAGCCTGTGGTTCCAGGGTGCTGTGTCCCACTCTTCTGTGGCGTCCGCACCATGAGGCCACCCCCTACAGGCACATCCTAGACCACCAAAGCCCCCCGGTGCCCCATGTCAGAGACAGCCCAAGTCAGCCCTCTTGCGGAACCTTCAGTGGCTTCTGCTGACTGGGGAGGACGCGCCCCAGAAGCTGGGGTTCAAAGCCCTGCCACGTGGGCTTAGTAAAGCCATGCCCTTTCTGTTCCACCAGAACTACTTTTGCAATCATGGAGAAGTTCCATCCCATCTCTGGGCCTCAACTTCCACCTTTGCCAAATGGGGGCCCTGCTCTGCTGTGGACAAGGGGCAGGAGTTTGGGAAGCCAAGCTGAGGCCTCCACTTGCTGGGGTGAAGGTGGGAAGCTTAACGGTCCCACCCTGACGCCAGCCCTTAAGGGCTTGTAAGTGATTCTTTCAGGTGTTCTGGTCCTAAGCCACAGGAGAAGGAACAGCAGAGCCACCCATGGCTGCTCAGAAGTCTGCCTACCGTACTTGCAAATGTCCAATAACAAAACCTCCCACCTGTGTTCTATTTCAGCACAATCTCACATCTCTCCTTCCAACAACTGCGTGAGGCACACAGTAGTGTCCTCATTTTGCAGAGGAGGAAACTGAGGCTCAGAGTGGGGGAGATCTGTGCCGGGAAGTAGGGGACATTGGCCTCTTTCTCAAAGCAGACATGGGGGGTGGTCCCAGGAATATGCTCACCTGCAGGCCTGAGTTTGTATGAGGTCGGGGGTTGGCCATTGACAGGCAGGATGGTGACAGTGAAGGCCACAGGATGGCTCTGGCGGTCCATCTCAGAGGCATTAGCCATCAGGACAAAACCGTCAGTGTCTTGCTCCCATCGTGCAGGTACTGGATCAGATGCTCTTCCACCTAGGGGCAGGCCCAGGGCTGGCAGTCAGGCCCCAGCAGTACCCTTCATGTTCTGCCTTTGGGTGCAGGAAGAGACTGACCCTTTTAGGGCCTCAGCTTCCATTGGTGGAAAATGGGGACCATAAGTTCTGGTTCCCAGAGGAGTTGTGAGGAAGAAAGGGGATATTTTATTTTATTTTGAGACAGAGTCTCTCGCTCTGTTGCCCAGGCTGGAGTGCAGTGGTGTGATCTCGGCTCACTGCAACCTCTGCCTCCCAGATTCAAGCGATTCTCCTGCCTCAGCCTCCTGAGTAGCTGGGACTACAGGTGCGGGCCACCACACCCGGCTAATTTTTTGTATTTTTAGTAGAAACAGGGTTTCACCGTGTTAGCCAGGATGGTCTTGATCTCCTGACCTCCTGATCTGCCCACCTCGGCCTCCCAAAGTCCTGGAATTACAGGCATGAGCCACAGCGCCCAGCCCGAGATACAGCATCTAAAGCATAGGTCTTTCTGAAATGTGACTCCCTGTCTCCTCTCTGTATAACCCCTGGACTGGGAGTCCCCGGGGCTCCCTCCACTCTGCCCCCAGAGCTGGGCTGCAGCCCCTGGGCCTCTCTCACAGCCGTACCTCTCTCCAGCAGAAGGTGCTGAGGGTCCTGGCTTGAGGCCCATCCTCCTTCTGCAGGGCCCCATGCCGGGGTGGCTCCAGCACCTGCAGGCCAAGGCCCGGGAGAGTGGGGAAGCAGGACCTGGCAACGCGGAGCAGTGGAGGGGCCAGGGTGCAGCTGCGACTGTGCCCCCTCTACTGCTGAAGTTTTGTGCCCCCAGTGGGGATGACAGCAGGCAGCACCTCCAGCTCCACGTGACGTCCTCAAGGGGAGCACCCAGGCCGAGGCCACATCCAGCGAGAAGGCATGCCTCAGGGCGGGAGTGCAGGTAGAGGATCCTGCCTGTGTCCACTGCCTCTTGGGAGAAGCTCTGCACGGGGTCCAGGCTGGGTGGCTCATCTGCCAAGATGCCACGCAGCACCATCACCAGGTAGCCGGCACTCGGTGGGCTCTTCACTGAGAAAACGATGTCTGCTGGCGGCACTGCCTCCTGGGCTACCTGGTTAACAGAGGTCATGAGGACTCACAAGGGAATGCAGAGGGGTCTCAGAGGGGCCCACTGTGGCCCTAAGCAGCCAGAACAGCCTTGATCTTGCTCCACTTATTTCCCCAGATACCACTGCTCATTTAGTGACACACACACATGTGGGTTCACACACACAGCAGCCAGACATGCAGCTGGTCACATTTTTTGTTTTTTTGAGACAGGGTCTCACTCTGTCACCCAGGCTGGAGTGCTGTGGTGTGATCACAGCTCCCTGCAGCCTCAACGTCCTAGGCTCAAGGGCTCAGCCTCCCAAGTAGCTGGGGACCACAGTCATGTGCCACCATGCCTGGCTAATTTTTAAATGTTTTGTGTAGAGATGGGGTTTCACTGGGTTGCCCCAGCTGGTCACATGTTAATACCCACCCCACACATGGTTACGGGGTGTCGGTCAACAGCTTGAGATGCACTCCCTCAGGGAGGTGCATAATCACATGTCCCCAGACTCAGTGACACAGACATATGAGTTCATCAGATGCTGACGCAGTCACACAGGTACAGGTACACATGCGTGTGTGCACACGCACACAGGCCCCCTGCTCAGGATCTGTTCAGGCCTGTGGCTGGTTTGCTGGCAGCATCCTCCCCAACCCCTGCTATTACCACCCAGGACCATCAGAGGGTGCCCTGCCCCACCCCACCCCACCCCTCCTAGAGGCACAGGCACCCCCAGCACAGGCCCTACAGAGCTCACACCCCAAAGGCCACATGGGCTCCCTCACCTGATGGGCCATCCACAAGAGGCTAAACTGCCTCCAAACTCACATTCCTGTTTTGTGCCTTCGGCCGGAATGTTCCTTTTGCGTGGAATACCACTCCCCATTCTCTGCTCCTAATGGCCTGTACTCTTCAGAGCCCGGCCCAAACACTGCCTCCTCCCATGAGGCCTTCCTGATGCCAGATCTGCTGGCTCACCATGGGCCCCAAGCTCCAGATGCAGACCAGAAGGGTCTCCGAAATAAGCAGTGTGGAAGAGTAAGGCTGAGAGCGGGCAAGGACTGGCCTGAGGTCACAGGGCATGTCAGATCTCTGGAAGGCCCGTGGCTGCTCTGTGGGGTTCCTGGGTGAGCAGAAGCCCTTGACAGACCCTCCTGGTCCTGGTCTGGGCTCTGAGAAGAGAGCGGGGTACACAGGGGTCTGAGAGGCAGCGGCCTGTCTCCACGGCCAGCAATCCCAAAAGTTCAGGACCCGTGATGCCCTCCCAGGGAACTGACTGCAATGCAGATTCTCGGGCTCCACTTCAGAGATTCTGTAGGGCTGGGTGGCGTCCAGGAATCTGCATGCTCAGCCATGCCATGGACATGAGTGGACACCAGCTCTAGAGGCACACACCACTCCCAGGAGGATGGGTGTACAGCAAGCTCCCCAGAAACTCTTGGGAACACAACATATATGGGAGCACATCTGAGGCACGTGCACACACACAAGCTGGGACCACCACAGGTACAGCCCAAGTCACATGTGTTCCCGGCATGGAGGCTGGGAGGAAGGCCCTCTACCTGGTCCACACCCCGCTCACCACCTCCAGCTCCTCACCTCCAGCTGGTCCCTTCTGATCTCAGCTGCCTCTCCCTGGAAGATGTAGATCTCCTTGTGCTGGGCCAGCTTCAGTGGGGCTACTGGGCCCTCTAGGGCAATGGTCACTTGTAGGGTGGCATCTGTGTGCACTGGTCCCACATCCATTGAGAAGGCCAGGGTGTTGCGGGAGCTGAGGCTGCCATTGTGGCCATAGAAAACAGCCCCAACCAGCAGGTCCTGCTGAGAGAAGGCTGTGGCTGGCTGAGTGGCTTGGAGCAACTGTCCCCAGTGAGGGCTGTCTGTGACGTGGTAGTGGGCCTCATCCCTA
The DNA here is from genome assembly GCF_000001405.40 of Homo sapiens. Classification (NCBI taxonomy): domain Eukaryota; kingdom Metazoa; phylum Chordata; class Mammalia; order Primates; family Hominidae; genus Homo; species Homo sapiens. Next base: position 103,590 of record NT_187606.1, read on the forward strand.
CTGCAGATGTTGAGGTTGGTGCCCAGGTGGAGCTCGGCCATGTTGATGGTACCCTGGCCTCCTTGAGGAACCATGAGGCCGGAGCCATTGGCCACACAGAGGTAAGGCTCCAAGGCCTGCACCTCCAGCACCGTGATGGCCTGGTGCTGCCCATCGGACACCTGCAGCGGGATCCAGCCGTGGTCAGCCTGAGTGTGTGAACAGGACTCGCCTCTTCCTGAGGCCCCTCCTGGATGAAGCGGCAGATGGGCTGCATGGGCTCATCCGTGGCCATGATACTGCCAGAGAGGAGGTCCTGGTGGGTCAGCACCAGCTGGGCCTCAGCAAAGCCCGAATCAGCATTGCTGAAGGCCATGTTGTCTGTAGTCAGCAGCCGCCACCTACCCCAGGCCACGTGGAAGACGCAGCTGATGGTCTGCATAGGGGCGTGGTCATTCACAGGCTGGATGGCCACTCAGAAGACACCCCATACCTCCTCCCAGGCCACGTCACCACTGCTCTGGTCCTGATGGCAGCAGGAAATGGGATATCATCTTCTGTGATCTCGGAGTCATCATGCTGCTAGACCAGCTGGCCATGCATCAGGTCTCCATTGGTGAAGGATGTCACCATAGTGATCTTGTCCTGTGTCCCACGCCAAGTCAACCTCCCATGGCGGGGCTGCTCCATGACCTCATAGAGGTACCTGGCACTGTTGAGACTCTTGATGAAGAGCTGGTCAGCAGAGAGGACACACCCACCACCCTCGGGCACCACGAGGACAGGCATGTCTGGGTCACCGCCAATATGGATGGAGAAGGTACAGAGTGGGGAGAAATATGGTGGAGCTGTGACATGGAAACAGAAGGTGTCCTCCACTGCCACTGAGGCATGTGCCATGGCCCCATAGGTCACCTCTGCAGCCTGTACGTCATCCTGGGTGAAGCCCTGACCGTCTGACAGCATCGTGCCCTGTAGTTGAAAGTTGCCTTTCCTGGGAGCCTGAACCACCTCACAGTGGAAGGTTGGGGGGCTTGGGCCTGCCTCCTCCAGGGTGGCCTCCAGGTGGGCTGTGGTGAGGGCCTCCTGCTGGGTGTTCTGAGTGTGCAGTGGCTCCAGCTGCAGCATCCACACAGTGGCTCTCTGGATGGTCACTAGGAAGGACAGATTGCTCAGGATTTCCCAGCTCACCTGCACCTGCAGATCCAGGTTCTCCACGGTGTCCTCGGTGTAGTGCTGTGGGTCAGTGCTCAGGTACCTCACGTGGCCCTGCTCCACATCCTGCTGGTGGAACGCCTGTGTGACCCACCACTCAGCATCCTCCACCCCACCAGCCCCCTGCTTCTGCAGCTCCCTGAACGGCAGGCCTCCGGTGACACGGAACAGCACGGTCACATCCTGCCCCACGGCGCTGGTCTCCACCAACAGGTTGGTAGGCAAGATGGGCATGGCAGAGCCCTGGGCCAGATGCAGCCCTGTGCTGCGGTGGATTTGTATGGCCAGCTGGACAGCCACCACCTTCAGCATGGCCGGGGGGCTGGCCTGCAGTCCATTGCTGACCCGGAATGTCAAGTCCTGTGTAGGGCCACCACAGTGGACATAGACTAGGCTGCCGGCCTCCAACTCCCAGCAGGAGAACTCAGTCACCGGCTCCCCAGGCTGGTCTCGGTGCTCCACGGGGAGGCCAGAGGGGGTGCCAAGGAGCTGGAAGGTGAGGCCCTCACAGGCAGAGTCCAGGTCATAGGCCTGGAGAACCTCAGGCCCCAGAGGCTTCTGTGTGTGTTCCAGGATCACCATAAGGCTGCCATGTGGGAAGATGATGTGGGGTGGGTCATTGACAGGGTTGACCTGGATGGGCAGGAGGTCTGTTTGGCCCCTCCGCAGGCATGAGGGCATGGGCAACCAAGCCATCACTGACACCTCCAGCACCAGCTGGTCAGAGGTGTCCTCAGGGCCATCGTGGATGAAGCGGGCCTTGCAGTTCACCACGTCCAGGAGGGTGAACATTTTTCATGCCTGGGCACCCAGGACATCCAGCTCGAGCTCGCTGTAGTGTGCCCCTCAGGTCACGCTGAACAGCACCTGGGATTTACGCAGTTCAGCCTCCATCAGTGCCAGCATGGGCTGCACATGCCACCACTCAAGCCAGGCTGTGCCACCCTCGGTCACCACCACTGCGCTGATAGCAGCTGGATGAAATTGGCAAAGACAGGAGGTAGCCCTGGCTCAGGCACGCATGGCTCAGCTAGCTCCACGGACAGCCAAGCCTTGGGAGCCAGGGTGGAGAAAGCTTCATAATGGCCATAGGCATTGTCTACCTCCTCCAGTCTGCAGCCAGCCACCATGTTGTGCGTCAGCAAGGCTTCCCACAGCCCCTGCCTCTAGCCATTGACACTGAGGTCTTCCATGCAGCCAGCCCAGCAGGGAGGCATTGGCAGCCCCTGGTGTCAGGCCTGAGCGGTGTTCCTGGAGGTGATGAGAGGCCTCTGCAACCAGCTCCCCAAGAAGGAGACTGTCACGTGGCTCCAGGTAGCTGAGGACTCCTCAGTTCGTGTGGGGTACTGGTCCATGGAGATTTCTAGCTGGTGAATGTTGATGTGGATGCTGACCTTGTGGGGCTGTGCGTCAGTCACAGGCACACTGTTGAGGAGCAATACAGTACCCTGGCCCTTCTCAACCATGGACCACAGGTGGCCCTCAAATATGTCCACATGGATGAAGTCCCCATGCCAGCCTGCTGCCTGGAAGGCCAAGGGTGCCTGCCAGCTCTGTGTGGTGAGTGTAAACTCCAGGGTTCCTTCATCCTGAGTGCCCCAGGCAGGCAAGGCAGCCAGAGAGTGGGACCCAGAGAAGCCCAGGGCCACATCATCATTGGCAGAAAACTCTTCAGCACAGCCCTCATGCTTATTGGGGGTCAGAGGCTGGAGGAGTCTGCGGCCATTGAGAGCGGCTGCATGGAGGCAACCCCTCAGGGGATGGCTGGTTCCCCTCAGGTAGGGCAGGCCAAGTCTCCCAGTGCTCCCAACAAAGAGCCCATAGGGACTTCTAGGGGGGCTCCCAGGACTACAGAGGAGGCATTCAGAAACCCATTGACTGACAATGTGGGCCAGTCCTCTGAGACAGTCAGAACTGTGGTGTGGGGGACGGAGCCACTCAGTAGAATTTCTGCTGGGGTCTGCAGCCTCAGCTCCTCCTGGCCCAGGACAAGCCTGACCTGAGGAGAGACGGGGAATGGGAGATGGGGGGCAGCACTTTGAATCCATCATTTCCCTTATAAAAGCACAGTGGGTTCCCCACAGGGGGCCCCAGAGCAGAAAACCTAGGACAAGGGCCTCTGGTGCCACTCCTCTTGCCTTCCTGCCATCTCTTTATTCATCCTCCAAACACTCACCAAAGGAAACTCTGGGCCAGGCCTGGATGGGCTCTGGGGACCCTGGTGTGAATCAGATGTGGTCCTTGCCCACAAGGAACTGACATATAGCAAGATGCTCTTCTAGAAACCCAACCTGTATTTTTAAATTCTCCTCCTCTTTCCTTGAGTGAGAAGCACCAGAAATATTGTCTTGGAATCTAGATTTCACCCCTGGAATAATGGGTAACTGAGAATCCGTTGATCAGTCCCCCTAAGTTTGGCAAAGTTTCTCGAGGTCACTGAAGGAAGCCAGGCTAACTGTTCAGGGACAGGGAGCCCAGGCAGATGCTCTGTGTTCTGGGAAAAAAAAAAAAAAAAAAAAGCTGCCTGACCTGTGGTGGAGGAATATCTCAAGGAGAGATGAAGGACATAGTTCTGTCACCATGACATTGACACAAGAAATGGCTCTGGTATGGTGCTCCCAGATGCTAGAATAGGTGATGGCAGAGTATGGGAACTGCAGAGGCAGAACACTAAGAACCATGATCTTGGAGTCCTGGTATGGTGCATCTCTGTAGGGATGTGGCATCACTACCTGCAGAGCTCAACAGCCATCAGCACCAGACTGCACCACATAGGTGTTCAACAGTGACACCTTGTGGCAATGAGCAGCAATGACAGCAGCAGACTGACCAAGCCCTAGTCCTCTTCCCACTGGGGTGTGGAAAGAGATGGCTGCCCCAAATTTGTTAATTTGTTTTTTTTTTCCTTCTAAAATAGAGATGGGGTCTCATTGTGTGGCTCAGGCCAGTCTTGAACTCCTAGGCTCAAGTGATCTTTCCACCTTGGTCTCCCAAAGTGGTGGGATTATAGGCATAAGCCACTGCACCCAGCCTGCCCCAAATTTGGACTAAGACCCTGGGTTCTTAAACTCTTCCTGGTATGGGGTAAGACTCAAGTAGGAGCCACAAGACTCCTTGATAATAAAGCTTGTGGTGTCTTGAAGGATGAAATGGAAAAATGAAGCTGAGGCAGTACTGGTGCTGTTACTCTCATGGACAGACAGTGGTGCTGCAGATAAATTGGTGCAGTGCCACCAGGATGCGCAGGGGTCATGGGGGCCCAGGAGGGGGTCTCGCCGAGGAGGAGGGGATGCCCACACTGAAACTTCAAGGAGAGACTAGAGTTCGGCAGGTACAGGGAATGGGTGGGTCACACACCTGGCAGGAGGAGTGTGATGACCAAAGGCCTGGCAGCAAGTGACCATAAGATGGCCAGGAACTGAAAGCAGTTCAGTGCAGTCAGAGCACAAAGGGCCAGTGAGGGCTTGTGGTGGGAAACATGGTTGGAAGGAGCCGGTGGGCAGAGCCAGTTCATGAAGGATTTACCATTTCTGAGCTGCTGCTGCCCATCCCACAGTGGAGAACTTGAGACCCCAAGAAAAGTGACTTACACAAGGTCAACAGCCAGCTGGGGTTCACTCAAAGCTAGACAAGGAATCTCGCCCCAATCCCAGGGGGACGTCACTCACCTGCAGGTGTCCAGAGTAGAGCTGCAGCAGGAGGTGGTCAGCTGGGCCTGCTGCCAGGAGAAGGAGGGCTTCGGGTTGGGACATGGAGAACTGCAGCTGCAGGTCTATGTCAGTCAGAGCCATGGCCACAGTCACCTCCGGGTGGTTCTAACCAAAGAAGGAAGCTGTGTGAGAGAGGGAGCTGTGGTCAAGGCTCAGATTCTTGCCTGGAGGAGGCGAGGTGCTGCAGGGAGGGATGGGTGGGTTGCAGAAAGGGGTCCGTGCTGGTGCACCCTCATGGTTCTGCCATACGGTGCTGCCTCTGAGCACTGCCCAGATCCCAGCATTTCCTTGGTCCTGGCACCAGAAGGCACAGCCTCACCTTGTGTCCAGCCCAGACCTTGACTTGGCAGGAGGTCAGACCCAGAAATTCCCAGCAACTCAGGTCTCCTCCTTGGAGGTTCCTGGAGCCAGAGGCCTCTGCCAGCTCTGACTCACCTCCCCTGGGCCCCAGAGGAGTCTCCCTCCCAGGTCTGGCTCCCCGACCTGGCCCAAAGGGAAACATCACTGGCCTGATCACCTGGCTTGGTGGTCACAGCCCTGAGGAATGGAGTTTCTGGAGAATCACCACCAGGCCAGATCGATCCCTGCTCAGATTCCTTCTCCTAAGTGCCCTTGTGCTTGGGCTCCTGTGCAGCACCTGCCGTGCCATGCCCCACCTCCATGGGTTGGCTGGGGCCACAGCTGGGATCTGGGGGTGATGTCAGTGCAGCCCACCTATCCCTGCTTCTCCCTCAGGCCATTCTTCCAGCTGCCATTGAGGGTGGGGGCAGGAGCTTATTGGCCTGAGTTTGCCAAGGAGTAAAGGCTCTCAGGCCAGATGGGGACCATATGCAGTGTCAAACCAAAGTGGGCCCACACTTCCTCCACTACCCCTGCTGTTGCTTCCTGCTAGAGAGCTATTCACAGTCCCCGCTGAGCAGTCAGATCCGGCCCCATTGTTTCCACCGTGGCCAAGGAACCAGGGATGAGAACAGCTCAGCTCCCAACCTCCCCAGGCCACCACTCAGTCTGAGGCTGAAGACAGGGCCTAGAAGGGGCTGAGGGTCTGCTGAGCAGGCCAAAGAGGGCCTCCCCAGGCAGAAGGCCATGTCTGGGCTTGCCTGGGATTAGTGGTTCTTATGCAGGGCCTGTTCTGTCCCACACTGGGACTCCTCCTCTTTTGAGTTGCTGCTTCCTCCAGGCAGTTTCCCCAAATTAGCCTCCCTGACTTCCAACCCGATGCCATAATTTCTGGTCTATGCCTTTTGCGGTGATAAGAGCCAAATATAACTTTAACTTTGCCTGCAGATGTCCAGGGCTGGGGGGCAGGCAAACACAGGTTAAAAACTGTGATTCATCCCTGTTGGGTTTCCCTCAAACCCCAAGAACAAGCACAGGCTGATGGCCTTGATGGGGTGATCCAGCACCGACCTCACATGCACTGGTCCCTAGCCAGCCTGAGCCAGCTGCCATCTGCTCGAGGAAGTAGCTTCAGCCATTGGAGGAGTTGGAGGTTTGTATACCCTCAGGGCAGCCAGTCCCACCTGGAGGGATATCCAGGAAAGATCCCGTAAGAGCCCCTCGGGTTGAGTTAAATCCCCTCTAGTTATCCCCTCCTCCTGCCAGCACTGCTGGCAACACCAGCACCTTGGCTGGGAAGCTAAGGGAATCAAGCAAGCCCCGCAGACCATCTGCACGGGGGTGGCCCAGCAGTCTCAGCAGGCACAGCACAGCTTGGTGCCAGCAAGAGACAGACCAGGGAACTGCAGGTGGCGGCCAGCTACTGGGGTGCCTTATCTGCAAAGACATTGATTCCTAAGAGCAAAACACAGCACACTAAAGTGAGGGAGGCCATAGCACAAGGGGTGGGGGCACATGGCCCTGCAGGATGGAGCCACCACAGTCACCGGCTGGAACGGCTCACAGCAGCTGCCAGGAGCCAACTGTTGAATTTTCAGGAATTTTGAGAGGCAGGTGATACTGCCCACAGTGGGAATATTTATACCAGGAAAAGAGGCAAATACTGAAAATCAGGGTTCCCTCTCCCCAACAAAGCCCTTTGCGAAACATTTACCTACCCAGCACCCACGGGGAAGGGGGCACATCTCCCTGTGCCTACCCACCTGTGTTAATCAGGGTTCCCTAGAGGGACAGAACTAATAGGAGATATAGACAGATATAGATATAGATATAGATATAGATATAGATATAGATATAGATATAGATATAGATATAGATAATAGATATAGATATAGATATAGATAATAGATATAGATATAGATAGATATATAAAGGGGAGTTTATGAAGTATTAACTTACACAATCACAAGGTCCCACAATAGGCTGTCTGCAAGTTTGAGGAGCAAGGAGAGCCAATCCGAGTCTCAAAACTGAAGAACCTGGAGTCCGATGTTAGAGGGCAGGAAGTGTCCAGCATGGGAGAAAGATGTAGGCTGGGAAGCTAGGCCAATCTTACCTTTTCATGTTTTTCTGCCTGCTTTATATTCGCTAGCAGCTGATTAGAAAGATGGTACCCACCAGTATTAAAGGTGGGTCTGCCTTCCCCAGCCCACTGACTCAAATGTTTATCTCCTTTTACAATGCCCTCACAGACACTTCCAGTAGGTCAATACTTTGCAGCCTTCAACCCAATCAAGTTGACACTCAGTATTAACTGTCACACCACCCTTGCACTAAAGGTATACATACACCCACTAGGGCATGGTCAAGGTCAGAGATCTGGGCCAGACAGGAACTGAAGTAGATGGTTGGCCCTAACCACTGAACCACCTGCCTGCGGCCTCCTCCCATCAGAAGAGAGTAGAGCCTGTTTGGCCAGAGTGGAATGGTGGCAGGAAGCAGAGGTACTTTCCGGAGCGCTGGGGTCTGAATGGGTCCATTGAGGCTGGGCCCTGCTGCTTCCTGTAGGGCTGAGTGGGAGAGGCTCACAGAGGCTGCCTTGTGCAGCTGGAGCGCATAGCCAGGGAGGCCCCCACTCCAACAGAGGCCTCTGAGGCCTTGCTGGCCGGGGCTTTGGAAACTCTGACAGCGCTGCTTCCCTCACCTCCTGATCTCCTTTTTCTGCCCCTCTTACACTCTCTGAGGGGCTGCAGTTGCAAGAACCCAGAATCTCTGTCTTGGAGGTAGTGGGGGGGGGGGGCAGTTGAAGAGGGGCTTTGAATGGAGAGGGTCTGCACAATAAAGATGTAATAAGCTAGGAGTCAATCCAGAGGACTTCCTGGAGGAGGTGATGGTGGTGTAGAGTCACAGAGAGGGAGGAACAGGCAGTCTCAGAGGACAGCAGCAAGGCCAAGTGAGAGACTGGCAGAGGTATACAGGTCCCCGTTGGCTGGGGTGAGGAGGGTTTCTGCTCCCTCACCCCCCAGAGCCTCTGGCTTATCACAGGATAAGAGCCAGCTAAGCTCCAGGGGCTTTCCAGGAAAAGTGTCTCTTGGAAAGGGTGTGACCTTTTCATCGGTCCTGACAGCACCCTAGAAATAGCTTGGCCTTTTCCCTCCCCTGAGCTCCACAGAGAACACAGCCAGCAGAAGACACATTCCCTGTCATCCAGAAATGGGTTTGATTCTCAGCTGAGGGACAGCAGGACTGGTAGAGACTGTCAGGCCACACAGCTACCTACAGAGCACCCCCATGCTTGGTCGGGGGTGGGAGGGATGGCAGGGTCTGGCTGTCCACAGGCCGGGCATGACAGTGGGGCGCACTGGAAGTGGCGCACTTTGGAGGGGCAATGTCAGGGGAGAGCTTCCTCTTGTTGGGCCACAAGACTCCACAAGGACAGCACGGTGACTGATTCCCAATGCTAGAGGCGAGGCAATCGGTCATGTGTAGGTGTATGTGTGTGTGTGTGTGTGTGTGTGTGTGTGTGTATATACACACACATATGTGTGTATATATATATGAGGGTGTGTGTATGTGTGTGTATACATAATTTATTTATTTAGATGGAGTCTTGCTCTGCCACCCAGGCTGGACCTCAGTGGTGCGATCTCGACTCACTGAAACCTCTGCCTCCTGGGTTCAAGCAATTCTCCTGCCTCAGCCTGCCGAGTAGCTGGGACTACAGTCACCTGCCACCACACCGGGCTAATTTTTGTATTTTTAGTAGAGATGAGGTTTCACCATATTGGCCAGGCTGGTCTCAAACTCCTGACCTTGTGATCTGCCTGCCTCGGCCTCCCAAAGTGCTGGGATTACAGGTGTGAGCCACAGCACCCAGCTATTTATAGATATTTATAGAATATGACCTCAACTATTTAAACATATCTGTAAGGGTATAAGTACTTTGATAACAAAGAAGCAATACATACTGATAGAAACTAGCTATCATGTCAACAGTACTTATATTAGGTAGAGAAATTATGTGAGATTTTTATTTTTTTATATTTTACTAATCTTCTCAATAATGGTTGCTTATAAGTTTTATAATCAAGAAAAAAGATTTCTAAAGTTTTTGCAAAATGGAAAGTTATGCTTCTTTATATACTAAAGACAAAAACAAAACTTCCTATTTGAATACCTTTGACTTTTACTGCAGACTTACAGACCCTTGAAAGAAAAGGCAATTCCCTCCCACTAGTTCTGGTGTCATTCTCCCCATCTCTCCCTTCACTTCCACCTTGGTCTTCTTTCTACTTCCCACCTTGGCTAGTGGTCTCCACCCAAAATGCTTGCTTGGCTTAATGGTTAGAATTCAGGGAAAAAGAGATCCCGAATTGCTAATCTAAACTAAGATTATACATGTGGGAAATAATAAAGAGAAACCAGGTAGTAAATAAGATTTGGAGGACTTAAAATACCCAGACTTTAATTCCTCTAAGATTATAGTTATTAATCATGTTTTTATATAATATTATCATTTAACATTTAATTTCTAAATATAATGTTCATGAGGAAAAGAGAAAATAGCTTGGTTTCTTTCCTTACCGAACTGTTGTCCTTAGTATCTTCTAGACGTTCCAGAACTGATGTCAGATTTGGCTCATCAGAGTCCACAGACCATATCGGTGAAGAAGATGAATAGGATTCCTGTTTAACCCAGAGACACCTATGTTAAATGTTTACATACAGACTAACCCAAATATGCAATTAAACCACACCACTAAATGGCAAGATGACCATGGATTTAAACAAAATGTATCAGGGGGAAAAGGCAACACGTTTAAACCCATGTGAGGAGCTGGACTTCTGAGACAGCCATTCTCCTTGCATAGCACTGTCTGCTGCTACAGCTCATAGAAGTCAACAATTTTCTTCAACACTGGTAGGCAGCCTCTAAATGGCCCTGATCACCCTCACCTCCTGCCATTCACACCCTTGTAAAATTCCACCCCTGGACCTAGTGACTCACTTCTAACAAAGAGAATACAGCAAAAGTAACATCGCTTCTGAGGTGAGGCTACAAGGAGACTACGATGCCTGCCTTAGTCACCCTTCTCCTGCTCTTTCCATTGCTCCCTCTGATGGAAGCCAGTTGCCATGTGATGAGGTGCCCTATGGAGAGGCCCACGTGACAAGGTATTGTAAAAAGCCTCTGACCAATAGCCATCTAGAAACGGAGGCCCAGTCCAGCAGCCTCTGAGATGAATCCTGCCAACCTGAGCTTGGAGACAGATTCTCTCCCTATCCTGCCTTGGGATGATCACAGCCACCATCAACACCTTCACTGCCTGGTGAGAGGCCAAGCCAGTGAACCCAAGGTAAACTGGACAGAATCCTGACCCACAGAAACTGAGATAATGTTTGTTATTTTAAGCTGCTCAATTTGTTACAGAGCAATAGATAACTAACTCAAACACCATAAAATTCTAATATTTTATTCTATCACACAAACCAAGTAATACCAAGTAAATGCCATTACTATACATATATTTTTGTAACACAATTACATGTGATTTTTTAAAAAAGCTAATGAACTATGCATTATGTGCTTTCACCCACTAACAGACGTTCCCGCTGTTACTTTGTACTGTTCTCTATTATAAATTGGGGAAAAACCATTATTATTATATATTAGTTTCAGAATAACTAGGTTCAAGTCACAGAAAACAATTTTGCACAAACAACTTTAGGCAACACTGCTTTGAAAACTGTAATCTGAGTTAAAGCTGAAGCCACAGAAACCAAATATTTACTGAAGGTTCCTTTTTAAGAAAAGCAAGATGGGCCGGGCACGGTGGCTCGCGCCTCTAATCTCAGCACTTTGGGAGGCCGAGGTGGGCGGATCACGAGGTCAGGAGATCGAGACCGTCCTGGCTAACACGGAGAAACCCCATCTCTACTAAAAAAATACAAAAAAATTAGCTGGGCGCGCTGGCGGGTGCCTGTAGTCCCAGCTACTCAGGAGGCTGAGGCAGGGGAATCACTTGAACCCAGGAGGCAGAGGTTTCAGTGGGCCGAGATGTCCACTGCACTCCAGGCTGGCGATAGAGCAAGACTCCATCTCAAAAAACAAACAAACAAAAAGAAAAACAAGTTGTATTGATGGAGGACATCATTAACAGTATATCTCTTCAATAATGGTTTATTTTACTATTCTCATTCTTCTCATTCCTCTCTTACTGTGTTCCAAATCTCTTTACAGGCTAAAAGAAACTCTTCAGAATTACTCCTATTCTTTTTTTTCTTTTTTGAGACCGAGTTTCGCTCTTGTTGCCCAGGCTGGAGCGCAGTGGCACGATCTCAGCTCATCACAACCTCCACCTCCCAGGTTCAAGCAATTCTCCTGCCTCAGCCTTCCTGAGTAGCTGGGATTACAGGCATGTGCCATCATGCCCCACTAATTTTGTATTTTTAGTAGAGACGGGGTTTCTCTATGTTGGTCAGGCTGGTCTCGAACCCCTAATCTCAGATGATCCACCCACCTCGGCCTCCCAAAGTGTTGGGATTACAGGCATGAGCCACTGCGCCCAGCCAACCCTATTCTTAAAGAACACCAGTTCCTCAGTATTGCATTTTCTTCTATAAATTCTTCAGCATACACTGAGAATACACCATATGGACTATTTTTACACTTTTAATTTTCGTTTTTTTTTACTTTTGGCTAAGGAAATTTCAATTAGATTTAGGACTTCATTCTGTTAGGTTAGTATTTTCTAGTAAACTTCAGCATAAGCAAAATAAAATACGTGTTGTTGCTCTGGACTGAAACCCCTCAAAACCATATTTTAAAAATTACAAAAAAAAATTAACTGAAATCAAGTTTTTAAAAACCTTGTAGATGAAAAGATATGATATCTAGTACGTCTAAGTACCTATTTCAATGGTTCCCAAAGTGCGGCCCTCAGACCCCCAAGTCCAAACTATTTTGACAGGAATACTAACATGGTGACATTTGCTGTAAGTGTGCAAATACAATGGTGGGTAAAAATGCTGGTACTTTAGCACAAACAAAAGCAGTAACACCAAACTACTAGTAGTCATGGTATTCTTCATTATGCACAGGAAAGGTTTAAAAAGGAAGGGTGGGTGGGACATGGTGGCCTACACCAGTAATCCCAGTGCTTCGGGAGGCTGAGGTAGACGGATCACTTAAGGTCAGGAGTTTGAGACGAGCTTGGCCAACATGGTGAAACCCCATCTCTACTAAAAATACAAAAATTAGCTCGGTGTGGTGGTGCATGCCTGTATTACCAAATACTTAGGAGGCTGAGGCAGGAGAATCACTTGAACCTGGGAGGCAGAGGTTGCCTTGAGCTGAAATTGCACCTATGTAACTCCAGACTGGGCAACAGAGCAAAACTCCATCTCCAAAAATAAAAATAAAAAGGAAGGGCAACAAAAGGTCAGTTTCATTTAAGAATGTCTATGATAAGTTTGGGAATTTTGGCTCATGTCTGTAATTCCAGCACTTTGGAAGGCCCAGGCAGGGGGATCCCTTGAGCCCGGGAGTTCAAGACCTGCCTGGGCAACCTGGTGAAACCTCATCTTTACAAAAAATACAAAAATTAGCTGAACACAGTGGCTGCATGCCTGTAGTCCCAGCGTCTTGGAAGGCTGAGGCAGGAGGATTGACTGAACCCAGAAAGTTGAGGCTGCAGTGAGCTGTGATCACGCTACTGCACTCCAGCCTGGGTGACAGAACAAGGCCCTGTCTCGAAAATTAAAAAAAAAAAAAAAGAATGTCTATGATGAAGCAGTGAATATTTTACTATATCTAAATCATTGAATATATCTTTTTAATATTTCAAGTGATGAAATGGGAAGTATACATGAGCATTCCTACAGGCTGCCTGAGGAAAAACCCTTGAGTGACTAAGTCTTGAAGTGAATTAACCACTTTAATGGAATACCATTTTTACTTGAAAGGCTGACTGACAAAAAATGTTATTTTAACTCGCATTTCTGGCAGATATTTTCTCAAAACATGAGATTCTGTCATTTCAAGGAAAACAACAGACAGGCTATAATAAAATTCAATAACAAAATTACTAATAAAATTCAAGCTTTTGAACAAAAAATTAGAATTTTAGAAAACTTATGCCCACCATCGCTTTCCAAAAGTATTCTGATGAGATTGATGGTGGTACTGATGAATGTATTTTGATACTGTACAAATGTATCAACATGTAGAAGATCTTAGTGAACCACTGTTTTATAAGTGACCAATGCACGATGTTGTAATATCATGCAAGGGTGGAAGATCCAAAGTTCAAGAAAAACCAAGATTTGATGGAGTATCAAAAAAGAAGCCTAGGCAACATGGCAAAACCCTGTCTCTACAAAAAATACAAAAAGTTAGCCAAGTGTGGTGGTACACACCTGTAGTCCCAGCTACTCTGGAGGCTGAGGTGGGAGGATCACCTTAGTCCCTGGAGACTGAGGCTGCAGTGAGCTGTGATCACACCACTACCTTCCAGCCTGGGCAACAGGGCAAGACCTCATCTCAAAAAAATATATATATCCACAATGATCTAAAATGGTTATCTGTATGAGATTGGCCTTTGTTCACATTTTTTCAAGAAAATATCACACAATAAATTGAATGCAGAAGCAAACTGACATATCAATTTGCTAATGACATATCAAACATCATGCAAATGACATATCAAACATCAAAATAATTTGCAAAAGATGTAAGACTGTACTACTTTGGGTTTAGAAATTTTCTTTTCATAAAAGCATTTATAACAATATGTGGTGAGCTTTTAAACAATATTTTAAATATTTCTGATTTAATTTCTAGTGATAAATACCAATAGATATACCCTACATAAACCAAAGCTCCTTGGGACCTCAATGTATTTTTAAGAGTGTAAAGGAATCCTGACCCCAAAACTTGGAGAACTGCTGCCTTCCCCTCCACTTTCTTCCTTCTCTAGAATTTCTTCCTTGGAAGAAACATCCCTTTGCCATTCTATATTAACTTACATAGTTCCACTGAGGCAAGTTTTGCTACCTCCCTCCCATCTTTCCACCTCTCTCTCAACACAAAACCTGACCAAAGCATTCTACCAGCCCACCCCATTTCCAGTGATTAGCTGTCAGGTGGGCTAAGCCAAACAAATCTGGGTTTTCCCTGAGACTAGACCTCTCTTTCTGGGAGAGATGGAATCACAGGGACAAGGTTGGCCACCTTGGGGTAGTGAGAATTCATCCTGCCTAAACAGGGAGAATTCAAACAAGTTTCTAGAAAGCCAAACTACTTTCTAGAAAGTCAAAGATAATTATATTTTTTGCCATGACTGTAAGAATGCCCATTTCATTGCACACTTTCTAACATTTTTACCAATCTGATAAATAAAAGCTGGTACTGAGATGAAAAAAAGGCTGGGCACAGCGGCTCACACCTGTATTCCCAACACTTTGGGAGGCTGAAGTGGGCAAATCACCTGAGGTCAGGAGTTCAAGACCAGCCTGGCCAACATGGTGAAACTCCGTTTCTACTAAAAATACAAAAATTAGCCAGGCATGGTGGCATGCGCCTGTAATCTCAGCTACTCGGGAGGCTGAGGCAGGAGAATTGCTTGAACCCAGGAGGTGGAGGTTGCAGTGAGATCACGCCATTGCACTCCAGCCTGGGTGACAAGAACAAGACTTCATCTCAAAAAAAAAAAGAAAAAAAAAAGAAAAAAAAAGTTCCCATACAATATAATTTCTTCCATCTCTGGAAACAAATTCAGCAATGAGAACTGAAAGTCACCACGTGGAAGGTTTCAAGGATTTACGTCTACCTACTGATGTCTAAAGCATTAGTTAAGTTACAAAAAAATACGCACACACGCGCACGCACACACACACATACCCGTATGTATTCAGTACCAGAAAACATGACTGACTACATGGTAAAGTCATCCAACAGAAAGCACACAATAACTGAAGGCAATGTAGAGGAGTAAGTTATAACATGGATCTACAATACTGTTGAGTGAAAAAGCAGATTACAAACAAATATCTGATTTTTAAGGGAGAGGAAACATATACAAGCACAGGAGAAAAGAGGTGAGCAGATGACTGGAAAGATACAAATTTCTGACAGTGGCACCTTCTGAGTGGTAGAATTACATAGGTAATATTTTCTAGTTTTGCCTAAAAGTTTTCTAAATTTCTTAAAATAAGAAGGTTTTGTTTTCCATATTACAAAATATCCATCACCCCAGGAAATTTAACCTTTGGCACAAACTCTACAACATGTTCAAAGTTTGTTCAGTTGAATATTTAAGAGACAATCTATTTTGAAAGACATTTAAAATGACCAATATTTAAACCTATGCATTAATATTTTTCAATCACGTTTTAAATTTTGTAATTTTGATAAGTTTTAGATCCATCTTGAAAAGATAAATTTTCTGTTTGTCTTTAAAATATTACCTACAATATGCCTGTTTTTATACAGTTAATGGTGCTCAAAAATCGCAATATAAATTCAGGCAGTGTTCCTTCTATAGAATGTGTAAGTGCTTCTAATACTGCTCTTTTTCACCAGTTATGAAAACACGGAACAATTATCTAAGCATCTAATTATTCAGGTCCTTTGTTTCTCCTCCATTCTGTTAGTTTTATACTAATTTCAAGGCCTGTGAGGATGAAGTTGTCTGTGACAGCTACCACAAAGGTTACTATAAGCAGACAAATTTCCAGCAAGTTTATCACCACTACCATCCCACCATAAAACTGTCTCAATCAAGGGCAACACAATTCAAGGTTAGTCAAGACAACCTCTTTACCTGTCACTGCTTAAGAAAAGGATTTTTTGGTCTTATTTAGAAATAACTTTATCTATTTTTCTCCATAATTCCACTGAGACCAATGTGTGCCTCTATCTCAAGCACCAGCAAGCAAAACTGCCTGCCAGTATGTTCAGTTTTTGTATCTTTCCAAATGTAGGGCACAGCTATCTTTTGATATCATAATTTTTTGAAAACTGATGCACAAACTTCTTCTTGAAAGTTCAGCCAGGTGCGGTAGCTCACACCTGTAATCCCAGCACTTTGGGAGGCTGAGGCAGGCAGATCACGAGGTCAGGAATTCAAGACCAGCCTGGCCAACATGGTGAAACCTGTCTCTACTAAAGCTACAAAAATTAGCCAGGTGCGGTGGCAGGTGCCTGTAATCCCAGCTACTCAGGAGGCTGAGGCAGGAGAATTGCTTGAACCTGGGCAGCAGAGGTTCCAGTGAGCCAAGATTGCACCACTGTACTCCAGCTTGGGTGATAGAGTGAGACTCCATCTCAAAATAAAAAATAAAAAAAAGAATTTCAGATATACAGCAGTTGTAATTCTTCTGAAGGCTGCTTATGGGACACATTACTTTCATAATTTGCTGTTCAATAAATGTGGGGTGGAGAATAAAGTAAATTGACAGAATTACCATATAAAATAAAATTCTAAGTCCTCTGACAACAAAAACTTACACACACACACACACACACACACACACACACACACACACACACACAGCTTTCCCTGCTAATCATTTTACAACAACCAAGTAGCTAACCCAGAGCCCACAAAAGCAGAGTCAAAATTCTAACACTTGGTAAAATAAAAATGCACATATATCCCTGTCACCTAAAAAAAAATGCTTACGTATTCAAAGACAGCAATTGTAGCTACTGAGAACATCATTGTAAGCAAACTGAGGCAGAGAAAACAAACGTGCTGATGAGGATTTGAAACACCTAAGCTGCAGAAACCCACTGGATGGTTTCCTAGGTTCCGAGTTGGCATTATCTTTCAGAACGATCTTCTAGAAGAGATCACATAACACTGTTACAAAGGATCTGGAGAAAGGGACCCTGGCTTCATCACTCTGGCTCTCCAGTCATGCTTTACATTTTCACTTCTTACACTCTCTTTCATAGGAAGTCAATTTACAGGCTTCCACCAAGCCCTTAAGTGACGTTTTTGTACTATCCATGACAAGTTCTTGATGTTATGTCTGCACTTCTGACAAATTCTTAGCAGTTAACTTACTAGGCAGTTAAGGTTTTTGTTCAAGCACAATATAGCTAGAATAGGGTCATACATTCAATAAAACAAATATTTACCAAGCATTTATTGAGTGGAAGATAAAAAGCACAAAGCATAATTATAAAACATTCTCCCCTGCCACCATAAAAATTTTTTTAAAGCCTTACAGAATATAGCATAACATAACCAAAGCAAAAATAGGACTAAAGAGGGGAGGAAGGGGAAATATCAGCATGAATTAAATATGACCCAGAAGAGCCTTGATGGTCAGACACGTAAAGACAAATTGGGTAGGGTTAGGGGGTGGCTGTCAGGGGCACATTCTACAGGGGAAAAACAGCTGATACAGAAGCCTGAAAGGAAAACCGGGCAGAGCACCTGGACAGGACTCTTACCTGCTGCATCCAGGGTACAATGCGCCTTTCCAGAACACAGCAGCGACCCGGGGTAGAGGGATCGCTCAAACAGCACCAGAGGCTGCATTCCAACTTTTCCTCCATCAACGAGTCCGTTTTCATTGTTAGTTTCTCCTTAAACACGATTGGCTGAACATGCGGGAACAAGGAAAACCTGACTGAAGAACGAGGCATTTAAGCTTAAGGGCCTTGGATCTGGGCGCGGTGGCTCAGGCCTGTAATCCCAGAACTCTGGGAGGCAGAGATGGGTCATTTGAGGTCAGGAGTTCGAGACCAGCCTGGCCAACATGATGAAACCCCATCTCTACTAAACAACACAAAACTTAGCCAGGCGTGGTGGCGGGCGCCCGTAATCCCAGCTACTCGGGAGGCTGAGGCAGGAGAATCGCTTGAACCCACAGACTGTCAAGAGATGGAGGCTGCAGTATGCCGAGATCGCTCCACTGCACTCCAGCCTGGGCGACAGAGTGAGACTCCATCTCAAGAAGCGCCTGCCACCATGCCCGGCTAATTTTTGTATTTTTAGTAGAGACAGGGTTTTACCATGTTGGCCAGGCTGGTCTAGAACTCCTGACCTCAGGAGATCCAGCTGCCTCAGTCTCCCATAGTGCTGGGATTACAGGAATGAGCACTGCGCCCGGCCAAAAAACCGAAAATCTTAAAGGCCTTTCCCCTTCCCTCACTGGGCTCAAACAACAGCGGGAGCCGCCCTGCCACGCCCCGTCGCGGTCCAGGGGAGCAGGCTAGCTGACTGAGGGCGATCATGGGCCCCAACAGGTCTGCGGGCGACGCGGGCTCCCACCTCAGGGCGCAGCGACTGGGGCGAGAGGTGCCGGCAGCCCCCAAGCCAGCCCCGCGGCAAGGAGCCAGAGAGACGCGCCCTCCCCCTCCTCCCACGCAAGCCTCACACAGCGGGGCGGGCCAGACGCGGGAGAAAGGGGCGCGCTCGCCCCGCCTGGGGAACCGGGGCCTCTCCCGGGCAGGCTCCCCTTTGTCCCGGGACTCTGGGCGCCTCCTCTCCGCCCTCGCCCTGGCCCGTGAGGCCGCCACTGGGCGCCTCACCGTGATGTTGCAGTGGAGCGTGAGCTGTGGCGGGGGCTCCTGGTTCTTGTGGAAGATAGAGGCCAACAACCTCAGCTTGGCCTTGAACCCTCACACGGACATTTTACTCTCACCTCTGGCGGGAGGGGCGCGGAAGGTGAGCCCGTCGGGAGCCGCTGTCACGGCCGCAACCACCCGCGGGACCTCTCGGCGGCGCTCTCCCAGCTCCGCCTCTCCCTGCTGCCTCAACTCTATTCGGAGTAGGGCTGGAAAATGGCAAGGGGCACCGAGGCCTCTGCGGGGAGCTGTGTGGCGGCCTGGGCGGCTGCTCCCCTTGTAACAGACTCCACCGACAGGAGGCGCTGCTCCTGTCAAGCCGCAGCTTAAAAGGGCAACAGCACCACAGTCCCCGCTACCGCCTGGGAAAGGGCTGCCCCTACCCCGCTCCCGTCCCTCTCGCCCCTCACACCCGTCGCCCCTCACCCCTCAACCCGCGCGCCCCCTGCGCACCCGTTTCGGCGGCTGCAGGAGTCCAGAGCATGCGCGCGCTTCCGGCTGCCCCCTCCTCGCCTTGACCCAGCACTGCTGGACCCATCTGGTCCGTTCTTCACACTCGCGGACTGGAGGCTCCGGGCAGCACAACCACCAACTCGTGTGTGTGTTGGGGTGGGGGTGGGGGGCAGAAAACCACCAACTCGTGTGTGTGTGTGTGTGTGTGTGTGTGTGTGTGTGTGTGTGTGTGTCTCCCAAGGGAACAGCACTGCTGAGTTCAGGCTATCAGCTCATGGACTGTCAGCAAAATACAGTCACAAGAAGGCTATGTGCTGTTTTGTCTCTTGCAGTGACGTCATGTTGCTCATGTTTTATGTTTTTCAGAGTTCATTAGTTTCTGTTTGCTCTCAGTTAATATCCAGCTCAATAGATTGTGTAAGTAGAATACCCCCAAACTGAAAGTCACCTACATAAAATATAGTGAAAAATATGTCACCCACTTAAACTATAGTTGAAAATATGTACTCATTAGTTTTGTGTAGCCAACACTGGATAATGGGTAAGGGGAAAGGATCCCAGGGCTAGACTGCCTGGGTTCAAGTTCCGATTTCCTGCTGGCTGTGAAATACTTGACAGCGTTCAGCCTCTGTTTCTTTTCTTTTTTTTTTTTTTTTTTAGCTTAATCCCAAATATGATAGTAAGTCTCAGTTTCTTGATCTGAAAAACAGAAATTATTCAATGACAGTCTATGTGAAAACTTTAAAGTTTTCAAAGCCACTATCTAGCTTAGGAAAGTCCTCAGCTTTAGGGGTTAAAGTTTTTAAAACCACTGCCTGGTTCAGGAAAGCCCTCAGCTGTAGCCATTATTAGCTATGATTATTATTGTGGTGGCTACACATACATTAATGAGGCAGGAAAATGCTCAAGGATAACAAGCAAGTATCCAGATTATCTCATCAGACCAAGACAGATGCATATGCATGCATGATCATGTTTTAGCTCAGAGCCATTTGTCTAAAAGGCTCTTGAACTCAGAGGCCCAGGAGTATCAACTTTGCTTTGCAGTGGAGCCATCGCTTTTGTTAATCAATGAAATTGACATAATGCTCTTCTTTTTTTTTTCCTTTTTAGCACCAACCATGTGCCTAGAGCTAAGTGTGTTAAGAAGAGCATGCTTCAAGTGGCTGGAGTGAGCAATTCAACTTGTGGAGGAATGAGAAGTGACAGTGTTGAGACAAGCAACATAAAACCCCAGGGTAAGGTAGAAATCACTGAAAGTCAGGCAAAGGAACTGGCGTCCAGTAATGAGTCAGGCTTTGCCAGCCTCTGGCCCTACAGATGGCTCTTTGCAGAGGAAAAAATTAAGCCAGGCCCGAGGGCACAGATCCTAAGGGAATGCTGGCAGCTCTAGGCTGTCTATGAGAGTCCAGAGATGCTGCTTCACCCTGGGGCTTTAGGCAAGTCCCTTTCCCTCCCAGAGCCTCAGCATCCCTTCTAGCAAATGACGTTCTGCCTTTCTCCTAGGATGGCTGTGGGGATCAAGGGAGACAGTGGCCATAGGGATACTATGTTAACTGCAGATGCGGCTGTAGGAGCACTTTGCTAACTTCCAGCGTGAGTTCAGACTCTTCAGGCTATTTGGCACCCAGATCTATGGTGAGGTGTGACATATGGGATGTAAAGTTTGATGCCTGCTCCGACTCCAGTCTTGCTAACACACACGAAACCTTTGGTAAATCATGACCCTGCCTTGGGGAAAAGGGCAGTCTGGGAGAGCTTCTTCAAGGCAGCCTGGCTTCAATGCAGTCTGGGGCATGACTGAGGTAGGCATACATGGTGAGGAACTGGAGGGTAACTGGGTAAAGAGCTGCAGTGTGGGCAGAGGTGTAGTGTGGGTCACATCGCGGATAGCCACTGGCCAAAGCAGGGAACAGAGACAGAATGAGGAAGAGCTCTGTGGGGAGGGTGGGGCACAGGGTGGAGAACCTTCAAAGTCCAAAGAGTATGACTTGTTGGGATTCAACGCTGTAGGCAGTAGGGAGCCATGGAAGGCTCTGAGGTGGAGAAATGACAGCCGGACATTAGTGAGCAAGCCCTGTCTCCGTGAGCAGCATGGGTGGTCCTCTGAGCACGCCAGGCACGAGTGTGCAGGGAGCTGGTGCAAATGCCTCTGTGTGCGGGTGAGCATCTGTGTTGTGACTCTGCCCACGCATGTGCTTCAGTGTGCCGAGTGGCTGCACGCCCCAGATCCATGTGGCACGTGCCGGCCGGTGAGGGTGCTGGGCATTGGGAGGTGGCGGGGAGGGCGACGTATGCGTGTTGTTTGTGGGCATGTGTGTTAGCGTGTGCATGTGGGCCGTGGGGCCTCACAGCATGTGTGTGCACACTCCGGCATGTGCGTGTGTGTGTCCCCCACCCCCAGGCCTGCCCCACCCATGCATGTGACCTGCCATGTGATTTGAAGCTGTCTTTCAGAATCACTATCAGTGGCCCCTGAGGAGCGTCAGCCATGGTAGGTACATGCCTCACTGCCTGCTGCATGAATGGTCTGCCTGCCCCGCTGCCCCAGCTCCACACAGGGGGCATACCTGGAGCCTCAGAGCCAGGCTCCCTGCCCCTCCCTTCTGGAGCTGCAGACTTGCTCTTTCCTCTTTCTGTCCTTGTGCTGCTGGCTGTCTCACTTTGCTCCCTGTGAGCCACGGGACTCACTGCCACTGCTCAAGGTCTCCATGGCTGAGCCTGGGGGCTCTTACAACAGGCTCCATGCCCAAGGTGGCAGATGTGGAACCATCAGAGAGGGCACAGAGCTCATGGTTTATGGTGTAGGGGCTGGGAGCTTGGAGGGGGTTGTGTGGGGGGCTGGACTCAGGCGGCCAGAGGCCTGGGCACATCATCCTGGGCACGCCGTACCTGTCATGCAGTCTGAGTCATGCTGCCAGGGCAGGTATCCAGCTCCCAGCCTGGGAGTGCCAAGAGCCAAATCCACTGCAGATTAGGGGTGATAGTCACGGTCCCACGTCCTCTATCTGTCAGCAATCCAGTGGTGATCTAGGATAAAAGCCTGAGAGTCCTATACACGCGGTCATCCCACAACACACTTCATAGGCCATGGAAGGACACACAGCCCCCTTCCCTCCCTCCCAGGTACCATGATAGCTGCTAGCGTGCGACTGAAGGCAGGGTCCCTGGCCCCTGCTGAAGCACTACTGCTGGCCAGCAGGCTCACGCACCTTGGCCTGTTGCTTCTAGGGGTCGCCTGTGCTATTCAGCCAATAGTGCTGCTGGCCCAGCTGAGCTCCACCTAGAGAGCTCACTTCCCTTTCCTGCCGCGGAGTCTCCCTCTTCTGCTTTTCCCAGCAGGAAGGGCCCAGCCTCACCTATGTAACCTGCAGCCCCCCGCCAACCAGTTGAGGCTGCCCTGTTAGACTTAGAAGTCTATGGCCAATGGCATCTGGCTACCTGCCCTCCCTGCCTTCCCCAGGGTCCCTCAGAGGACCCTGGGCTTTCTGATGGCCCAGAGGGGCCTCTGGCATTCACTCCAGCCAGCCATCCCTTATAGCTCCACCATTTTGGTTCAATCAGTGTTCCTTCTCTATCAGGTCTGGTGGCTGTTGGATGGGGCTCTCCAAGCAAGAGGTGGCCCTGGGCCGTGAGTTGGAAGACAGGGTGACCAGAGAAGAGAGAAGCCCGAGGGGGCTGAGCATTCATCTGAACTATGGGTGGACTGCCTGGGTGCCATGAAAGAGGCCAGCGTGTGTGGGGTGGGGAGGGCCGCCGCAGTCCCCAGGCACTACCTATGAAGCTCCGGCTTCTCCCTCCATCTTCCTCCCCTTTCCCTTCCAGCCCCTCTTTTCCAGGAACCTTGCCATGCCCACACCTACGCCCTCCCCTCCCCGGCCCTCCACAGCTGCTGCAGCGCACCCATACTCTGCACTTGCCTCACCAGCTCTGGCTTTTCTCTAACCCGTTTTCTCTCTGCTTTCTCTCCAACTGCCAGCTGATTGGGTCAGGCAAGTCCATCCCATCCGGGGAGCCCCAGGCCCCACTTCGACCTCTAAACAGATTCCTCCTCTTCTCAGAGACCTCCCTTTCCAAGCCTGCCTGGGTGGGTGTCCTGTGACTTGACAGTGGCTCCCCCAGCCCCAAAGCCAGCCCCCTTCTTCTGTGACTTAGTCTGTTGTAGTGGTGAGCTGACACGTCCAGGTTTGACCGTTGCTGAAACTTGTGCCCCCTCTGTGGTATGCCCCTGCCCTGTTCTATAAATAGCTATAAATTCTCTCTCACACACACACACACACACACACACATATATACATATATATACGTGGCCAACTGCCTCGCCTCTAGCACTGGGAATCAGTCCCCGTGCTGTGCTTGTGGAGTCTTGTAGCCCAGCAAGAGGAAGCTGTCTCCTGACATCGCCCCTCCAAAGTGCACCACCTCCAGTGAGCTTCCGGGACATGCGCGGCCTGTGGACAGCCAGCCCCCGCCATCCCTCCCGCCCTTCTGGCCAAGCATGGCGGTGCTGTGCAGGCAGCTGTGTGGCCTGACAGTCTCTACCAGTCCTGCTGTCCCTTGGCTGAGAAACCCATTTCTGGATGACAGAGAATGTGTCCTCTGCTGGCTGTGTTCTCTATGGAGCTCAGGGGAGGGAAAAGGCCAAGCCATTTTTAGGGTGCTGTTGGGAGCAGTGAAAAGGTCACACCCTTTTCAAGGGACACTTTTCCTGGAAAGTCCCTGGAGCTTAGCTGGCTCTTACCCTGTGAAGCCGGCTCTGGCCACTAGGGGACAGGGCCCTGAACTCAGCCTGGAGGGAACCTGCGGGGCAGCCGGCACTCTGGAGGGACAGACAGGCCACCCGGTGCAGACAGGAGAGGGAGGCAGGGGGACAGAACGGAAGACACCTGGGGTGGATGGAAGTCAGTGCCCTTGGGCACTGGTATCTGTCTTCCCTGCCACAGCTAGATCAGGCTTCTCAACCAGTTGGCTGTCAGGGCCAGAGTGTACTCCGTAGGCGCCATGGCAGTCCCCATGAAATCCACCAGGTGTCACCAGGCAGCATACAGGTAACAGGCCTGGAAGGTCCCCAACAGCCCAGCTGGACATGCTGAGACACTCTGGGGCTCCTCATTCAGTGGGACAAACTGCAGGACCCAGTGAGGGAAATGGGAACATACCAGGCCGAGCAGTATGGCTAAATCCATTTATTCCAAAATCAAAAGCAAAAAAAAAAAAAAAAACAGGAGTCCCATCACCAGGGAGCCATGACCCCATCCCCGCCTCCTTCCTCGCTCCTATGCTAGCAATAAATAAGTTTCCCAGTCGCGAATAATTATAAGAACCTCTTCCTCATATGCCAGCTGCAACCTCCGCTAGGTACGATACAGAATGTTACACAGCTACAGTATGTACACGGGGGAAGGGGGGCCACCCCCAGCAGCCTGTGCCCTGGCCTGGTCTACAGTTAACTCCACTGTCCCGCCTCAGCTGCCTCTCTGAGTAAGAAGATGGGAGCCCCCCTGAGGGAAAAGTTGCTTTGGTGAGAGTAAGAAGGCCGTCAGACCTCCTCCAAACAAACCAACTCCACCAACCTCTGGCTCTTAAATAACAAACATCATCATCCAGAAATGTAAGGACTCAGCCTTGGTCAAGGTGGTAAAGGGTCTGTTTGTCTCCCTCCATTAGACAGGGGTCTTGTCTTGCTACCCTAATGGTAAAGGGCTGACTGGGGAGGGGTTGTAGGGACATGGTGGGGGTGAAGACTCCAGACCCACTTCTCCAGGCTTATGCTGACAGGGGCCTGCTTTTATTTATTTTTATTTTTATCCCATGATGTTTTTTTAAATCCCGTAACTTCTTTTTCAGAACTTTTTAAAAAAACTTTTCATAAAACTTTTTTTTTTTACTTTTTTCCCACATCTTTTTTTGCCACAACTTTTCCACAGTATTTTTTATCCCGTAACTTTTTCATCCCACAACTTTAATTCCTGTAATTTTTTAGTTTGTGTTCTTTTAATAAACACACTTACATGGTTACAATTTTGTAAGAATAAAAACCGATTATCTCATGCCAAGCATGCCCAGCATTTGCACAGTCTCAATACCTTTAATACTATAGTTTTCAAGACACACAAAATTTTTAGGCAAAACAGCACCTTGAAACAATCTAATAATTTATTACATTACAGTAGCATCACAGAAGCAGTCAATAATGCCACTTTAGACAAAAATCAGTATTTCCATCATGCATTCTGTGTATAAGAATTCATAAATCGGTAAAAGTCGTTCTAAGAAAACTTGGCAAATACAGCTTTGGACTGGAATTGGCATTTCTTTCTCTACTTTTCCTTCCCCTAGATTCTTTGTTTTAAGCTACAGTATTCGTATTTTAAAATGTTTTAAATTATTTTAAGACATTAATTTAACAGTTACATTTTTGAATAGTTATTTGAAAGTGACTGTAAGATAAAGTTTTAGAGAATCTATTTTGGATAGGGTTGATTTACATTTTCACATTTTCTAAAAATCAGCTTTGGTTTTAGAACTGATTGTTTTTCATTTCAGGAAAACCTATCAGGTTTAATCTATTACTTTAAAAATAATTATCATATATTGCAGTCTTTAAATAGGTATTTTGATTCTTTACTTCCTACAGAAATTCAAATTTATTCAGTCGAACTCACATTTTAAAATTCTCTCTTTCTGCTGAACTCTAACCTTCTAATATTGCCTTCTAAGCAAATTGAAAGCTGCCTTATACTGAATGAGGAAGAGAACAAATACTTGGCTGAATGAGGTACTGCAAGAGACTGCATGCACTTTGAAGAAAGACTTGAGTTATTGTCATAGGATTTCCATTCTCTTTAGCTTTTTCTTAAACATATGACAAAATACCTACACAGAGAGTGGTATTTGAGTTAATATAGTACATTTATTTTTCAGACTGACATTCAGCTTAAATATGCCAGTATGTGATTTAATCCACAGGTACCTGATGAACACATTATTGTCAGATTGGTTACAGTTGCTAAACGCTATCTGAAGGTCATTCCTAGTCATTTATACGTGTCAGGGTAAAAGTGAAGCGATTTGAACTATAAAAATACCTTTGAAATAATTTATCAATGTATTAGATAAGCTCAGTTTCAGAATGATAAACAAAAACTGTTAGACCAAATAACGTGGCTAATTAACAGTGGTACGATTTCTAGCCCGAGGGTTTAAAATGGAGTTAAAGTAAGTGTCTTTAAACTGAACTCAAAGAATGCAAAAGCGGCAAGTTCAGACAAGGCAAGAACAGGACCTTTAGTCCATTTTAAGCCATAAATATTACACAAAATATGCCTCTAACTGAAACTGAGAGGTATAAAAACATATTTCACTCTTCGTAAAGAACTTTGTGAGGAAATATAACTCTGTGATTGTATAGACACTTTCCTCATGACACTTTGACAGTCACAAACAGTAGATTGCGCTGCAGTTTGTAAACATTTTACGTTGCATAAACTGCTCCTTGATTTTCAAATGTAGTATAATACTGTCTACTAAAACTCCTTTTTGTTTCAACTAAGTACTCTCACATATATTAGTTTATAATAATGTTTGTTATTATTTTTAAAGTGTTCTCCATTCAAGGAAAAGAAGTAAATTCCTATGTCAGATGGTTGAAGACTAGCTATTAGCCAGAGAGGTCTAGATGGTAAAATCCATCTTCTAGCCTCAAATAAGCTCCATGAACACAGAGGAATGCCAGGTGTCACACAGCTTTCCTTCACTCGAATTCATTCTTGACTAGAGCCTGTATATGCCTGTTCCAGGGGCATTTAAACTCTTAAAGGATTTCTTCTGATCTTTACTAAATACATTAAGGAGAACGCCAACCAGTGCCCTTTTGTGTACTGGGACATGTAGTCATGTGATTAAAACAGGGAACATGAACTCTGACTTTAAAATGTATTGTAGATATAAATGCTCTCAGCTAGAAAAGGTTTTCCACATCCACAGTCATGATGGGAGCCTTTCATTCCTCAGAAATAATCCCTTTTCAGGTCATCAAAAAAGAGTACAACTGCCACAGCTCATGAGGCAGTATCTTCATGAGCCCAGAGCACATACAAATCCTAAGGGAACTACCGTAGTACAGCGCTCATTCTTGGCACCAGAACAAATGAAACATATTCTATCCTGCACACACCTGCCAAAGCAGGCCACTTTCCTCTTCTGGGAGATTTAAAAACCTCCCCAAAATGTTATTACTCCCATCCCCAATACACAGAAAAAGGGGGAAAGGCTGTTTCCAGTGCTCCACCTTTAAACAACTGTAAATGTCAGTACTCACAGTGGCATATTACAAAGTAATAGACCGCGCACTTGAGGGCAAACCACATATTGAGCTAATGAAGAGCTCACTGTGATTAGGATTCGATCAAACATAACAGCAGAACATAAGGAAATTTTATCTGAATTCCGTAATGAATATACAGGCTGTACTAACATTAAAAAAGCATGGCAGCCTATCCCAAACCAGCAAGAACAGTTGTGTGCATACAGTGGGTCTTTGTGTGTTTGAACTCCCACCACATAAGGGCAAACTCGATATGCATGCTAACGTCCTATAATTATCAAATTAAAAAAATGCTAAAAGATGCCAGAGTGAACATGAGAGAAAGACCCACTCTCATTTAACTTTTTACAAATAAATTTAAATTATAAATTAGAAACACAAATAAATTTAAACTATAAATTAGAAACACAAATAAATTTAAATTATAAATTAGAAACACAAATAAATTTAAACTATAAATTAGAAACACAAATAAACATAAGTGGCTCTAACATTCAAATGAAGTAAATGAATTGTGTAGGATATTAACCCCTTAAATGTTTTGTTTTTTTTTTTTTTCAATTTCTTGACCCGCTCTTAGATGATGGTGATGTTTAGCTCCCTGTTCTCCGCAGCCCGAAAAGAATGGCATGCAGCCTCTTCTGCTCCTCCTGCCGCCTCTCCTGTACCAACAGCTTCTCCACTCAAGCCTGGGTGCTCCTGGGGAGTCCTGCATTAGAGGAAGCAGCTGCTGGATCTGCTGTGCAGTGGGGTTGTCATGGGGGAGAACCCTCCCTGTCCTGTCCCGGTGCAGCCTCCATGCTATCAGTGAGGCTCAGCTCACTAAGATCTTCAGAGAGAGGGAGGGGGTGGGAATCTGGGCACAGTGCGAGCCTCCCCTGCTCCTGCCTGCCCACCCCGCCTGAGGGCTCTACTCACCACCCTGCTTGTCCGCACATCCAAGCTCCTTGTGGGACTGGGGCTCCAGGTACTGGTCTGGCTGCTGCTGCAGACTCGGAGCCTCTTGGCTCTTCAGCTCCACCTGCCGGAAGACCCTGGGCATGAGGACATGTGGTGGCTGGCTTCCAGATTCCTGGCCCATTAATAGGGTAGCGAGGGCACTGTGGGGCTCTGTGGCCTGCCCAGGCCCCTGGCCCCTTGCTCCAGGCCTAAGAGACTGTCTCCCTTGCCTAGAACCCCATGCCTCCTTCCCTAGCATCAAATCTCACGTCCTTTTTCCCAGCATGTAAACTGTAGGCCACAGACTGGTGGAAAAGCAGGCGGAGCCAACCACCATCTGCTAAGTGTGCTACATGCCTAATGTTTCCACGTATTATCTCATTTAATCCTCAGCACCTCTGCAAGGAAAAGGCTAACTTCCTTTTGAAGTTAAAGAAACAGAGACTTAGAGATGCAAAGTAGTTGAATTATGACCAGTGGAACCGAGGCCGGAATCCAGTTTGAATCTAAGGAGTCTTTTTTGTTTTTCTGTTTTGTTTTGTTTTGAGAGAGTGTCACTCTGTGTCCCAGGCTGCAGTGCAGTGGTGCAATCTCAGCTCACTGCAACCTTCATCTCCCGGGCTCAAGTGATTCTCGTGTCTCAGCCTCCTGAGTAGCTGGGATTACAGGCATGCACCACCAGGCCCGGCTAATTATTATTATTATTTTTAATTTTAGTAGAGATGAGCTTTCACCATGTTGGCCATGTTGGTCTCAAACTCCTGACCTCAAGTGATTGTCCTGCCTCAGCCTCCCAAAGTGCTGGGATTGCAGGCGTGAGCCACCACACCCGACATAAGGAGCCTCTTATACCACTGTCTCTTCCTCTGTGATTGGGGGGCTCCATGCCTCTAGCTGGGATGATGATGATGTCCAGACCTGGGAGGGCCCCAGGGCTACCCACCTCTAAAAGTCAGAGGGCAGGAAGCAAGAAACAGTCATAGGACTGCCCCGGAGGGTGCTGGGGTCACCTGTCCCCAGGCTGCAGCTGCCTGTGGCCTGGCACCTCCCCTCCCCAGAGGCTGGTGCCCGCCTCCCACATCTTCTTGGATGGGTCGGAGGTTACAGTCTCTTTCAGCTCACCCGACTTCTCCAGCTCCTTTACTTGCTGCTCCAACTGCAGTGTGCTCTTGTTCTCGTTGTTCTGGACAGAGAGAAGCAATCAGTGGCCACCCACTAAAACTGGAGACCCCAGAACTTAGTGTCTGCCTCCCATGGCACCGGGAAGGGTGGAGGCAGGTTAGAAAAATATCCCCTCTCTCCCACAGCCATCAGAGCGGGGCTCTGGCTCACAGATGCCTTTAGAAGTACCATTTCATGTGAAGGCTACAATGCCCCATTTTACAGGTGGGGAAACAAAGGCCTTGAGGGCTAGGGAAGAGGGCAGCCTCCCCAGGTGGGGCAACGTACCAGCTCCTCGAAGCCGCTGCGTGGCTCGGCCCGCTGCTCGTACAGGGCTTCCCACCCCAGCTCCAGCATCCTCTCCAGCTCCCGCAGCCTCTCCAGCTCCCGCAGCCTCTCCAGCTCCCGCAGAGTCTCCTGCTGCCACAGCCTCTCATCCTGTTGCCGAAGCCTCTCCTGCTCCAGGAGCTCCTCCACCTCGTCCAGCAGCCTCTCCCTCTCCAGCAGCCTCTCCTGCTCCTCCTGCCGCCTCTCCTGTTCTAACAGCTTCTCCACCTCTTCCAGCAGCCTCTCCTGCCCTGGCAGCTTCTCCTGTTCACACAGCCTCTCCTCCTGTTCACATAGCCTCTCCTCCTGTTCACACAGCCTCTCCTCCTGTTCACATAGCCTCTCCTCCTGTTCACACAGCCTCTCCTCCTGTTCACGTAGCCTCTCCTCCTGTTCACACAGCCTCTCCTCCTGTTCACGTAGCCTCTCCTCCTGTTCACACAGCCTCTCCTCCTGTTCACGTAGCCTCTCCTCCTGTTCACACAGCCTCTCCTCCTGTTCACGTAGCCTCTCCTCCTGTTCACACAGCCTCTCCTCCTGTTCACGTAGCCTCTCCTCCTGTTCACACAGCCTCTCCTCCTGTTCACGTAGCCTCTCCTCCTGTTCACACAGCCTCTCCTCCTGTTCACGTAGCCTCTCCTCCTGTTCACACAGCCTCTCCTCCTGTTCATGTAGCCTCTCCTCCTGTTCATGTAGCCTCTCCTCCTGTTCACGTAGCCTCTCCTCCTGTCTCCTGTTCAGGAGACTCAACATCTGATTGTTTTCCACCTCAGCCTGGAGCTGTCTTCCCACACTCTCTAGCTCCTTCCTTAGGTGGTTGGTCTCATCTTGTAGCTGCTCTACCTTAGATGGCCCTGCTGGGGGCTCTGGGGCCAGGGGTTCAGCTGAGAAAGCAAGCAGAGAATAAGGGCCTCTGGATTCTCAAAAAAAAAAAAAAAATCCTCCCTTTGGTGCACAGCTCCTCCTCTCAGGCTTCCCAAACTTGGCCTCACTGCTAATGACTCCTCACACCCGGATGGTAGACAATCTTCCAAGTCACTTTCAGATAGAGAGCACTGTGGGTGGCTGACAATGGGCACTCCTCCCTCTTTACTGATGGGGACACTGAGGCTCATGGAGATGACAAGACTTGTCCTCCCCTGGCACAGACCTCTTTCCCTCTGCCTCAAAGCCCTTCCATCCACCCACCTCCCTGGGGCATTCTAAGTCACCCCCACAGCCCTCTAATGCCAGTCCAGCTGCCAGGTCATGCCAGCCCCATCTTACCCGTCTGGTTTTTGAGTTTGAACAAGCTCCTCCCAAGCTTCTGTACCAGATGTATCTCATGCTTCTTCTCCTCCTTAGATGTGCGAACCTGCCCAAAGCAAAGGGGGAAAAGGGCCCTGGAGGGAGGGGCTGGTGAACGTCCAGAGACAGAGTTTGAGAAAGGCCCACCCCCCTTCTGCCAGTTTGTGATTTAGAAACGTGCATTCATTCAACAAACATTTACTGAGCATGTACAGGCCAGGTACAGTTCTTCATAGCAGAGATATAAAACAGCAAAGGACAGACAGGAGCCCTTGGCCCTGAGGTTTCCATTCTAGGGGCCTTTAAATCTCTGACTTTCAGAGCTAACCAAGACCTTTGATACTCTCTACCTCCTCCAGAAACACGAGCATAAAGAGGAGAGATGGCTTGTCCAGACTCAAAAAGCAAATTAGGGACTGAGGCAGGGCAGAAATATGGACCCCTGACAACCAGTCAGGCTAGTGCTTCCCAGAGAGGTGACAACCCCAGGGCATGTGTGGCAAGGACTAGAGCAGGGGTGTCTGGAGAAGAGAGAGTCAGCAAAGAGGGCAGTGCAGAAGACCCATGCTGCATGTTCTGTGCTCTGGGGTCCCTCCAGGTGAGACCTGGGTGCCCAGCTCCCCATTTGCCCTTGGCATCAGGGGCCCTTAGCTCCTTTCTTCAGGGCCCCAAGAGGAAACTGGAGTCCAGGATTGACCAGCTGTAATCAGGGGACCCCACTGGACTCTTACCAGTGAATTGATGTTTTCAGTGAGTTGACTGATTATTGCGGAGCTTGAATCCAGGGCCACTGCTAGTTCTTGGTACTGGCTCTGAGGTGCATGCAGAGAGAAGGAGTTGGAGGAAGATTGTGGGGAGGGGTAGAGAGAATAATCATTAGGGCTGGTGGGGGTGTGTGGGCTGCCTCAGCTGGCAGAGGGGCAACAAGCCCCTGCTGTGGGAGGAGGTTGGAGGGCTGGCCTGCAGGGTCACTGCACCTCGGCCCAGGGCCTCTTACCTCCAGATCCTGCAGGGTAGTAGAGGATGCACGGCCCTCCCCGTAGACACCTGTTGCTGACTGCAAGAGATGAGAGTGCACATGGAGATGTTCTGTCCCCCCTCACTGTCTAAGCCCTCTGACTTCCTTTCTTCCCCCATCAACTGGCAAAAGCTTCTTTTCTGCCTATCTTGGACCCTTTTCCCCATAACTCCTTTGTGCCAACTTCTCTCGTGGTTCTTATCTCCCCACCATCCCACCCTGGGGCCCTTTCAGTGACTCCTAAAGGGACAGCCTGATGGCAAGTGGCTCTTCTCATTGGCCTGGCTTCCCCTTGAGACTGGGGATGAGGAAAATCAAACAGCAACGACCATTTCCTCAGTGTCCTGGGTGTTTGCAGCAGGCCATGTACTAAGGATTCACATAAAAGCAACAATAACGAATCTCATTTAAACTTCACAAATGGAAGTCAAAAAATACCACCTCTATTATACAGATGTGAAAAGAGAGGCCCAAAGACCTCAAGCAACTTGCCCTAAATCATATGCTAATCAATCCCTAATCAATTCTTAGCAGACGGAGAGGCAGGATTCAAATCCAGAATTCTTAACCAGTACCCAACAGTCCATCTACAATCTTAACAATTACCCTCTACTGCCCCTTGGGCCCCCTGTCCCCAGGAGCCTGGCCCGCCGAGACTCACATCCCCAGGTGAGTGGTAACCACCAGAAGTGGCTGTGTCAGGGCTACTGCCATTGACTTTCTTTTTCCTGTTAGCTCCTGCTGGAATGCCAGGGCTCTTCCTCTGCCAATATGCTTTTAACTGTGGGAAAGAAGAGCAGTAACACTCATGAGAATGATCAGCCCCTACAGCCACATCCTCCTTTACAGTTTTGACAAAATACCCTTATATACCATCTGATGTAATGCCACCAACAACCGTACAAGGTGTTGTCACAATCAGTGACTGAGAGGGATTCATATCATGGATAGAAAAAAAAAAAAAAGAAAGATCAAAAAAGGCAATACTGGAACTTAAACTCAGTCCTCTGACTCCACGCTCTGGGGTTTTGCCATGAATCAGCAGCTTCCAGGGACCAAAACCAGGGGCAGAGGTAGAAAAGCACACATTAAGCAGGCAGGAACTGTAGGCCGTGTGGTTTAGAGTCATACATCCTCACAGGTCTGCTAGCGTGAAGAAGCGTACCAGTACCTCTCACACTTTCATATCAATGTGTCCTCATGGCAGAAGGCAGCTTTTCTATTAAATCTGGGAATTTATCAGAAAGAGGACAACCCAAGCCTCATTTCAGAGCAAAGTCTGGTATACGCTTGGAAACCTATGTGTCTGTCATCCCCAAGTACATTAATGCATTTTC
Source organism: Homo sapiens (assembly GCF_000001405.40). NCBI lineage: Eukaryota > Metazoa > Chordata > Mammalia > Primates > Hominidae > Homo > Homo sapiens. The sequence continues at coordinate 137,263 of NT_187606.1, forward strand.
TCAAGAGAATCAAGGGAAAATGATGCTTCAGAAAGATGTCCCGCATTTATCCTGTGGCACTCAAAGTACCCCAGGTTGAGACGATATGAGGAAGATTCAAGCTGTCAAGTTCAGTTTCCCAAGATCTATTCCACAGAAGATGAGCAAATCTCACTTCAGAGGCCACTGACTGAAGGGCAGTCTGGTCCCAGAACCGTGGAGAACTCAGAAAAAAATGTTAAAGTCTCTCTGGAAAGTAGAAGCCTGGGAAAAAACCAAACCAAACCCATTCTCCCATTGCCACCCAGAGATACTGTGAACATTTTGAGCTCACAGGGGAAGTGTAGGCTTTTCCCACTGTCAATGTCTATGTTAAGGGAGTAAGGCAGCCTGAAACCTCTTGCTCCTAGGTCCCATAGTCTCCACTCCCCTTCCAGCTGGAAATTTGTGCTGCAACCAGAGGAACCAGAAATGGGGTGAGAAAACTTAGGGGACTGGGTTGTAAGATCAAAGGCTGGTCTTGCAGCAGTAATGACAGTTCCTAGGGGCACTGTGACATCATTGCATTCCACTCCTCCCAGGGGAGGGGACCACATCAGCGCGATGCCCGAGTCGCTGCTCCACGATGGGGGAGGGAAACACACGGTTTCGACCCAGGTCCTCAGAGACGCCAGCCCAAGAAGCCTAGGGAGGTCGAGCTTGGGGCAGCAGGAGGGGAGGGCAGAGTCTGCAGTAGGGAGCCCCGGGAGTCACCAGCCCAAAGCCACCCAGGGATGACTGGTGAGGGCAGGGCCTGGGGCTGGGGGACCCAGGTCCTGGGAGACGCAAGCCCAAAGAGCCCAGGGAGGTTGGGCTTGGGGTGGCAGGAGGTGAGAGCTGATTATGGAGCAGGGAGCCCCAGGAGTCACCTGCCCAAAGTCACCCTGGGGTGATTGGCAAGGGCAGGGACTGGGCTGCTTGCTGAAGGGGTGGGGCTGACTGACTAGGCTTTGGTTGGGGGAGCCCAGAGGGGCTGGGGTTGGGGGGCCCCATCTGGTATGCCTCAGGAGTGGTATGGACTCTGGCACAGGTCTTGTCATCGGAGGGGATCTGTGGCTGGGTTGGGGGCCATGACCTGGTGTGTTTTACCTTTTTCTTGGCTGCGGCCAATTTCCCCTGTTGTGTTTTTTCTGACATCGCGGGGTGGGGAGGGAGGCGGGGTTGGGGCCACATCAGCGAAATACCAGTGAGCACTGCTCAATGCCTCCAGTCACCTACCAGGCAGCTGTGCAACTGAGCCACAGGTGGCGTAACCAGGGCACCAATGGAACGCAGAATAGGGGCGTGGCCTTAATGCTCCAAGCCCATTGGTCAGTGAGAAAGATGAAAGGGAAAGGAGGCGTGGCCAGGCAGCAGCATGTCCAGAGGGACCTGTGGCATCATAAGGAAAGCTGCCCATGCAACCGCTGTCCCCGCCCACTCAGAGAAAGGGGAGGGGCCGCCCACTCTGGGAGAGGGGAAGGGCTGGGTTTTGCTTTAAAACTTTTAAAACTGTAAAAAATAAACTTTAAAAAATATATGTGTATATACTTTATATATATGTGTGTCTGTGTGTGTGTATCTATGTGTTCCTCCAGAGCTGTCTTCATTATGCAGCTTCTGTGCAAAGTCTGTGATTTTGGCCTATATTTTTCATCTTCAAATGGAGTACAAGAATTACCAGTATTACCTTAACTGAGATATAGATCCTATAAAAATGGAAAATCCATAGCATGCTTGATGATTAATGAAGCCGACTATAGTATCCGACATTCCAATAAGACAAAATAATCACAACAATTTCTCTTTTTTGGAAAAATGTTTGTCTTATTCTCCTACATTATTGTTAAGATTTCTTTTAAAAACAAGAAACATGTCTAATATCTTTAAAAACACAAAGCTTTTGGGCCGGGTGCGGTGGCTCACGCCTGTAATGCCATCACTTTGGGAGGCCGAGGTGGGTGGATTGCCTGAGGTCAGGAGTTCGAGACCAGCCTGGCCAACATGATGAAACCCTGTCTCTACTAAAAATACAAAAACTAGCCAGGCGTGGTTGCGGGTGCCTGTAATCCCAGCTATTTGGGAGGCTGAGGCAGGAGAATCACTTGAACCCAGGAGATGGAGGTTGCAGTGAGCCAAGCTCACGCCACTGCACTCCAGCCTGGGCGACAGAGCAAGACTCCATCTCAAAAGAAATAAAATAAAATACAAAATAAGTAAGAACACAAAGCTTTCAATTTAATAACCACTTAAAGCTCTTTACTGGTTTAAGAGAATTACAAGGCCCATTTTTCTAGAATCACCTGGCCTCTCTAAGCCTTGCAAATGAAGCTGAATTTCTCACTTGATACTTGGCTCTCACTTGCAGTCATGAAAACCAAGAATTTGTTATGTCACTGTGTATTGCTTGTTACCTGAAATCCACACTAGGCTGGGATCAAGGGTTGAATCTTTCATGATTTTCTCCATAACCTGTGTGCTTCTTATCCCACACCAAACTAAGCTTTTTTTCTAGAGCTCTGCAACTTACAGTTAGTATATGAGAGCAGTTCTCAAAAATGTAGTCTCTGGACTAGCAGCTCCAGCAGCACCTGGGAACTTCTTATAAATACACATCCTCCGGCCCCACCCTGGACCTGATGAATCAGAAACTCTGGAGTAGGGCTCAGCAATCTGTGCTGCAGTAATCCCTCCAGGTGTTCAAGAACCTCTGGCATACAGCAGGTAGAAAAATGTGTTTCCTTCTGTAGGTCCAAAACCAGGGATACTATATGTTTTCTCTATATGAAACAATGACGTGCAATTAAAAGACATAAATCTCCTTCCTGCTCCCACCTTCCAGCCAATGTGTTTTATTTTTATGAGTTAAATAAGAAAACAATCAGAGATTTTGTCTAAATCGCATATTTACAGGTATCAGTTCTCATCCAGCCTGATCTTATCCAATATCATTTATATTCTCTTACATGTGAAGTTTTAGAGAAGGATCTTCACAATGTAAGACTCAGGCACACTAGCAGTTCTGTAATAAAACACCAAGTAGATCAGAATGTCCAAACTTACTGGAGAAGAAAAGTGGAATCATTGGCTATATTTTCAAATTGCAATAAACAGGATATTAAAGTTTTGAATTTTTTTCACCTTCATCCTTCCACGTTAATAGAATTAAGCCAAAATACTTGTCTTCCAAAGCCTCTAGCCAGGCAAAATTTTACTATATTACTTCTTGCTTTTCAATGGCTATAAAGCAGACTCCTGGTAGGCACATTTGGTATACCTGCAAAGATGAAGAACTAAACAGTTCCATCTGTTCAATACTGAAACAAAAGTCCTGCAAACCTCGGATGGTGAGTGTAATACTTCAGCACTAGCACCAAAGCCTCAAATATGAAAAGATACCAAGAACACCACTAGCAAACAAAACTAAACTCTCGGCTGGGAGCTCTAGTTCATGCCGTAATCCCAGCACTTTGGCAAGCAAAGGTGGGAGGATTACTTGAAGTCAGGAATTCAAGACCAGCCTTGGCAGCATAGTGAATTCACACCTCTACAGAAAGTTTTTAAAATTAGCTGGGTGTGGCAGCACACTTCCTGGGGCAGATGTGCCATTGCTGGAAACTTCTCTATGGAGAGTACCAAGTACTTCTACCTGTAGCATTTTCCCTGGCTGGAATCCTGCAATTATCACAGTAGCCCGAGATCCAAGAAGGCAGAGCAGGAGCATCCTGTCCCCTCCCCAGCAGGTGCAAGGGAGGCTGGGGGGTGAGGCACAAGCCCGTGGGAGGGTGAGGAGCAGGAGGGATGCATGGTGAGCCTCTGTTGACTGCTTGCTGCCTCAGCTGGAAGGTCAGGACCAAATGTCTATTACAGGTTAAATTACAGAAGTATTTCAGATTTTGGATTTTTTTCAGATTTTGGAATTCGAAAATCTGAAATCCAAAATGCTCCAATGAGCATTTCCTTTGAATCTGGCCTTCGAACATCATGTCGGCACTCAAACAGTTTTGGATTTTGAAGCATTTCAGATTTTGGATTTTCGGATGAGGGATGCTGTATTATCTTCTGAATGAGGCCACTCATTCAGGAAAGCCCAGAGCTTGGGGACGTGGAGCTGCAGACCAAAGAGGTGATTTCTGTAGTGGCTTTCAGTGCGGAAGGGCCTACAAAGTGGTTTAAAGCAAGCCACAAAATAGGAAACCCAATATTTAGCTAATGGAACTCTGATAAAACCTGCTCAAGATGTCTGTCTCTACTAATTCAGATGGAGCCAAGCCAAAGCATCATTATTATTTTAAAAAGGCACCAATCCCTCTGCAAAAGCACTGAATTATATCATGATACAATCATCAATTGTACCATGAATCACCATCAGCGGTGGTCTTTTAGGGATATGAAGAAGGGGTTTTCACAATACATCGCATGACACACCATCTTCCAAATCTCTAAACATTTCTCTCCACAGCCCAGTCCTCTCCATAGTTGTCCAAATCCCTCCCTCTTTTCTCTTGTTGTCTCCAAAACTCAAAACCATGCTCTGACTTTCTATATCCCGCCCTCCTCTTCTTGGACCATCTGGGAAGCCCCCTGCTTCCCCAGGGTGTCCCCTCCTCCCCTTCTGGGATCAGTCATCTTTCCTCAAATGGACCAGTTCGGCCTCTCTTAGTTTCTCCAACTCTGCATCTCAACCTTTCTCCCTTCACTACACAATAATGTCCAGGAGGCAAAGAGCCCACAAACCTGGGAACCTCCCTTTCCAGAAGGGAGGTTCTGGAATGACTACAAATATTTGGTTATGATTTTCTTCCCTGCCACGCCTGTTTTCATGGGCAGTGCTGAGCCCCGGTCCTGGCAGAGCTCAGAACCAGGCTCTCATGAGCTGGGGCAAGTGGGGCCTAGGGAACCTCTGGGTTGAGGACCTTGCACCCCACTCTGCAGCTGCCCTGCTGATTTGGCTCATGCAACCTCTCCTCCTGGGCTCAAGCGATCCTTCTACATCGGTCTCCCAAGTAGCTGGGATTTGGGCTACCACGTTTGGCTAATTTTTGTATCTTTTAGTACAGATGGGGTTTCACCTGTAGCCCAGGCTGGTCTCGAATCCTGGGCTCTAGTGATCTACCCTCCTCAGCCTCCCAAAGTGCTGGGATTACAGGTGTGAGCCACTGCGCCCGGCCTTGTGCCAGCTTTTAAATATCAACAAGGACAAATTAGAGAACAGTGGAAGAGGGTGAGCAGCATGATGAGGTGATACAGAAATAATTTCACATGAAGAACTGGGCATGCCTGGCTTTTTTTTTTTTTTAAGCTATTCTGGGTTGGATGCTGAGGCTCACACCTGTAAGCCTGTAATCCCAGCACTTTGGGAGGCCGAGGTGGGTGGATCACCTGAAGTCAGGAGTTTGAGACCAGCCTGGCCAACATGGTGAAACCCTGTCTCTACTAAAAATACAAAAAATTAGCTGGAATTGGTGGCATGTGCCTGTAATTCCAGCTACTCGGGCAGCTGAGGCAGGAGAATCGCTTGAACCTGGGAGGCGGAGGTTGCAGTGAGCTGATATCGTGCCATTGCACTCCAGCCTGGGCAACAAGAGTGAAACTCTGCCTCAAAAAAAAAAAAAAAAAGAAAGAAAGAAAAGAAAATATATCTATGCACCAGAGCTCAACACTAGGTTAGGAGCATTTCTGAGATTTGGAGCTATTCAACCATGGAAGTTCCTGGCACATACATCAGGTATTCACAATACCCTTTCTCAGGTGTTTGGTCACTGCTAGTGAGCCTGCCTGGATCAGTGTTTCCCAAATGGCAGTCATTTGCATCTTTGCATTTTTTTTGGGGGGGGGGTTGTGGGGGTATATACCATACCAGATTTTTTAAAAATTCACATTAAAAATACATGTATAAAATGTGTAAAGTGCACTAATCTAAAGTGCACTGGATGTATTTTTTATTGATGTACATACTTTTGTTATCCATCACCCAGGTCAAAATACAGAATCAGCACCACAGAGGGTTCCCTCCTCCTCCTTCCCAGCCAATAATCTTCTCCTCCTACCTAACCAACTGTTCTTACTTCAATCACTGTCAACTAGTATTTTACATTCTTGAACTGCATATAAAGTGTCTCAAGTTTCACTTAACACTTTTCTTGAAATACACTTGTTTTTTGCCACTTTTTATTTGACCTAAGAAGTAACATTAATGAAACAATGATTTGACGTGATAGGCATTTCCCTCCTAATGAGCACTAAAACACTTAACTATTTGAAAAAAGAAGTTTCTCCGTGTACCAGCTAATATATTCTCCTCGGCCGCCGTTGGTACACGGACCACATTTTGTTTCTCAAAGCAATCCGATGATTTCTGAGGTCCTTTGCAGCTTGAACACGGAACGACTGTGGTGATCGAGTAGCCAAAAGTTCACGGAATGCACTGTCACAATTGTGATTCCGCCATAGCGCCGTGCATCCATCCAACACTTGTTTAATACCTATATTTAATACCTAATACCTTAGACTGTCCTAGGCTGTGGACACAGAAGACTAAACCCCACTTCCTGAGTTGAAGTGGGGGAAATAGAGGAGTAAATCATTTCACGATGTGTGGTTAAATGCTACAGCTCAGGTAACCACGAGCACACAGAGAAAGGGCAGTTTCTAGAAACAGGGCGGAGAGGAGACCGTGAGTGGGCATTTCCCAGAGCAGTCTCTGCCAGCCACCCTGCTGTGATCACTTTGCCACAGAGCAGCCCCGGCGGTCAACCTCAGCCTCCCTTAGCAACCTGAGCGCCCCGCCCAGGTGCCTTACTATTGGTCTCGTGGAGCGGGATGGGCAGCTCTGCCGTGCAATCCCAGCTCGCAGCCCTTGCCCCGCGTGTACTCACGGGAGGACTCGCAGACGTTACTGCCCTCTTGCGTGCCCCGGCCACCCCCGGGCGGCTTGTAGCCGGTGCGCGGGGTGGCTGGGGCTACGTGCAGAGCTGTCGCGGAGCCGGAACAGCAGCGGTGAAGCCCCTCGGCTCGGCCGAGACCGCCGTGCCCATTGCTCGCCTCGGTTGCCGCCGCTTTAGCCGCAGCCGCTGCTGCCGCCGCCGGGGGAGAGGCAGCCTATTGTCTTTCTCCGCGGCGAAGGTGAGGAGCTGTCTCGGCTCGGCCCGCGGGGGAGCCCCGGGAGCCGCACGGTGAGAGCGCAACTTAGTTGGCGGAGTTGGGGGAAGTTTTGTGATTTGAGGAGGGGTCGGGGTGCGGAGCGCGGCCCGTCCCCTGCGGCCGCTCGGTGGGGCGGGCCCCAGAGGAGGGTCGGGGGCTGCGCGGGGCTTCAGGGGCGGGCGGCACGGATGGGTAGCCGGGCGGCGCGGGGACCTCAGCTTTGCGGACCCCTCCTCCCTGCGCATCACCCTTCTCCCGCATTGTCTGCTTGGGGCTCGGCGCGCCTCCCACTCCGCAGCCCAACTTGGGGGCCGTCGCCGCTTTCCGGATGGGGGGCGCGCCCGGCGGCGGATGGCCCCGAACCCTTGCCCCGGGTCCCCGGGTTGGCGCCGCTGGGGCGGACTCACTCCTCCCCTGGGGCGGGCGGCCGCGGTGTGGAGTCCGCGCCGCGAACAAGTGCTGCGGGCGCGAGGGAGCGGTTCCCCGGGGCCGACGCGGACGGTAAACCTGTCCGGCGGCGCCCGCCTGCTGGGGCCTCTCCGCTGTTTCTCGCGGGCGCGGCCCGGCTGAAACTGCGACCGTCGGAGGCGAGCGGCCCTCTGGGACCCGTGCAGCCGGTCCACCTTGCAGCTATACTTTGAGACTAAACATTTTTTTTTTTTTTTTTTGCAAAGGCAAACCGGTATGTGAAGTTGAAAAAATCAAAAACCCTCAAATTTTCCTTCTTTTTTTTTTTTTTTTTTTAAATCAAGAAAGGGGGTAGATAGGTTTGTTTTGTTTTAGAAATAGTTTTTATAGCAGAGTGATACCGTCACATTTAATGATCCTACTGTGAATTCAAGAATTCACGATGAAAGTTGGATTGAGCGGTATTTTGGTGTTCATTCTTTGCTGATACTCATTAATGAAGTTCGTTGGAGAATTTATTGCTTCAGTACAGTAAAAACCAGTGTGCCTTTTTTTTTGTTACTACTCCCCCCTCCCCGCATTGTTTTATTTTTCGAAGAAGCACTTTATTCAGTTTTTCTAAGCCACGGGATTGCCCAGATGAGGACCAACGGTGCAGTTCTTGAAAGGTCATTATTGGCAAGTTTGTGAGGGAGCTAAGATGAGTTGAGATAAACCAGTGTTACTGTTCTTGTATTCTGTCGTGGACTCTTGGGGATTTGCAGGCTGCATTAAGTACAAGTCTGGTCCAGTTTTGGGTGCACGTATTCCACTGAATTTGGTTCGTCTGGCTTATTATATGAACATGATTCTGTTTCACTTCCCCAGATGGAACTAGCTTAAATGTCTATCATTTATAGTGACAAATGATCAAAATGGCTAGAGTGTCATTTATTAACTTCAGTTGTAGTCCTTTACCTTACCTTCTGCTAAATGAAAAAGAAAAATTTGACAAATACTGTGTGCGTCAGTTTGCTCTGAGTGATTTCTCGTGCTAAGTGAGTCCTGTGGAGAAGCGTTCCTGGGCTTTTCTGGTTTGGTGGGCCTTGTGTTATAAAACCAATTTTCTTCACCTGATGAAGCTAAAGACAAATTTTCTTCAGGCACAGGCATTGCCCTTTTAAACTACAGAGCCACTTGTAGGATTCACAATACTCACTCAATGGCTTCCCTTCCTGGCAGTGTGGTTTTGTGTGTGTGTGTGATTGTGGGGAAGGAGGCTGACAGAGGTTGGAAGGGATTGTCAGGGAGGGACATCATGTAAGCAAGTACTAACAACATAACGTGACGAGGGCACCAGTTGCTTTCCTTCTGTGGGCGGTGATGGCATGTTATACTGTAGGTACTATTGTTGTAGGATTTCTCACAGTTCGTTTGCCTTGACTAAATGGTAACTGCACACATACTATACTATAAATGGACTCCTCCTCTAGTCCTTTAACTCCTTGAGGGCTGTGATAGACCTTATTTAACTTTGTACCCTCTTTGCCAGTGGTTTTAACATAGTGCAGGCCCGGTATGTGTTTGAATTGGGTAAATTACTTTTACTGCCTAGTGGTAGCTGGTGTACACAGGAGAGGGCCACCAACTCTGGGGACTTGTCCAAAATGACAATTCACTTGCAGATCTCTGATGAAATTTACTTTAAAAGGACTTCTAACCTTTTTTTTAATCTGTCGGTTATTTTTTGAAAAGAAGTGGGGCTTAACTAGTGCTCTAAGGATTTTAACAAGAGATTCCGATTTAGAAATCTGTTCCCCCTTTTGGTGAAATTATTATTTTTTTTAGAGTCAGAATCTTCACTGTTGCCCAGTTGTCTCCCCGGGACCCAAGCCGTCCTCCCACCTCAGCCTCCCACAGTACTGGAATTACAGGCGTGAGCCACCCCACCCAGCTGGTGAAATTATTAAAATTGTAGTGAAAACTCTGCCTCCATTGTGAAATTGGAAAAAAATTAGAAATTTTAGAAAAAAGTACGCCCTTTGGAGCTAGGTAGAGTTCAGATCCCCACATTTCCATTGAGTAGTTGCATAGCCTCTCAGAGCTTCAGCTTCCTACTCCTTAAGGGTTAGTAACATGCTTTGCAGTGTTGTTAGGAATCAGTGAAACTGTGTGAGATACTTAACTGCAGTATCTAACATGGAGTAGGTAGCTATTTCCTGGTAGCTGTAATGATAATAATTTTGATACGTTTTTACATGACTTAAGCATTCTGAAAAGTCTGATGCTTCTGAGTATGGAGGCTTAGCTATTTCTTTCATAAAGAAGGGGCCCTGAGACTTGTGAGTCTTATCCAAATGCGTTTCTTCAAAGGTGTCAGATGAACTGAAGGATAATGGAAACAATAGCAAATTTATCTTCTCAGTCACCTGTGAGTCTTCCTTTGAGAGTGGGACTTGCAGAGTACTTGGTAGGGTAGAGCTCTTTGTGACTATGCTATTTAGGAAATGGTGAGAGATGGATTGTTTTCAGTACATCAGTCATAAGAGGATATGAGTGAGTTCCAACTTTCCTTATTTTACCTTAGTCTTGACAAATAACAAGTATGGATTATGTCTGTATTTCTCAGACTTGTTTAAGGTAGAACTGGACTGGGTGTTAACAGTGTTAGTTCAGCAGAGACATGAGCAAATCACTCACTTCCCCTTCAAGATAACACTTTAAAGGTGCCACCATTTGCAGAAGAAAGCAGTGATTTAAAGCAGCTATACTAGCACAGTTTAGAATACTTACACTAGCTGATGGAGTAGATACATTCTAGAAATATTTACCTGTAGTGGGAGTTGAACAGTGAGAACACATGGACACAGGGAGTGGGGAACATCACACACTGGGGCCTGTTGGGGGTTGGGGGGCTAGGGGAGGGATAGCATTAGGAGAAATACCTAGTGTAGATGACGAGTTGATGGGTGCAGCAAACCACCATGGCACGTGTGTACCTATGCAACAAACCTGCACGTTCTGCACATATACCCCAGAACTTAAAGTATAATAATAAGAAAGAAAAATAAATATTTACCTGTTAAGGACATTTCTGTGTATTTTATTCCATCTTTCCAATAGTTTTCTTATGAAGAGATTATAGTTAACCTTTGAACTTAACAGATTGAGAGGGTAAACCTTTAAAAAATATATTTGGTCACACTTACAGACTGAGGGTAAAAACATTCCTGACAAAGCTAGGCGAAGACACTTGGACTTTTTTTTTTTTTTGAGACGGAGTCTCGCTCTGTCACCCAGGCTGGAGTGCAGTAGCACGATCTTGGCTCACTGCAACCTCTGCTTCCCCGGTTGAAGCGAATCTTCTGCCTCTCCCGAGTAGCTGGGACTACAGGCACACGCCACCATGCCTGACTAATTTTTGTATTTTTAGTAGAGACGGGGTTTCACCATATTGACCAGGCTGGTCTTGAACTCCTGACCTCGTGATCCACCCACCTCAGCCTCCTAAAGTGCTGGGATTACAGGCATGAGCCACTGCACCCGGCTGAAACTTGGACTTTTGATGTTTCCTTCTTTTAAAGTTAACATCTAGCACTTGAATAGACTTGGTTATTACTGATGGGGACAGGCATCCATTTGGAAGTAGCTTCCCTCTCTCTCTCTTTCCCAGGTTAGGCTGTCTTATTGCTGTAAATGGGGAGAGAAGAGAAAGCCGTGGGTGGAAGAAAGTGTTTCATGGCCTGGTGCGGTGGCTCATGCCTGTAATCCCAGCACTTTGGGAGGCCGAGGCGGGTGGATCACTTGAGTTCAGGAGTTCAAGACCAGCCTGGCCAACATGGTGAAACCCCGTTTCTACTAAAAACAGAAAAATTAGCTGGGCATGGTGGCGGGCACCTGTAATCCCAGCTACTTGGGAGGCTGAGGCAGGAGAATCACTTGAACCCAGGAGATGGAGGTTGCAGTGAGCCGAGATTGCACCACTTCACTCCAGCCTGGTCGACAGAGCGAGACCTTGTCTCAAAAAAAAAAAAAAAAAAAAAAAGTGTCCCACTCAGTTGCCCAGGCTGAAACGCAGTGGCAGGATCACTGCTCACTGCAGCCTTGAACCAAGCGATTATCCCACCTCAGCCTCCCAAGTAGCTGGGATCACATGCATGCACCGCCATGCCTGGCTAATTTTTTTATTTTTGTAGAGACAGGGTCTCTCTGTGTTGCCCAGCCTGGTCTCAAACTCCCTGGATGAAGCAATCCTCCCACCATGGTCTCCCAAAGTGTAGGGCTTACAGGCGTGAGAGCCACCATGCCCAGCCTGCTGGGGTTTTTGATTGACATTGCATTGAAGCTGGAAATCAGTTAGGAGGCAACTGACATTTTAATAATGAGCCATGAACATGGTATATCTATGTATTTAGACCTTAGATTTTTCGTCAGTGTTTTGTAGTTTTTAGCAATTGGATCTTGCTTGCATTTTGTAATCTTACACATTTATTTCATGTTTGTGGTACTGTTGTGAATGATACTTCTCAATTTCCAGTTGGTGATTGCTAGTATATAGGAAGATGATTTTATGTTATATGCTGACCTTGGATTCTACAACCTTGCTAAACTCATTTTTAGTACTAGAAGCTTTTTTGTAGATTTTTGGAATTTTGTGCATAGACAGCAATGTCACTGGCAAATAAGGGCAGTTTAATTTCTTTGTTTTCACTTTGTATACTTTTATTTCCTTTTTTTTTTTTTTGAGACGGAGTTTCTCTCTTGTTGCCCAGGCTGGAGTGCAATGGCGTGATCTAGGCTCGCTGCAACCTCTGCCTCCTGGGTTCAAGCGATTCTCGTGCTTCACCCTCCCCAGTAGTTGGCATTACAGGCGCCCGCCACCACGCCTGGCTAATTTTTGTATTTTTAGTAGAAATAGGGTTTCACCATGTTGGCCAGGATGGTCTCAAACTCCTGACCTCAGGTGATCTCCCTGCCTCGGCCTCCCAAAATGCTGGGATTATAGGTGTGAGCCACCGCTTCCGGCCTAAGAGGACACAGTTTCTTTGGCTTATTAAGAGGTATTTGGTTAGTGTTAGACCGGGGGTTGGTACATTATAGCTTGCTGACTGGATGTACCATGCTGCCTCTTTTTATAAATGAAGTTTTATTGGAACACAGCCACACCCATTCATTTACATATTGTTTAACAGAGACCATATGACCTACAGACCCTAAAATATTTACCACTTTGCGCTTCGCAGGCATTTTGCTGGCTACTGCTGTGGACACCAATTTTAATTTAGGTAGATAAACTTTTTTGTAGCTTCTGAGGTTTTGCATTAATTTGCTCAGGCATATAGGTTGGTGGAAGTGCTTTCTGTTCCTTCTCCCAAACCAATCACACAGCCATATAACTTCATGCCTGAGTTTCTGTGTGGTCCTCTATAGTGAGTGAGTTTTTACATACTTCTTTGCAGCAGCATGAATTTCAAAAATCTCAACGCTTTTGCTCTTGCTAATCTTTGTAAACTTTGTACACCCAGTGCTGGTACATTCTGATGATAGTGCCCACACTGCACTCTATGAAGAAAAGACTGATGATTGTTTATATTAAAATGCAGGAAGAGAATTGTAGCGGCAACTTTTGCTTCTCTAATCAGCAGCATCATAAGAGACTTACTATGTGTGGGCAATGGGGGAAAACGTTAATTTATACATTGAGATAGTTGTATTAAAATTGAGTGACTCTTACTGTGACATAAAGTGAATGTGTCTCTTATACAGCAGAAAACTATTAAATTTGTTTTTTCTCAGCAGTATAAAATAAAGTGGAAAATGTGGGAAGAATACAAATCCTTAACTTCTGTGCTTCTGCTTATTTCACACCCCTCAAATTTCTGATTCCTTTCAACTGTAGCTGGCTTTACTACTGAGTGGTGAAATTGCTGAACATACTTAAAACTACATCATTTAAGACTTTGAATTTTGACATCTCCTCCTCTTCACAGTCTTTCAAATACTAGGCAACCTGTAGGGTTCCACTGTGTCTGTCATGTGTTGTCCCTGTGTTACATGAAAGCAGCCCCAGTGAACTTGTGAATTTGCTCAGTCATTTCACTGGCTACTGGGTGAGGAAGAAGTAGGATTTTCTCTCTTAAAATTCCTTGGTGAAATCATTGGATGGGCACGGTGTGTTTCTTTAATTTTCCTTTTGGTCAAAAATCTGACAAAGCAAAGACTTTCAGTTGTTCTTGGTCTTTCAATAGGTTTAGTTTTTAAGTGTGTCTACTCTGACCAAAAATTGCCTTCCTGTAATATGCTCCTTCCTTTAGAACACAGTTCTTAAGTAGAGTTTGTTTGTTTAAATGTATAAAAATAAGTTAATGCATTCTATGCAGCGAGGTTTTGCATCAGAACCCTGAGTTCTCAATGTGGCAGGTTTAAGTGTCTAGAACACCTTTTACCTGTTTTTTCTATTACTTGCTTTTTTATTTTTGGGGTAAATGATATCTTTCTCAGGGAGGCCTTCCCTCAGCACCATGTTTAAGAGGGCATCTCCCTCATTTGCTATTCCTTCTTCTGTTTTATTTTGCTATATGGAATTTGCTACTATGTGAAAACTATTTTAATGTTTTATTTACCTGTGTTACCCCTAGAATAATATCTATGAAGGTAGGGATTTTTATCTGTTCCTTCTGTGCCTACAGAGTGTTGAGGAGTATGGTGTCTGGCACGTTGTAGGTGCACAGTGACAGCTGAATTAATAACGTCAGGGAGAGTTTGTAGGATGGGGCTCAAGGTGTAGGGCAAGTCAGTTTTTAGATTTGAGGTTATTAGCAGGAGACGATGTGGGGGGAAAACACATGTTTTAATGTCAGACTGGGTTTGAATCTGGTCTCTCCAACTTACCCTTTGACCTTGGTGTTAAATAATTTAACCTTTGAAAGATCAACTTTTTCACTAGTGAAACGGGAAATAGTATCTTTTTAATGGGGATTAAATGTAATATCAAATATAATGCTCTGTAAATGTTAGTTTTGTCTTTCCCCTTGTGTGCCAGCATTGTGGAAGTCTGAAAGCAACCTGAATTTACCAGTCTGTTTCTGGAGCCTTCTGGGGTCATTACTTTGATTACTTTTGACAGATACATTCTTTTCAGCAGCCTGCATTGCCAGCATAACAATGACCTGTCCCTTTGACCAGTGTGGGGGACAGACACTTTGTCATCCCTCTTTTAATCCGTGTATCAGAACAACTCCTACAAGTTCTGGCTTTGAAACATGTTTAGAGGAGTTTATAATTCCGAACAGTTCAGATGACATCAGCCCTTTCTTAGAGTCCTCTGAGTTTGCTCAGCTTCCTCATTCCAGTGTGGCGGGAACCATTCAGTTAAATTGATGTTTGTGGTCTTTACACATAGTCATCCTAAGTTTCTTGCAAATCATGAGCTATCAGAGGGCTACTAAGTCACTAGTTTGTCTCTGTAGATTTCTCTAATCCAAGCTTGTCCAACCGCAGCCTGCAGGCTGCATGCAGCCTGTGAAGGCTTTGAATGTGGCCCAATACAAATTCGTAAACGTTCTTAAAACATTGGCCGGGCACGGTGGCTCACACCTGTAATCCCAGCACTTTGGGAGGCCGAGGTGGGTGGATCACCTGAGGTCAGGAGTTTGAGACCAGCCTGGCCAACATGGTGAAACCCCGTCTCTACTAAAAATACGAAAATTAGCTGGGCATGGTGGCACACGCCTATCATCCCAGCTACTCGGGAGGCTGAGGCAGGAGAATGGCTTGAACTCAGGAGGCAGAGGTTGCAGTGAGCCAAGATGGTGCCACTGCACTCCGGCCTGGGTGACAGAGTGAGGCTCCACCTCACAACAAACAAAAAATTATGAGATTTTCCTTTTTTGCAATTTTTTTAAAGCTTAGCAGCTATTATTAGTGTTCGTGTATTTTATGTGTGGCACAAGACAATTCTTCTTCCAGCGTGGCCCAGGGAAGCCAGAAGATTGGATCCCGCTTCTTTAAGTTTTATGGATTAACAAGGGGTTAATTCCTGTATCAGTTTCACTGATGTTTCTTCTGCTTGATGCAGGAACACTTGACAAGTTAGTTAAGGTAGATTGGTCCATAAATTTATAGGTTCTTTCATTCCCATGTCCTAGGCAAGTCTGAGCAGGACCTGGAAAGCTGATTAAAAGGCCAGTGAGCACAGTGAGCTTAATTGTAAATTAAATGGATATTTAATACATTAAGAAGGCACTCAAGCCTTTCAATCTTTCATTTTCATCCATGCTTGCTATTTGAATCTGATGGGCTTGATATTGACCTTGTTCTTCTTGTAAAAATGTTGGTTATTGCTGCCTTTCTCAAGCTTGGTTTTCAGTGTGGATTTCTGCAGATAATTTTTGCACCTAAAAGTACAAAGTCATTAAGTGAAGGCAGTCAGGAAGGAAAGAGTGCCCTGAGCCAGGAGGTCTGTTACAGCACATGGGGTGGACAAGAAAATGAATGGACATGGGCATGGAGGTGGTTCAGTCAGTGTGGGAAGGCCACCTGCTTGTCAGCTTTCTACTGCGTTGTCCAGCAGAACACGTTGAAGCTTGGGGCCTGCAACTCGTGTAGAGATGATTGCATTTAGGAGGCTGAGGTAGATTTTTTCCCTCTTAAGTGTGTGCTCACTGCTTTTTGGCGAAGTCTTGACCCGAGACATACACAGCTTGATCTGTGAGGATTTTAACATCGAGATGGTTCTGTTATTTGAGTTAGGCATGGCTAGGCTACCAAGGCATTGCTTTTCAGTCCAAACATTTGGTCATTTCAATTTATTGTTAGTGAGGTTTTTGCGATTTGTTAGAACACAGAGTTTGGGATTTTGTCTGTTTTTTGCATGTGTGAATGACACTTGATATTGTTGTTTATATTGCTGGTTAGTATGTGCCTTCATTTACCTATTGTGAGTAAGAAACTTCCTCAGATCAAATTATAGTGAAGTCGCTTGGTTCTGTTTCTCTGACTCTTAAGAGGATGAGATCACTTTATACACAAACTCAAGCTGTTTGGTAAAGGACCTACCATTCTGAGCATTCATAGCCTAGATGAAGTCCTGGTCCAATCACCAAGTTAAACTTTTAAAAAACATGCTGTTCTTAATGTTCAGGAATTCAACCCTGGAAGCCTTCTCTAAATCTTAATGAGAGTTTTATGAGAATTCATTTAGTGAAAATATCTATCAGGGAATCCGGCTATTAACTTTGAGGAGGGTCATGCCTTTTAGTGGTTAGAGAGGCAAGCTGTAGCCTCCCTTCTCAGAGAAGGGGAATTGAGGAAGAGGGTTCTAGTGGTCCCTTGCAATCCTCCCCTCACTTTCCAGGTTCCCTAGTAAGACCGGAAGAAGTCCCTGAGTAAACAGCATTTTGTGAGTTTGAGGGACTATGTAAAAATGTAAGTGAACATACAATGGTTTTGCTTTGATAACTGTTTTAAATATCCTGTTGGTTGTTGAAACTTCTGTGACGGTGAAGCCTTTTTTGTCTTTATTTTTCAATCGGAAGATCTTTCTTCCCCACTTGAAAAGATTGAGTCTGGGGTCAATCCCTGACCCCGCTTCCTTCCTAAATCTCTTAGTGTATAGCATACAGCTGGGCATATGGTAATCTCAGGCACGGGATTGTACTCATAGAGCTATGCTTGACACCTAGGTCTTTAGATGGCTTCTATATTTTTGATGACAACTTTTAATTTTATTCTCATTTATTCCATTTCTGTTTCAGTGTCCTGGGTCATGAAACTTAATCCACAACAAGCTCCCTTATATGCGAGTAAATCATACGATTTCTTTTCATTTTGTATTTATTTGTTCTGTTTACTTGTTATAATAAGCCACACTCTCACATGATAGATCCTCAAGGAAAATTTTAACCATATGTGCATGAATATATTGGTGTAAGACACTTCAGAAATTGAGTTTGATTTAGTAAGTACTAAATGGCTAATCTGTGCATGGAACTGAAAACAAATAATACCTGTAAGACTTGCGAGTTAATTTAGTCAGGGCGATAGTATGCACGTATGAAACAAATTGTCCTGCCAAACAGTACTGTAGCTTCTTATTTTTTACCTGCAGTGCATTCCTGTAAAAGTAGTGTGGAGATCCTCCTACTGCCACTGTGATTTACGTTATGTTGCCACTAGGTGGCACTATGTCATTGGCAAGAGTGCTGTGTTCTTTAGGACTCTGGGTGAAAGCTGATATATCATCTCCCTGAAGTGAGGGACTTTGAAGATAAAATTGATAAATGATTGAATCAAGGCTGGAAAAGGTAGGCTGTAGGCGACTATTCTTCATTATTGTAAGAGTGAATTAATTGAATTTGGGTGGTGAAAAGTACCCGTTTGATGAGAAGCCAGCTTAGGGTTGTGGATGGTTAGAGCTGTGAGAGGCCAGTAGATGCTGGGTTGCTATGCTCTGGAGAGGGTGAGAAAATATATTTGTAATAGGACTTGATTCCAGCCTTCAAGAATATGGATCATTTATTTGGACAAAACGTCCCCAGAATTAGTTGAAGACAAAAGGCAAATGGTCAGGAATGGGAGGCAGTGAACATAGTGTTGGATGAATAGTGGGGGGATGGTCAGTGGAAACTCTGGCCCACCCAAGTTTGTGTCAGGTAATAATGGGAGATAAGCCTGAAAAGGTGGATAAAGCTCAATTGTGAAGGAAGACAAAGGTGTGAGGATTTTGTTTTGTGACCACCGAGGAGCCATTGATGGTGTTTAATTTAAGGATGCTTTTCCTTTTATGCGTTTGTACATAAAAACATAAATGTACTTAACCATTCTGTATTAATAATAGTCATTTACCTTTCCAACATAAAATGTTCATGTAACTTCTGCATAGCTGATTTTTACGTTAAATGTAACATGTAAAGAAATATATGTGTGTTTTTAGAAGACGTCTTATGTGCTCATTTTCTTTCTAGATTACTTGGAGATAATTTATGTTTACCAGTGGTTTTGCATGTGAACTGGGTACCTTGGGTTATTTATTATTATTATTATTATTATTTAGAAAACGGGTCTCGCACTGTCATCCTTGTTGGAGTGCAGTGGAGCGATCATAGCTCGCTGCAGCCTTGAAGTCCTGGGCTCTAAGCAGTCCTGCTTCAGCCTCCCGAGTAACTGGGAGTACAGGCGCATGCCACCATGCCGAGCTAAATCCTCCCTTTTAAAGTGTGTGATTCTTTGGTTTTTCGTGTGTATACAGTTTTGTAATTGCCATTGTCTGACCAGAACATTTTCATCACCCCCCAAAAAAAGTGCCATATCCATTAGCAGTCACTCACCATTCCCTGCTCCTCTCAGGCTGTGGCAACCACTTGTATACTTCCTGTCTTTATTGATATACCTATTCTGGAAAGTTCATATATATGTATGATATATATGATGTATATATGATGTATATATGATGTATGTGGTATATATATGATAGATATCATATGATATCATATATATCATGATATATATATCATATGATATATATATCATATGATATCATATATATCATGATATATATATCATATGATATATATATCATATGATATATATCATATGATATCATATATAATATATCTATCATATCTATCATATATAATATATCTACCATATGATATCATATATCTCATGATATCATATATCTCATGATATATATCATGATATATATCTCATATATCATATGATATATGATATATAATTTTTGTAAATATATATGATATATCATATATATTTGATATATATGATATATATGAAAAATATATATCATATATGATATATAATTTTATATATTTATATATAGAAATTTATATATATAAAGTTATATATAATATATAATTATATATATATAAAAGTTCATGTATATATAAAATCATGCAATACACGGCCTTTTGTGACTGGCTTCTTTAATTTAGCATAGTGTTTTCAAGATTCACTCATGTTAGAACATGAATCAGTACCTTGTTCTTTTTATTAATGAATGACAGTCCAATGACTGGTTACATCACATTTTACTTATCCATTCACCAGTTGATGGGCAGTTGAGTTGTTTCCACTTTTGGTCTATTATGCATAATGCTGCTGTGAACAGCAAGTTCTGGTGAAGACATATGTTTTCATTTCTCTTGGGTATATACCTAAGAGTAGAATTGCTTGGGTGTATGATAACTGTGTTTAACATTTTGAGAAATTGGAAAACTGTTTTCCACAGTGGCTGCACCATTTTACATTCCTACCAGCAGTGTATAAGGACTTCAGTGTTTCCATGTGCTTGCCAACACATGTTATCTGACTTTCTGATCTATAGCCACCCTAATGGGCGTGAAGTGATACCTCATTGTGGTTTTGATTGCATTTCCCAAATGGCAAATGATTTTGAGCATCTTTTTATGTGCTTATTGGCCGTTTTTCCGTATCTTTGGAGAAATGCCTATTCACATCCTTTGCCTGTTTTTAAATTGGGTTGTCTTATTGAACTGTAAGGGTTCTTTGCATATTCTGACTACAGGTCCCTTATCAGATACATGACTTGCAAAAATTATCTCTCATTCTGTGGGTTGTCATTTCACTTCCTTGATGCTATCCTTTCAAGCAAAATTTTCAGTTTTGATAATGTTCTGTTGTTGATTTTTTTTTGGCATCATATCTAAGAACAATTCTTTGCCTAACCCAGAGTCACAGAGATTTACTCCTATGTTTTCTTCTAGAAATTTTATAGGTTTAGCTCTTACATTTAGGTATGTAATGTGAGAGTTCATTTTTGTGTGTTTTGTAAGGGAAGAGTCCAACTTTTTTCTTTTGCATGTGGATCTCTAGATGTTCCAGAAGCATTTGTTGAAAAGACTGTTCTTTCCCCAATTGAATTGTCTTGGGCATCGTTGTTGAAATTGATCATAAATGTGAGGAATTTTTTCTGGATGCTGAATTTGATTCCTTTCATTTAGGTTGTCTTTGATTTCTTTCAACAGTGTTTTGTAGTGTTCATTGTATAAACTTGGTACTTTCTTGAAATTTGTTGCTTATGATTTTATTCATTTTGATGCGATTGTTAATTTTGTTATCTTAATTGTTCAGTTTTTGATTGTTCATTGATTATATATAGAAATACTATTGATTTTTGCATACCGGTCTCTGAAACTGTAGCCTTGTTTCAGAGGTCAATTATAGACTATAATCTGGCTTGTTTGTTTGGCAACAGCTCTTAAGTGGATGCCTTAGGATTTTCTATGTACAGGATGAAGTAGTTGGAGATCGTTTTCTTCCTTTCCAATCTGGATGCCTTTTATTTCTTTTTCTTGCCTAATCGCCCTGAGAAGCATCTCTGGTACAACATTGAATGGAAGTGGTGAGCACAAACATCCTTGTCTTGCTACTGATCTTAAAGAGAAAGCATCCAAGCTTTCCCCATTAAGTATGATGTTGTTAGGTGTGGGTTTTTCACAGGTACCTTTTGTTAGATGAGGACGTTCCCTTCTATTCCTACTTTGACCATTTTTATGATGAAAACGTGTTGGATTTTGTCAGGTGATTGAAGATGCTACACTGCTGGCTTAGAACATGGAGGAAGGAGCCTATGAGCCACAGAATGCAGCTCTAGAAGCTGGAAATAGCAAAAGAACACTTTCTCCACATAGAGACTCTAGAAGGAACACAGCCCTGCTGGCACTTTGATTTTTAAACAAGTGAAAGTCATTTTGGACTTTTGACTTCCAGAAATGATAACATGATAATAAATTTGTGTTGTCTTAAGCCACTGAGTTTGTGATAATTTGTTGTTAACAGCAATAGGAAACTAATAGAGTAGTAGTTTGGGGAAATTAGTGATAAAGGATAATTGGGTAGGAGAGGATAAATGTAGTTAGGTCAGTTTGAGTTCTCTGTGTGTTTCACTGTGTGTGTTTTGTAACATTTTAGTTTTTCCTAAAACCAAAGGATTAATTGACCTTCAAAAGGCAGCTACTTTTTGATTTTAGTCCGTAACCTTTTATCAAATCAGTATTTTCCCCAAATAGGGTTGACAAGAAGCATTCTAAATTATCTCCTAATAAGTTGTTTTGACTTCAGATATTGAAATTGCAGGCCCGTCTCCCACCCATCTCTGTTTTCTCACCTTTTTTGTACGTTTTATAATAAGCCTTACATTGAAGTGTATGTGTCTGTCTGTCTCTCCCTCCTTCCCCCACCCCCTCCCTCTCCTTCCCCACTCTGTGTGTGTGTGTGTGTGTGTGTGTGTGTGTGTGTAATTACAAAGAAGTTGTAAAGGCCTTTTAAAGTAGTTATGATGTGATTTCCCCTCCTTTTAAAAAATAAAATATGTTAAGCATAAGTATTAACATCTTAGAGGGCAGGTAGGTGGAGACTTTGACTTTCTACTTTATCTTTGAATCGCTTAAGTGTTTACAGTGAGCGTGTTATTTTTATGGTACATAGTAATTTTTGATGAAAACATTTTGAAGGCTGAAAAGACTGTCCTGTCTTTTGAAAATAAACCCATCTTTTTGTGCTAATTAACACCGGAGGCCAGCTAAAGCTTTATAATAAAATATTGCATTCAAAATACCTATGAAAGTGGCTAGTTGAAGACTATAATTTGCTTTGAAACGTAGCTTGAAATGGAAATACATTTCTAATAATGAAAGGTGTTGCTTTAGTAATAAATGAAAATAAAATATCCCATTATTATCCCTTCATAGAAAACAAATACAACCCTAAATGACATTTTAATTAACCAGTGATTTTCCTCTAAAGCTGAGATTTGTTTTTTTAATATGTAGGTAGGATTGGCAAATAGCGTACAGAAATCTGGACATCCTTTGAAGATAATTGTTGGGGTGGAATGGGGGCATAGAGTACTGTTTTATTGTGTTCATTTTTATTAATGAAACTGAATTTAGACCAAGCAGTGATTTCAAAGTGGAAGATGGAACAGGATGTTTAGTAGGTTTTGTAGACTGTTTTTGTAAAAGGCTTTGGTGCAGAACCTTTCATAAAATGAAATATTTTTTCAGCATGTCTGTTATTTACTTTTAGAATTCAGAGCAAGGGTTCTTGTTTGAAGAACTACAAACCTTTATTGACTCCAGATTTGACTCAGCTCTTTTATATTTTCTTTCTCACTGATAAGGGAAGGTACTTTATAAAGTAGATTTGTCATTAAAAAAGAAAAAAAGACTACATTTACCTGGTCAGAAGTTCTTTTGGGTTTAAAGAAAAAGATTGCAGCCCAGGTTGCAACAAATGGTCTGACAGTTATAATATGTTCCACCTTTCTTTTTTTTTTTTTTTTTTGTTTTGAGATAGAGTCTCACTCTTTTGTCCAGGCTGAAGTGCAGTGGCACAATCACAGCTTAGTGCAGCCTTGACCTCCCAGGCTCAAGTGATCCTTCTACCTCAGCCTCACAAGTAGCACTCACCATCATGGTGGCTAATTTTTTTTTTTTTTTTTTTTTTGGAGAGACGGTGTCTCCCTATGTTTCCCAGGCTGGTCTCGAACTCCTGGGCTAAGTGATCCTTCTGCCTCCACAAAGTGTTGGGATTACAGGTGTGAGCCACCACGCCTAGCCTCAACAAAAATTGAACTATGTACTGTAGCCACCCTCAACAGTGATAAACTTTTGGCAAATCTTATTTCATTTATACTCCACTTTGGATTATTTTGAAGCAGATTCCAGACAGATCACTTCATCTGTAAATATTTCTGTTTGTATCTCTTGAAAGTAAAGACTCTTTTAACCATGGATGAGTGTTTTGATCAAATCAACATGGCTTGTTCATGTCGATACCATTTGCTCAGAGGGGAAAGATTAAGGGAAAAATGGGGTTGGATTTGAAATGCCAGGACCTGTCTACTGGGTTTGTGATTTGTTATTCTCTAAAGTTGTAGCTCTTAAAACAAAGAAAGGAGTGAGTTTGGCCTATTCATTAACTTTTCCTCTTTAGACAGTTCAAATGTTTATTGAGTTCTTCTACAAGCCAGGCACTGCCTTCTTCTTGCTTACCAAGAAGCATTTTTATGCGGTTTCTCTAATGTTTGGGTGAATGGGACCTCATTAAGTTGTTTTTCACACAGGTGCGTGCTCGTTCCTGAAGAGTCCTGTCCAGGTGCTCTGCCTGCTTTTCCTTTCAGGCTTCTGTATCAGCTGCTGTTTCCCTATAGAATGTGCCCTGAACTCCACCCCTTAACCCTACCCAATTTGTCTTTACATGTCTGACCATCCATGAAGGCTCTTCTGGGTCATATTCAGTTCATGTTGATATTTCCCCTTCCTCCCCTCTTTAGTCCTTACTATTTTTGCTTTGGTCATGTTGTCTTATGCTATATTCTGTAAGCCTGTTCAATTTCTTTATGGTGGCAGGGGAAAATATTTTATAATTATGCTTTGTGCTTTTTATCTTCCACTCAATAAATGCTTGGTCAATATTTGTTTCATTGAGTATATGACACTAGTCTAGCTATATTGTGCTTGAACAAAAATCTTTTTTTTTTTTTCCAAATCAATAGGTCTTTTATTGCATCATTTAAATATCACAAGTAGGTCTTAAGTGTCATCTGGCATCTTCTTTCTGTAGCCAGGTAACTCTTAGATCTTATTCATCAGCCTGCTGAACAGTTCCTTTTTCAGAGACATAGATACCATCCAAAAATTTCCTGATATCCTTGTTTTTAACTGTTGTGGCTTGCTGAATCAAAGCCGCTGAATTTGAAACAAGCTCAATGTCATTTCCTTCAAGGATTAATTCATCTTTCTGGGCTTGAGATACTGAACAAGCAACACCTGGTCTCATCCGAACCCTGCGGATGTATTTTTCACCCAAGAAATTTCGGATTTCAACAAGAGACCCATTCTCCTGGATAACAACGTTGATGGGGAAGTGAGCATACACAGACCTCATCTTGTAACGGAAGCCCAGTGTAACACCCTTGATCATGTTCTGTACATGACTACAAATAGTCCGAACGGTAGCCAGTTCCTTTCTGTTACCCCACCATTTGTCAACCCGGAGCCTCTTTTTTTTCTTTCCAAGAAGGCTGAGTTCTACATTGATGTGATTGAAGTCCCTCCGCAGGGTTCCTCTGGGGCCCTTCACGATAACTGTGCGTCCCTTCAGAGTAATGTCGACATTTTCTGGAATGTCGACAGTCTGATTGCTGAGAATAGTCTTCATTCTCGCAGTAGACGCAGCAAAGAAAGCGAACAAAAATCTTAACTGCCTTGTAAGTTAACTGCTAAGAATTTGTCAAAAGTGCAGAGATAACATCAAGAGCTTGTCATGGATAGTACAAAAAGGTCTCTAAGGGCTTGATGGAAGTCTGTAAATTGACTTCCTATGAAAGAGAGTGTAAGAAGTGAAAAAAAGCAAAACAGAGTAGATGTTTTACTCTGTTTGCCAAGGGATTTGTGCTATTTTTTTTTCCTGTTTTATAAATTTGTCCTAATCTTAAATAATGAAGGGAAAAGAGCACTCTTTTTCAACCTCAAGGAATCCTTTTTATACTTCTTTTCTATGAAGCCATGTTATGAAAGATTGTTATACCAACTTAAGTATAGTTTTTCCATCTTCAGTAACAGACGTGATTGCCATCTAGTTACTGGTTCTGATCACCCCAAAATGCAAAGCAGCTTGTTCTAATAACTTATGCAGGCCTATTGGGAGCTAGTATATGGCTTTGAGTCCTTTTGAAGTATTTAACATAATTTGGCAATTCCATTACTCCTTTTATGGACTTCTTGGCATCTGTGAACTCTTGGTAGGGAATCACTGTTTTAGAATGAAAAATATCTCCCAGGAAGTAAATTAGCCAGTAAACAAATGAAACTTCATTTTTTATATGACTTGTAGAGCCTAAATTATTACTCTTTCTGCATAAGTGGCTGCTTTCTAGGCTGCTTTTAGCGAGATTGTTAGAAACAAATGATCGGTGCTGTGAGGAAGAAGCAGCACTCAGGCAAAAAAGTTTTCTCAGCAAGACAATTTGCTTCTGCAAGTATGCTGCTTGCATTAGTCATGATTGCAAGAGCACACCAAACGGGGTGGAGCAGGGGTTCTTATCCCTAACACAGCCCCTGCCTCTGTGTCATTCCAACATGGGCTGGGGTAGGACTGCACAATCTTAGCTGACTCAGTTGGATATTGTGAATATTTTCTCTAATAAGAAAGGGAGGGGGAATGTGAGTTACAGGTTGGGACTGGTAGGAAGAGTTGCTTACAAGGCAGGTTACTAAGCAGGTAACTAAGCTGGTAAGTAGGTTCGAGAAGGTACAGGGAAATTGTTCTTAGGAACAAAGAACAAGGAAGTTGAACAAGTTAAACCTTTGAAGAGGAACTTACTGTACCTAACAATTCCCCCCTCTTAATTTTTGTAATTCTTCCTCTTCAAACTTTTTTAGCATGTCTTTGCTTTGCTGTTCTGCTTGGTTTTCTAGAAGGAAAAGCTTATCTGAATAGGGTGGAGGAGAGTTAGGAGAGGTTTTGGTAAGTTCTGTGTCTATGAGTCTTTGCAGTAGTCCACGAATGTATGGTATGATACAGCATCCAACAAGAATAAGCACACTTATAACGATTGCAAGAGAAGTAAATATTGAGGACGTTAAGTCTTTCCATTTTCCAGACCATTTCTCCATTAAACTTGTAAAGGGATCATTTATTCCAGAATTGCTTGCTAACTCATTGGATAAGGAGGTTAGGCCCTGCAAAGCTTTTGTTACTGTTCCGTCAGGGGCTGTGTTATTAGGAATAAAAGTACATCATTGGACTCCAATCATGACACAGACACCACCTTTTTCTGCTAGCATCGTATCTAGGGCTATCCTGTTTTCCCAGACTATTTGGTTAGTGGGACCTAATTGGTCGGCTGTTCCCTTAATAGCATGTCTTGTGTAGTTAACAAACCTTTGTTGGTTGTAATAAATGTAGTTTATCCACTCTACATTTTTATTTACAGTTGACCACCAAAACAGCACAGATTCAAATCCTGCAGCTGTTTGATTTCGGGCCTTAAATTTATCTGGTACTCCTCGTGGAACTCCAATAGCCCCTATATAAATGTGGGAGTCAAAGGACCCATGAAGGGCACTTCTTCTCTTATGATTTTCTCTTCTATTATGTTAATGGAATGCTAGGGTGAAAGGGATGGCCAGTTGGACTAGAGCAAAAGTACTACTACAGTTACTTGGTGGAGTGTCCAGTAAGGGTCCACCACAATACCACCATACGTATGCTCGAGGATGAACAAGGGCAGACTGACTGGTAAGCTCTTGGGAACGTTTAAGTTCACCACATCCCTTTAGGTCTCCATGAAATGCCAAGTTTTCCCCTTGTTGTGAGAGACCCGAGGTAAAAATTGGTGTCAGTAGACGGAGGCTGGATGGCTCTCAGGGGCTGACCTGCAGGGTGTTGGACTTCAGGGAATAGCAGAGAGAGAACTTGGCAGGATTCATTACCCCAGGCTGTGGGGTCTTGGAGAAGAGCTACCATACAGCTCATGCCCAGTTGGCTGGAAGACCATCCGAGTGGAAAGGGGACAACCTGGGCCTCTGGCTTACTGTGCACACAAGTCTAACAATTGCTTTTGTTTAGAGTGCGGACAGAATATTTAATCCATTCTAACCAAGCATTTGCATCTTGGTACCCTGTCTCAATTGCTATGGTTGGTTTCAAATTTTTAACTTCTACAATGGCTACCTTGATTTTATCCTTGGTTGAAGGAAGAACAGTGGTTTCGTTTGGAGAGAGTGTAGAAGGAGGTGGAGGAGGTGAGAAAGTAATGAAACACATTTCAAAGGATTCTATAAGATGTGTCCCTGCTATTTTGGCTCCCATGCCGTATAAGCGACTTAAAGTAGGTTTAGGGTTGGCAGAAGTGGGGATAAGAATAGAAATTTGCACTGGATTACATTGGTTATACTGGCAGTTGGGGGGCGGGGGATGTTTCCTTTAACAAAGCAAACATGGTTTTAGGGACTTACTGTTGACAAGGTCCAGCCCTGATGTTCAGTTGTCCACATAATATCATTCCAGCTATGGCAGGCCTGTTTCCCTAAATTTCTTAAGGAACAAGAGTCGTAACGGGGGAGTCTTTTGTCTGAAAGGGGCAGAGATACTTCTCTGAGGCTGAGAGTTGCTTTTGACTTTGGAGATCTCCACAGGGTATAACAAGGCAAGCATCAAAGGTAATAGTTTGGGGTGAGCTCGACCTAGTTACATTAATAACGAGAGGACTAGCAATAGAAGGGGAAAAGAAATACAGCATAAGAGGATCAAGCCCGTTTTAGCTTTAACTTGGTTGGAGTTGGCCCTGAAATAGCTGTCCATGATTCTGGAGTGGGTGGTGCTCTTTTGACTCAGGTATGGTGAGTCCATTCTTTTTTGGTGGTGTGGAAGACTGTCTCAGTCATTAGAAACACTGGATAAGGATAAGGTCCCTCCCAGGTGGGCTTGAGCTTCCCTTCTTTCTAACCTTTGATGAGAATGTGGTCACTGTCCGGGCTGGTGGTGGTGAACTGGAAATTCAAGGGGTGGTGTATGTGCCAAGAGGCCTTTAGTCCTAAGGAAAGAGAAAGTGGAGGATAGACCAAGTATATAGTTCTTGAGAAACAGATCTTTTGTTTCGAACGAGGAATGTCAGCAGTGGAGTGTAGATAAGGCAACTCATAGAGCATTTCATAAGGAGGTCAGCCGACATCTTTCCTAGGGGCAGTTTGGAATCTTCACAAGGCCATGGGGAGGCATTTA
Source organism: Homo sapiens (assembly GCF_000001405.40). Lineage (NCBI taxonomy): Eukaryota > Metazoa > Chordata > Mammalia > Primates > Hominidae > Homo > Homo sapiens. The sequence continues at coordinate 165,556 of NT_187606.1, forward strand.
GTCCATGGCAACCGAGTCTCTAGGACTAATTTGGTTAGGTGGTTTTTCAGAGTCTGATTCATTCTTTCTACTCTTCCTGATGAAGGTGGGTGCCAGGGGTTATGGTAGTCCCATGTTATATCTAGTACTTGGGCTAGTTTCTTAAGAACATGTGCAGTGAAATGAGTCCCATTGTCTGAATCAACATTTTCTATTAATCCAAACCTGGGTATAATATTTTCAACTAATGCCTTGAGTACATTACTAGCAGTTGCACTTGAAAAGGGAATAGTTTATACCCAATGAGTAAGGTGATCTATCACTAATAAATATTTTAAGTGACCAATTGGGGGCATTTCGGTGTAATCAATTTGGACACTTTGGAACAGCCTTAATCCTGGATTTCTCCCTCCAACAGGTGGTTTTCTGAGGATCTGCTTATTAGTCTTCTTACATACTAGGCAACTATCTGTAACTTGTCTTGCCAAAATATAAATTCCTATATATCTGTAGACCCCGAGGACTGCATCACACGTAGCTTGAGGTCCCTAATGAGTCCCGTGATGCAGATGAGAGAGAATTTCCCTCATGAGGGGTTTGGATAACATTTCTCTTTGGTCTGGTGACACCCATTTCCCTTCTGAATTTTCTTTGGCTCCTATTTTTGTTAATTTTTCCTTTTCAGCGGGAGAAAAGATGGGGACTGCAGTCGAGGGAGGAAGGCAAGGGGCTAAGTGAAAAACAGGCATTTTCAGAGGAAACGGCAGTGTGTTTGGCTATTTGATCTGCTAGGTTATTCCTTCCGCTTTGAAAAGAAAGACCTTTCTGATGTCCTGGAACATGGACAATAGCTATTCTGGCAGCTGCAGGTTATCTAATTCTTGGATGATTAATTCTTCGTGGCCCAGGTCTTGGCCTTTGCTATTAATAAGACCTCGTTCAGTCCAAATTTTTCCAAAGGTGTGAGCTACCCCAAAGGCGTACTTGGAATTAGTATAAATAGTCCCTTCTTGGTTTTGCAAGTGCTTTAAGGCTTGATTTAATGCAAACAATTCACATGTTTGGGCAGACCAATTATTTGGCAGTCTTCTGGACTCTGCTTCTTCAAGTGCCTCCCCATCTACGACTGAGTACCTATTATGCCTTTTTCCTTCAATTACTTGGGAAGAGCCATCTATAAGTCCTGCCCCGTTTTGTAAAGGGTCTCTCTTAAATCAGGCCTAACTTTTGTATGATAATTAAATCTAAACACTTATGCTCAGGTCTCTTTAGATTTGGATCTCCAGTCAGGAAACCTCTGGGTTAAGTGAATTATCATTAGTGTTAAATCATCTCTTTCTAACAGGATAGCTTCATACTTTAAAATTCTCAAGTCAGTAAGCCACCTTCTTGGCTTTTAATTTAAGATGGTTCTAACCTGTTGGGGCATGCTTACAGCTAACTTTCCCCCAAAGGTTAGTTTTCTGCTTTCTTTAGTTAACAAGGTGATAGCTGCAATGGATTGAAACATTCAGGCCATCCACAGGTTACTGGATCTAAAACTTTTGATAGGAGATCCATGGGTTGCTGGTGACCTCTGTGTTCTTGGGTAAGGACACCTAAAGCTACCCCCTTATTTATGTTAACAGAAAGGTGAAATGGCTTTTCTAGGGAAGGCAAAGCTAAAACAGAGGCAGTTATAAGCAGATGTTTTAGCTCCTCAACCTGGTGGAGTTCTTCAGAAGTCCACAGGAGAGGGTTAGGCTTTTCTTGGGTGAGTTTTAGGTAGAGAGGCTTTGTGACTAGGGCATATTAGTCAGTCTATAAGTGGCAATATCCGGCTATCCCTAGGAATTTTCTGAGTTCTTGTTTAGTCTTAGGCAAAGGTATGGATACAATCCCTTCAACCCTCTCAGGCCCTATCCTTCGTTTGCCGTTACTTATAAAGTGTCCTAGGTATTTAACTTCAGGCTCTATGAATTGAAGCTTTCTCTTTGAAACCCATAGTCCCTCTCCTTACAAATGGTTAAGGATATGGATGGAGAGAGCAGATACCTTTTCTATAGCTTAACCGGATATTAATAAGTCATCTACGTACTGGAGCAGACATATACATTTTGGGGTATAAACTTGTTCTAACACTTGTTCTAGAATTTGACCAAAGAGATTAGGGGAATCTGTGAAGCCTTGGGGTAGAACTGTCTATCGATACTGTTGCTGTCATCCATAGTGGGGATCTTCCCATTCAAAAGCAAAAATGTCTCAGCTGTCCTCATCCAAGGAACATGCTCAAAAGGCATCTTTTAAACCTATTACTGTAAACCATTGATGTTCGTATGGAATTTTACTGAGAATGGTTTAAGGATTAGGGACAACAGGATGGGTAGTCTAGACTGTCTGGTTGATGGCCCAGAGGTCTTACGCTAGTCAATATGACCTATCTGGTTTCTTCACAGGCAGTATTGGGGTGTTATAAGGAGACATAGAGGGTTCAAGGAGCCCATCCTTGATGAGGCTTTCAATTATAGGTTTCAGGCTTATTCTGCCTTCTAAAGGAATAGGGTATTGCTTTCTTCTTACTATTTCTCCATGGGTTTTTAACTTTATATGTATAGGGGGCATTTGGAGTTTTCCCCAATTTCCTTCCCTTGCCCAAACATCAGGATGAATGTATGTTTTCTTCTGCAGTGGTGAGCAGGTTTAATGAAGTGTAGAATCCTTCTGAGCCAATACGTAAACCTATACCTAATTTTAACATTAAGTCTCTTCCTAATAGATTAGTTCCTGGAATTAACAAAAATTCAACATTAGCTGAGCAGTTTTTACATCTAATTTCTGTTTCTTCTAAAATTTTTAGTTTGATTCCCTCTCCTTTTACCCCTGAGACTACAAGCTCCTCTGAGGACCAGGTTATACTGTGGGGAAGGTAACAAACAGGAGCAGGCTGCTCCTGAGTCTACTAAAAAGGTCGTAAGCTCAGATTTGGGTCCCACTTGTAAATTTATCAAGGGCTCTTGGTGGGTGGGATTCAAGGTAAAAGAGAGAGAGCCCCTAACCCCCTATTCCTCCTCAAAGGTCGTAAGTGGGACGACTTCTCTTTCTGATTTTAATTCGGGACAATACCTCTTGAAGTGGCCTACTTTCTCACAATTGAAGCATTGATTCTGTCTCATTTATTTTTGGGTTTCTCGGCTTTGCCTCCTTACGTTCTTTATATGGCTTAGGAAGTGGGGGCCTAGGATCTTTATAGGTTTTGGCTCTCGGGAGGCTTTGTTTGGGAGTGTGTGGGTCTCCGGGTAACAGAGAGTAATACTGGTGTGTTTTATCCTTTGGGGCCCCCTGTTGGAAGGTGGATAACATAGTTTTCATTTTTTCTTTTTGCTTCTCCTCATCCCTCCTTACACACACTTTTTGAGCTTCTCTAAGAAGTTCATTCATGGGACGGTCGTTCCAATTTTCTATCTTTTGTAATTTCCTTGTGATATCTGGCTGTTAGTAACAAAATGAAGCTTTAACATTCACTGCCTAAGAGGATCTTCTAAATCTAGAACAGCATATTTTCTCATTTGTTCTTTCAAGCTGTCTAAAAGTTTGATAGGCCCTTCATCTTTCCTTTGTTGTATGTCGAATGCTCGAGTAAGATTTTGGGTTCGGAGTACTGACTCCTGAATCCCTTTTATTATCATTTCCCTAAGTTCCTGCATATCCTCTTCAGTGGGCTGTGTTATTATTGTCCCACCGGGGGTCTTGGTTGGGGAATTTTTGATCTGCTGCATGAATGTGTTTTGGCCAGGAGGGTGTTCATGTTCCCAGGCTACCATAGCAGCTCTACAGATCATGCTTCTTTCTTCCCCTGAGAAAAGGATGCCTAGGATGGACATTAACTCAGCCCAAGTATATATAACTGTGGTCCTAGAAATTGGTTAATTTGATCTGCTGTTCCACAGGAGTTGTCTAATAGTGCGGCTTGAACTCTGTTTTTAGGTTTTGGACCTCCCAGCTGGTTAAAGGAGCATTTACAAAGCGAATACTTCCTCCTCCTAGGGACACCTGTCTTAAGGGGAAGAGAGGTGGAGCTAATTCTCCCGAGGTAGAGGGGAAGGGGAAGTTCTGAATATCCCTTTTACATTGCTCTATCTCACATTGAAATCCTTTCAGGGAAGAGTACTTAGGGTGGTAGTGAGCAGGCTCTTGGGACGATTCCCAGGAGGCAGGGTTATACAGAGGGGGAACAATGTGGGTAGGAAAAGGGTCTGGGACAACTGCCTCTGCTTGAGGGGGAGGGAGGTTAGGTTTAGGGGTATTGGACGGAGGAAGGTGGTGGAGGAGGTTCCATGTGTTGGTGAGCTGTCTAGGAACAGGGACCTTATCTTTCTCAGAGGAGTTAATTTCTGACTTGCTTTTCAGGATTGATTCCTGAGTCCAAATGAAACAACAATATTTTATCATTTGCTGCTTTTTCTTGTATTGAGTCCTTTCATTCTCTTTCCAATATTTTAGCATAAGCCGTAGGGGACTATCAGGAGGAATGTTATTGTCAACTTGTACAAAGGAAAGAAACAAACCTTGATTCAGGAGCCTAGGACTTTTTCTTTGGTTTGCCCTCCTGGGACAGATTACCGTTCCAAATTGAATTTGTGGAGGAGCGTTGGGAAATATCAGAACTGTCATATTAAGCACCTAAGTGGTACTTTTAATAGAGGAGTTATTCAGAAATTATATTAGGCAGATAGAGAGGGTAAGGAGGCCTCAGTAAGGCTTTCCCTTTTAATAGAAACAACTCCAGAAACATTTCTTTTTCTTTTCTTTTTATCTTTTTTTTGGAGACGGAGTCTCGCTCTGTCGCCCAGGCTGAAGTGCAGTGGTGCGATCTCAGCTCACTGCAGCCTCTGCCTCCCAGGTTCAAGTGAATCTCCTGCCTCAGCCTCCTGAGTAGCTGGGACTACAGGCTGCCAAGCTTTGATATGCAAATACCAGCGCTTAGAAACTGTGTCCATTCAACATGGAGATTCCCACCCTCTTCTTCTAGTCACCACCTCAAGGTGACACCTCCAGATGACCCCACGTGTGCAGGACAACATGGTGACCTACATTTGCATATTAAAAGGCTAGGGTGGGAGGGCCACGTTTTTCTCGGGCTGCATGAATGACCTGCCTGGTCAAACCAATACCCTGGTCCCTGTGCAAATCAGACACCACCTCCTCCAGCCTCCCAATATAACCGAGTACTGTTCTGCCACACACGGGGCTTTTTCTCTGTTCGGAGCCCCCCTTTTTCTGTACCGCAGGGAGCCTTTCTTCTTTCTTGCCTATTAAACTTTCTGTTCCTTAAAACCACTCCTGTGTGTCCATATCGTTTAACTGACGTGACACAAAGGACCCCGATGTTTCTCCAGTCATCAGAGCCATATCACTTTGAGTCCAGAGGAATTATTGTTTTCATTTATCTGAATTTATAATATAGAGTCAAATTCCTAGTGGTTATCCTCTCTCATCCCCATTTTTATAGCCTTCCTTGAAAGGAACAGGTATATGAAGAGGAGACAGGTTTCCCTTTTGTGAATAGTATATCCCTTAGTATCTTGATTTTTTTTGGTGGGAGTCGGGGGAGTTAAACTTACTTAGACCTGGTAAAGGGCAGTATTTGATAAATGTCAGCTAGTTTAGGGTTAGGGAATTGAGTTGAATGGAGATAGTCACTGCCAAATGTAAAGCATGACTGGAGAGCCAGAGTGATGAAGCCAGGGTCCCTTTCTCCAGATCCTTTGTAACAGTGTTATGTGATCTCTTCTAGAAGATCGTGCTGAAAGATAATGCCAACTCAGAACCTAGGAAACCATCCAGTGGGTTTCTGCAGCTTAGGTGTTTCAAATCCTCATCAGCAGGTTCGTTTTCTCTGCCTCAGTTTGCTTACAATGATGTTCTCAGTAGCTGTAATTGCTGTCTGTCTTTGAATACTTAAGCATTTTATTTTAGCTCACAGGGGTATGTATGCATTTTTCTTTTACCAAGTGTTAGAACTTTGACTCTGCTTTTGTGGGCTCTGGGTTAGCAACTTGGTTGTTTAGTTGTAAAATGATTAGCAGGGAAAACCGTGTGTGTGTGTGTGTGTGTGTGTGTGTGTGTGTGTGTGTGTGTATTTTAAGTTTCTTTTGTTGTCAGAGCACTTCGAATTTTATGTGGAAATTCTGTCAGTTTACTTGATTCTCCACCCCACAGTTATTGAACAGGAAAGTGTGAAGGTAACGCGTCCCATAACCAGCCTTCAGAAGAATTACAGCTGCTGTATCTCTGAACTTTCAAGAAGTTTGTGCATCAATTTTCAAAAAATTATGAAATCCCTGAAGATAGCTGTGTTCTACATTTGGAAAGATACAAAAACTGAACCTTCTAGCAGGCAGTTTTGCTTGCTGGTGCTTGAGATAGAGCCACACACTGGTCTCAGTGGATTTGTGGAGAAAAGTAGGTACAGAAAGTTATTTCTAAATAAGACCAAAAAATCCTTTTCTTAAGCAGTGACAGGTAAAGAGGTTGTCTTGGCTAACCTTGAATTGTGTTGCCCTTGATAGAGACAGTTTTATGATGGGGATGGTAGTGATGATAAACTTGTTGGAAATTTGTCCACTTATGGTAACCTTTGTGGTAGCTGTCACAGACAACTTCATCCTCACAGGCCCTAAAATTACTATAAAACTAATAGAATGGAGGAGAAACAAAGGACCTGAATAATTAGATGCTTGGATAATTGTTCTGTGTTTTCATAACAAGTGAAAAAGAGCAGTGTTAGAAGTACTTAAACATTCCATGTAAGGAACACTGCCTGAATTTATATTGTGATTTTAGAGCATCATTCACTGTTTAAAAACAGGCATATTCTAGGTAATATTTTAAAGACAAATAGAAAACTTACCTTTTCAAGATGGATATAAAGCTTAACCTTATCAAAATTACAAAATGTAAAGCATACGATTGAAAAATATTAATGCATAGGTTTAAATATTGGTCATCATTTTAGATGTCTTTCAAAGTAGGTTGTCTCTTAAATATTAAACTGAACAAACATTGAACTTGTTGTAGAGTTTGTGCTCAAGGTTAAGTTTCCTGGGGTGATGGATATTTGATAATATGGATAACAAAAAGTTCTTATTTTAAGAAATTTAGAAAATTTTTAGGCAAAGCTAGAAAATAATACCAATAATTCTACCACTCAGAATGTACCACTATCAGAATTTTGTATCTTTCAGTCATCTGCTCATCTCTTTTCTCCTTTGCTTGTATGTGTTCCCTCTCCCTTAAAAAAATCAGATTTTTTATTATAATCTGCATTTTCACTCAACAATATTGTAGATCTGTGTCATAAGTTATTCCTCTACAGTGCCTTCAGTTATTGTGTGCTTTGTGTTGGATAACTATACCATCTAGTCTTTCATGTTTCCTGGTACTGACTACATAAGGGTGAGAGAGAGAGAGAGAGAGAGAGAGAGAGAGAGAGAGTGTGTGTGTGTGTGTGTGTGTGTGTGTGTGTGTATTTTTTTTCTACCTTAACTAATGCTTTGGACATCAACAGGTAGAGCTAAATCCTTGAAACCTTCCAAGTGGTGGCTTTCAGTTATTGCTGAATTGGTTTTTAGAGATGGAACAAATTATATTGTATGGAAACTTTTTTTTTTTTTTTTTGAGACAAAGTCTCACCTTGTCGCCCAGGCTGGAGAGCAATGGCATGATCTTGGCTCACTGCAATCTCTGCCTCCCAGGTTCAAGTGATTCTCTTGCCTCAGCCTCCCAAGTAGTTGGGATTACAGGTGCTTGCCACCATGCCCGGCTAATTTTTGTCTTTTTACTAGAGATGGGGTTTCATCATGTTGGCCAGGCTTGTCTCGAACTCCTGACCTCAGGTGATCCACTCACCTTGGCCTCCCAAACTACTGGGATTACAGGCATAAGCCACCATACCCAGCCTTTTTTTCTTCTAGGTACCAGCTTTTATTTATCAGATTGGTATAAATGTTAGAAAGCGTGCAATGAAATGGGCATTTTCACAGTCGTGGCAGAAAGTATAATTATCTTTGACTTTCTAGAAAGCAGTCTGGCATTCTAGAAACTTGCCTAACCTCTTCCCATTTAGGCAAGATGAATTCTCACTACCCGTAGGTGGCCAACCTTGTCCTTGTGATTCCGTATCTTCCAGAAAGAGAGGTCTAGTCTCAGGGAAAACCCAGATTTTCTTGGCTTAGCCCACCTGACAGCTAATCACTGGAAATGAGGTGGGCCGGTAGAGTCCTTTGGTCAGGTTTTGTGTCAAGAGAGGAATGTGGAAAGATGGGAGGGAGGTAGCAAAACTGGCCTCAATGGAACTATGTAAGTTAACGTAGAATGACAAAGGAATGTTTCTTCCAGGGAAGAAATTCTAGGGAAGGAAGAAAGTGGAGGGGAAGGCAGCAGTTCTCAAAGTTTTGAGGTCAGGATTCCTTTACACTCTTAAAAGTATATTGAGGGCCCAAGGAGCTTTTCTGTATATAGGTTATATCTATTGGTATTTATCACTAAAAATTAAATCAGAAATACTTAAAATATTCCTTAAAAGCTCACCAAATTTTGTTATGAATGCTTTTATGAAAAGAAAATTTCTAAACCCAAAGTAGTACAATCTTACACCTTTTGCAAATTTCGTTGATGTTTGATATGTCATTTGCACCTGCATTCAATTTATTGTGTGATATTTGCTTGAAAAAATGTGAACAAAGAACAATCTCATACAGATAGGCATTTTAGATCCTTATGGATATTTTTTATTTTTTATTTTTTTTTATTTTTGAGATGGGGTCTTTCTCTGTCTCCCAGGCTGGAATGCAGTGCTATGATCACGGCTCACTGGAGCCTCATTCTCTGGGGACTCAGGTGCTCCTCCCACCTCAGCCTCCAGAGTAGCTGGGACTACAGGTGTGTACTACTCCACCTAGCTAATTTTTTGTATTTTTTGTAGATACAGGGTTTTGCCATAGGTATTCAAATAGAAAGTTTTGTTGTTGTTTTAGTATATAAAGAAATATAACTTTCCATGTTGAAAAAATTTTAAAAACCTTTTTTTAAATTATAAAACTCATAAGCAACCATTGTTGAGAAAATTAGTAAAGTACAGAAAAAAGAAAAAAATTAAAGTCTCCCATAATTTCTTTACCTAATATAACCACTATTGACAGTTGACATGATGGCCATTTTCTACCAGTATATGTTTTTTCTTTGCTGGTAAAATACATAACCCTTACATATATGTTTAAATAGTTGAGGTCGTATTCTCCATAGGTTTATATTCTTTTTTTTTTTTTTTTTTGACGCGGAGTCTCACTTTGTCGCCCAGGCTGGAATGCAGTGGCGTGATCTCAGCTCACTGGAAGCTCCACCTCCTGGGTTCACACCATTCTCCTGCCTCAGCCTCCCCAGTAGCTGGGACTACAGGCGCCCGCCACCATTCCCGGCTAATTTTTTGTATTTTTTAGTAGAGATGGGGTTTCACCATGTTAGCCAGGATGGTCTGGATCTCCTGACCGCGTGATCTGCCCACCTTGGCCTCCCAAAGTGCTGGGATTACAGGCGTGAGCCACTGTGCCCAGCCCTTTTATATTCTTTTAAAAAGTATTTACTGTATTTTCCCATGATGTCATAGTCTTTATAGAAAAATAACAATCATTATTTTCAGTTGACATGATTGTTTACCTAAAAATATCCAAAGGAACCAACTGAAAAAAAACAATTTTTAAGATTACTGGTTAAAAGTTCTTTTATATAAAAATCAATAGCCTTCCCCAATGTTAGCTATAATCACATAGAACATATAGTGATGAAGTATTTTTTCAGGTATTTCAGCAAAAATTAAATACCTAGGAATAAACTTAGATGTGCAGGGCTTTTATCAAGGACATGACAAAATTTTGCTGAGAGGAATGAAAGATTTGCATTCTATGTTCCTGAATGAGCAGATTTCATGTTATAAATATGTTATCACCATGTCTTCATATTAATTTATAAATGTAATTTCTGCTGGGCACAGTGGCTCATACCTGTAATCTGAACAGTTTGGGAAGCTGAAGTGGGTAGATGACAATTAGCTGGGTGTCTGTGGCACACACTTGTTCCAACTACTTCTGAGGCCGAGGTGGGAGGATCACTTGAGCCTGGGAGGCAGAGGTTGCAGTGAGCCGAGATCTGCCTCTGAACTCCAGCCTAGGTGACAGAATAAGACCCTGTCTCAAAAAAAAAAAAAAAAACACACAGGAAAAAAAAGGGTGTATATATATACACATTTTATATTTCATATATATATTTATATATAAATTTTGTATATATATGTATATATACAAATTTCAGTAGAAATTCCAGCAGATTTATTTTTGGCATTTGACAAAATGACTCTAAAATTTGTTTAGAAGAGTAAATAATAAAAATTAATAAAGTATAGACTCTTTCAACCAGATATTAAATAAAATATTGTGGACTAGCCCTGGGCCAGACAGATAAAGGCAATGAAAGTTTAGAACCAGAGTCATGCAAATGAGAATTTAGTGTAAGGAAAAGGTGGTGCTTTAACTTAGTAGTGAAAAGACAGATTATTCTGTAAATAGTTTTAGGAGAACTGGCCATTTGAGGAAGTTTGAGTCTTAACTCCAATTTTTGTCAAAATAAGTTGTAGTTGGTTTAAACACATCTATTCTTAAAAATTAGAACAGAAGAACATCGATTTGAAGATATTTTAAGAGTTAAGGCTGAGGCTGGGCACAGTGGTTCACGCCTGTAATCCCAGCACTTTCAAGGCCAAGTTGGGAGGATTGCTTGAGCCCAGGAGTTTGAGATCAGCCTGGGCAACATAGCAAGACTCTCTCTCTCTAGATATAGATATACATATAAATATACATATAGAGATACAAAAAAAGAGTTAAGTTTTGTATGGAGAGCCATGAAGATAAGAGGTGAAAATTAAAGGCTTGATGGACACATGTTTACATCTCCAGCAAGGGGGTTGATGGGAAAGACTGATAGACATAGCTCCATTACTGCTACCTCCTTTTAGGAAGTTGCTTCTGAATATCTAAAGATAACAGTTTTATAATAGCAGAAATGAGGTTTTTTTCAGTGTCTAAAACATTACATGAAATACATACATACATAAACATGTTCAAAAGTTAAATGAAGTAGGATATAAAATTGGGCCTAGTGTTTAAAACAATAAATATATTTACATGAAGGAGAAAACAACTCACTTCCCACTCTTACAGCCTCTGCCAGTTTATCATAGCCTAGTTTCTTGAGAGAATAAGCTACATGTCTTCACCTTTTTTCACTGAACTCATTATAATCTGGATTCTGCCTTCATCTTTGCGCTAAAATTTATCTCCTCGTTTCCAAATCCAGTGGCTCCCCTCTTAGTCCACAAATTGACTCCTCTGCAGTATTTTGTTAATGTTGATTGTTCCTTTGTTGAAACATTCCTCCGTTCTTAATGTCCACCAGCAAAGAGTTGGTTAAATAAAAATTATAGTGTACAGTTTTATAATAGAATATTCTGTTATAGACCAAAAAAAATGCAGCCAGTCTTTCCATAAAAGCATGTGCAAACTTCTAAGATGTATTAAGTAAAAAAGTAAGGCATAAAATATTGTGTATAATCTGACCTCTTTAGTATACAGTGTAAAAAAATCTATGTCTGTGCTAGTTTATACTTACTTTTTTCTCCCCTGGTGGATACAGGAAATTGTGAGTAGTAGAACACAATTAAAAAAGACTGTGTGGCTTCTGTGCCAGGACCTGTGATAGTTGGGTATAAAAGACAAAAAAGGCATGTCCCTGTCCTCTGGGAAGGGACATGATAGTCGAATGGGACTTTTATCAGATTGTTTTCTCCTGTTTTGATCTTATCACCCTGCCTTGGTCTCCTCCGATCTCTTCTTCCTTGTCCTACTTCTTTCTTCTCTTCTCATTCTGTGCTTTCTCTGAGTAATCTTTGACTCCCATTACTTAAGTCATGACCTGTGTTCCAGGGACTCCTAAATTTGTATTCATCTCCGGAGTTTCAAACCCATATATCTGTCTGTATATCATATATGTTAGGGAATCTCACTTGGAGTGACATGGGTGTTCAAAATGATGGTATTTAAATTTTCATGTATTCACCTCCTAGCACTCTATCAGCCCCATCATGTGTCCCATCAGTAATTCTCCTTGTCATTGTGAGTGGGACAAAATGAAATAATCAAACTAGTCACCCATGCCTCAACCTGGGAACTGTCTTAGCGTTCTTTTATATGCTACTGTTCTCTGACCTCCCCCCCAAAGTACGTTTCTAAGACCTGTCCTTCTAAATGTCTCTTACTATTTTCCCTGTGATCTCAGTTTCTTCTTCCCATCCCTCAAATGCTTTTTGTGTGTGTGTGGTGGGGGAAGAGAGTAAAATTGAAATTCGTGGAAAATGTACTACCCTGTCTTTCTTCCTTTCTTTCTTTCTCTCTTTCTCTCTCTCTCTCTTTCTTTCTTTCAATGAAGTCTCGCTCTTGTCGCCCAGGCTGGAGTACAATGGCACAATCTCGGCTCACTGCAACCTCCATCTCCTGGGTTCAAGTGATTCTCCTGCCTCAACCTCCTGAGTAGCTGGGATTACAGGCACCTGCCACCATGCCCAGCTAATTTTTGTATTTTTAGTAGAGATGAGGTTTCATCATGTTCACCAGGCTGGTCTCGAACTCCTGGCCACTACCCTGTCTTTCTTGTTGCTTGGTATGACTCCACTACCCTGCTCCCTCTCTCCCCCTGCAGCGGGATAATTTAGGAATCAGAGAGACTGAAGGGTTGAGGAGGATATATATTATTATTATTTAGGTGCACCGGCCCAGTCAAATTTAACATCTAAAGGACTGAGCCCTGAACAAAGAGTCAGGTTACCTTTTAAACATTTTATCGGGTCGGGGGAGATCTGTGCAGGGGGAGGCATATTACAGAAGCAAGAAACAAAGACAGTTATTCAGTTGAGACATGCATTACATTATTTCTTACTTTTCAAGGAAAAACCTGTTTTTCGACTGAGTTTATCTGTCTAGTGACCTTGCAGCTGCACAGCTAGAGAATCAGGGTCTTCACAATGCCTGGGAGACGAGGAGAGATAAGGTTCACTAGCCTCAGAAAAACAGACAGTTAATTTTTAAAGGACTCCACCTCTTTTTCTTTCTTAGGGGGAATTGGGTTTTTTTTTTTTTTATAACTGAGTTTTTGCTTACACATTCTTTTTATTATTATTATTATACTTTAAGTTCTAGGGTACATTTGCATAACGTTCAGGTTTGTTACATATGTATACATGTGCCATGTTGGTGTCCTGCACCCATTAACTCATCATTTACATTAGGTATACCTCCCCCCTCCCCCCCACCCCACAACAGGTCCCCGTGTGTGATGTTCCCCATCCTGTGTCCAAGTGTTTTCATTGTTCAATTCTGACCTATGAGTGAGAACATGCAGTGTTTGGTTTTCTGTCCTTGAGATAGTTTGCTCAGAATGATGGTTTCCAGCTTCACCCATGTCCCTACAAAGGACATGAATTCATCCTTATGGCTGCATGGTATTCCATGGTGTATATGTGCCACATTTTCTTAATCCAGTCTATCATTGATGGACATTTGGGTTGGTTCCAAGTCTTTGCTTTTGTGAATGGTGCCGCGATAAACATACGTGTGCATATGTGTTTATAGCAGCATGATTTATAATCCTTTGGGTATATACCCAGTAATGGGATGGCTGGGTCAAACGGTATTTCTAGTTCTAGATCCTCGAGGAATCACCACACTGTCTTCCACGATGGCTGAACTAGTTTACAGCCCCACCAACAGTGTAAAAGTGTTCCTATTTCTCCACATCCTCTCCAGCACCTGTTGTTTCCTGACTTTTTAATGGTTGCCATTCTAACTGGTCTGAGATGGTGTCTCATTGTAGTTTTGATTTGCATTTCTCTGATGGCCAGTGATGATGAGTGTTTTTTCATGTGTCTGTTGGCTGCATAAATGTCTTCTTTTGAGAAGTGTCTGTTCATATCCTTCACCCACTTGTTGATGGGGTTGCTTGATTTTTTTCTTGTAAATTTGTTTTAAGTTCTTTGTAGATTCTGGATATTAGCCTTTTGTCAGAGGGGTAGATTGCAAAAATTTTCTCCCATTCTGTAGGTTGCCTGTTCACTCTGATGGTAGTTTCACATTCTTTAATTTCTTTTAATTCCTGTTTCACCCCAGCACTCCTGTAGCCCCTTCTGTGCCAGAGGTCAGAGTGTCCAGGTCTGTGTCCAGATCACCCTGCCTCATCTTCATTATATACTTAGCACAAAACAGAGCACATTGGGTGCATAATGAATCCACACTAGGCCTTGGCTTCCTTTTAAGCATGAGGATTTTTGGTGTATCCTAATTTACGGTTCAACCTTCCTGTTTCCACTTGCTTCATTGTTCACTTTGGGAAGGCTTATTCTTTGCTTCGTTAACCCATTCTAATCCTGTGTCTTCTTACTTTGTCCTTTGTAAACCTGCTTCTTTCTCTTCATCTCTTTTCTTGGTCAGAGACACCCAGAAAATTGTTCCTGACCAAGTGAAGTGAGTTGCCTTATTAGATCCCATTTGAGTCACCTTATACATTAAAAAACATTTTAAACAATGAAAACCACATTTGTGCACATAGTTTACCTTGTTTATTTCCTTAAACATGCTTACAACACAATTTGGACGTAAACAGGGAAATTTACAGTTATTCTTTGCAGTTTCCTAGTGAATGATTATTTTTTAGACAGACACTTAAGAGCCTACTAAGTATCAAGTGTTTCACAGGTTTCATTTAATCTTTACTATTCTGGGAAAGTTTTCATTTCTTTGTTTTACAGATGAGTAGACTCAAACTCAAGGAATTAGATATGATATCCAAGGTCATCTAGATTTCCAGGCTCTGTCTGCTGGATCACATTTGCTTTTGTACTTTTAACTATGACTGGAATATATAATTTTATAATCCATGTGTAACAACACTGCCTGTGTGTGGTTTTTTTTCTTTTTTTTTTTTGGGTGGCCTCATTAATGCAGTAATGTTCTCTTGTTTGAAGTTGTAAGTTTCTAAGAAAACAAGGTAGCAGTGCGAAATTGGACAATGTCTGGAACTTCCTTCCTCTGCCTTTATTCTTGTTGTTCCATTAGGTATCAGTTGTAGTGATTATAGCCCAAGCCATAGTAACTTTCTTAAACTAGAGGCTCCTGAAAATATTTCAAAGAGTTTTTTTAAAAATCTGTAAGCTGCAGTTGAGCAGTTACAAACTTTTTTATTTCCTACTAGATTGATTGCAGTAGTCATAACATTATTGCTGTCTTCTAAGGGCTCTTTAACATAATGCTTATTTACTGAAATGTGTTTTGTAGCTTCATCAGCAATTGAAGTGGTTGATATGTGGACTCTGCAGGTTATATAACCTTCCTAAGCACCTGGATGTTGAGATGCCAGATCAACCACTACCCATGGGTCAGCTAAAGTAAAAATTCTCTAGTGTTCAAGAGCTAAAATAAATTGTCTCAAACAAAAGTCAAACTAGGATGATTTTTTAAAAATTATTCAACTTATTTAGAAGTTAGTTTTTCTGTACCTGTTAAATTGTTTGTTCTGTTTTAGATACTAAAAATAACCTTTTCATTCTTTGGAGCTGCTGGTATTTAGTATGGCAGGCAAACAATTGCCCTTTTCCCTAACAGCAGCTTTTTGTTGTGAATATTCCTGGTGTCCATAAATGTTCTTGCTTTTTTCATTGCTTGTCTTTGCTCATTGACTTGCCTTTACCTAGAAATGCCGTCTCCTTAAGTCTGTCTGTGCTTCTTAAGGACTTGCCCAAATGTTATCTCCTGCAAGCAACAGAAATCTCCACTAGCTCACCACTACCCCTAACTTCTTCCTGGATTTACCTATTTAGGCATCAGCTATTGACTTTTTAGTATAATATGTGAGAATTTAGCTCTTATACCACCCACTTTCCCTTCCTCTTTAGTCATATAAGTAATCACTAATTATCATTAGGACTTTGTAAAGCCAAGTTTTGTAGAATATTTAGGATAGGATATTTCTTTCCTTGGTGTTGCTTTTTGTTTTGCAGTGTCTTCCTCATAACAGTAATTTTTAATTTAAAAAATTCTGTTGTAGCCCTTTCTGTGAGATCTCCTTCTCTTCCAAAGCCTTTGGCTCCTCTGTGCCCATTTTGGCAGGTTGTTCTTCGGGTTGGCTGTGCACATGTCATCTTGAGGTTTTTCTCATCTGCTCGCCTAGAGTACATCCATTGTTTCCTGGATCCCATGTCATCTTCTTTGGCTTTCCCTTTGTCATTTTACCTGACTATGTCCTCAAGTAAAACCCTAAGAAAGCATGGAGTGGTATATTTTCTGATCTCTAGCTTCTGAAAAAATACAATCCAGTGTTTGGGTTTTGGAGCCAGTCTGAGATAGGTTTGAATCTTGGTTCTACTACTTATTAGCTGTATGCCCTTGGGCAGATTCCCTAATTGCTCTATGCATCAATTTCCATTTGCAAAATGGGGGAACCAGTAATAGTATTAGTACCTATGTTTCTAGGGAGCTGTGAGGATTAAATGAGTTGGTACATGTAAACCATTTAGAACAGTGCCTGGTGCTTAGCCCATCCCCATCACTATTCACTTTTGTCATAGTCTACCCTCACACTTGATTGATAGTTTGGTTGATTATGTATTTCTAGGTTGAGGATAATTTTACCTTAGAATTTCAAAGTCTGTGCTGTTGTCTTCTAACCAGTCATGGTGGTGAGGCCTCATGTCACCCTGAGTTTCACTCATTCATGCATGACTTTCTCTCTGGAAGCTTTTAGGAGTTTGTCTTTTCCTTGGTGAGCTGAAATAGCACAACATTGTACTTAGTGTGTGTCTTTTTTCATTCACTGTGCTGGGTACACCAAATGGATAGGCCTATGGATCGTCTCTTTCAAAGTTGGAATCTTGAATCTTGTCATATTTTTGTTAACTTTCTCCTTTCCATTTTATTTGTTCATTTTGAAGTGTCTGTTAATTGGATTTTAGTCCTCTTGTTTGAGTCTTGTATCTCACGTCATTTCTAATTTTTTTTAAATTTTAAGTTCTGGAATATTTTTCTTATTTTTTGACTTTTAGGAAATTTTATTTGGACAGTCATAACTTTAAGTTTTGTTTTGGTTATTTATTGTTGCTTAACCAATTTTCCCAAAACTTAATGGCATAAAACTACACATTTGTCTATCTGTCACTACTGTATGGGCTAACTGGGGGTAGCTGGACAGTTTTTCTGCTGGTCTCATTTGGCATCTCTCACTGTGCGGTTAGACGGTGTCAGAGACTGGTCATCTGGATGCTCAGCTGCAGTGGAATGTCTGAGACGGCTGCTTCACCCACAGGTCTGCTGCCTTGGTGTTTCTTCTTGTGGCCTTCTCCTCTGCATAGCGTCTCATCCTCTCAGGCCTCTTTGTGTGGTTTCTCTTTCTCCAAGAGGATAGTCAGTACTTATTTTGGCTACTAGAAGCACAGAAGTGGAGCTGCCAGGTGTTCTTAAGGCTTAGACCTGGAACAGGTCCAGTGTCATTTCTACCAAATTCTATAGGTTAAAGTGAGTCTTGAGGCCAACCCAGATTCACTGTGGGATGGGCCTGTCCAGGGACATGATAACAGGAGGTTAGGCTCATTGGGGACCAACTCCCAAGATGAACCCTGAGTTCTAAGAACTTTTTCTTCTCTGATTATTCCATATTCATATTCTAATTTTGTTTTATTCATGTAATATATTCACAAGTGTCCTTATGAAGTGATTTTGATGCTCTTTTGTCTTCTCCCTAGCATCTCTTTGTTCTTTAATAAATTTTTTTCTTAGTTTATTTTGGTCTTATTTTTCTTTTTAAAACCTTTCCTTAAATATCTATTCTATGTTGCTTATCATTTGTAGTCTTTTTTTTTTTTTTTGAGACGGAGTTTCGCTCTTGTTGCCCAGGATGGAGTGCGATGGCGTGATCTTGGCTCACCGCAACCTTTGCCTCCTGGGGTCAAGCGATTCTCCTGCCTCAGCCTCCTGAGTAGCTGGGATTACAGGCATGTGCCACCACACCTGGCTAATTTTTGTATTTTTAGTACAGAAGGGGTTTCTCCATGTTGGTCAGGCTGGTTTCGAATTCCTGACCTCAGGTGATCCACCCACCTCGGCCTCCCAAAGTGCTGGGATTAAAGGCGTGAGCCACTGTGCCTGGCCTGTATTCTTTTTTTTTTTTAAATTCCCTTTTTTGTTCATTCATATTTGAGAGAGGTACTGAAAGACTGGGAGGCTGGGTGTGGTGGCTCACACCTACAATCTCAGTGCTTTCGGAGATTGACGTGGGAGGATCACTTGAGCCCAGGAGCTCAAGAGTAGTTTGGGCAATATTATGAGACCCCATCTTTACAAAAAATAAATTAAAAAAAAAAAAGCCAGGTGTGGTGACACCCACCTGTAGTCCCAGCTACTTGGGAGGCTGAGGCAGGAGGATCGCTTGAGCCCAGGATGTTGAGGCTAAAGTGAGTTGTGATCATGCTGCTGCATTCCTGCATTCCAGCCTGGGTGAAAGAGCAAGATCCTTTCTCAAATAAATAAATAAATAAATAAAATAAATACAAATAAAAAAATAAAGAATTGATTGGGAGTTCTGCATGGCGAAGACTTGGCAACTGATAGCTTTTAGGGGGGAATGTATGCTGATTCCTAATTGTTATCCTCTACCCCTCTATCTTATCTCCCAGTGCAATCATAAATGATGGCTGGAACTACTCCATTCCTCTGGAGGTGAAATCTACATTCTCTTGTCTGAGGTAGATATGTTTGCTTGGGTTCTGCTTAAGGAGATGGAGGAGAGCAGTGTGTTTCAGGGCCTGGAAAAGGTGTTCTCTATATAGGCTTTTGGTTAATCTCTGTTTTCAGTCTTGCCTGTCAGTCCCACTCTCGGGGGTACCTGGTGTCTGAGTCTAGAACCTTTCCAGGTTGCTGTGGGACAAATTAGCTTCCTTGTTTTTGGTATCCCCCAACCTCCACTTTTGTTTGCTTGCTCCATTAATTAACCATTTTCCATTTACTGTCATTTTCTAATGGAGGTGAATTCTCTTCTGTGGGTAACCCCATTTCTTTTTTTTGTAATTGTTTGTTTATATATTGTTTATTCTTCACTGTATTTCTAGTGGAGCCTCAGGACAAAGAGCAGATGGTGGAAATATGTGTTCAGTGTTCAGTTTTTTTCTGTAAGACATCTGCAACTTGTGTTTTTCACTGAATATCACGTGGACTTAATGCATATAGAGCTACCTTGTTTTTCTTGATTGTGCCTACAATTCTATGGAGAAATATAATTTGTGAATTACCTGATGAAATTTTCCTAATTTTGAATCATCCTTGCATTCCTATAATAAACACTGTTAGAATGGCTATGGTAATATTTTATTTTTGCATTTTTACTTCTTTATAAAATAAGATTATAGTTTTGTTTGTTTCTTTTAAGGCTCTTATTTCAGTATCAAGGGTATGCAGGGCTAACTCGGGAAGCTTTACATCTTTTTTCTAAGACCTAGGATGTAGATCTAGTTTACACAGTAATTTTCAACTGCAGGAATATTTTGCCTCCCATGGGACATTTGGAAATATCTGGAGACATTTTTGTGGTCACAACTGGTCACGGTCGGGAGGTCTTATTGGCATTCCGTGGGTAGAGGGGATGTTACTAAATGTCCCACAACACACCAGGAGAACCCTCACAAAGAATTGTCTGGCCCAAGATATCAATATTGCTGAGGCTGACAAACCCTGGTTTAAATAAATGTCCAATTTGGAGGATGAGTCTGTCTTTTTCCTTCTTCTGCGTATTGGTCTCCAGATTTTCCATTTCTTCAGTTAGTTTTCGTAACTGTAGATTCTTAAAAGAAATGAACACTTCTCCCATACTTCTAAGGTGTTGTAAAGATGTGTAAAGTTTTCACTTTTTGCATCATATTCACATGTGGCTATATGCCCTTTTGTCTTCAAAGTTTTCTTTATCTTGATCACTTATCAGAGGCGTGACTGTTTTATTATCTTAGTCTTTTGAAAGAATCCTCCCTTAGTTTTATTTTTTAAATTTAGTGGGTTGTTTTCACATTTTCCTTGTGTCTTAATTATTTCCCCTTTTTGTTTATTTTGCTTTTTCTAGTTTAGTGGATCAATGTAATTTAAACTGCTTTTTAAACAAACCTGTAATGGTATACATTTTCTTTGGGTGCTGTTTGACTTTATTGCACAAGTTTTAAAATCTATTTTCTAAATAGTTTGTATTTTCCAAGTCATTTTATTGCATCCTCTGTTCACATTGCTCTTACTATTAAAACTTTTTATTTGCCCGGCATGGTGGCTTATGCCTGTAATCCCAGCACTTTGGGAGGCCAAGGCAGGTGAATGACCTGAGATTGGGAGTTCGAGACCAGCCTGATCAACATGGAGAGAGCCCGTCTCTACTAAAAGTACAAAAATTAGCTGGGCATGGTGGTGCATGCCTGTAATCCCAGCTACTTGGGAGGCTGAGGCAGGAGAATCGCTTGAACCCAGGAGACAGAGGTTGCAGTGAGCTGAGATCACGCCACTGCACTCCAGCCTGGGCAACAAGAGTGAAATTCCACCTCAAAAAAAAAAAAAAAAAAAAAAAGACATGTATTGAAATTATGTAAAACATAAGCTTAGTGTAACATATAGTTAGAGCGAGTACTTGGGAACTAATACCTAGCCAGCACCAAGGTGAAGAGAAGGCACATTGCTTGCACTACAGAAACCTTCTGCAGGCTGCTTCCTGATCACCATGCCTCTGTACGCTCATCTTGCCTTATATTTCTCTAGTGTTATCACTCATATATGCATCCTTCAACAATACGGTGTAGTGTTGCCTATTGTTTGAACTTTTGAAAATCATACTATATGTATTTTTTCATATCTTTGTTGTGCTCAACATTGTGTGTGAAATTTGTTCCCATTGTGTGTAGTTATAGTTCTTTTGCATTGCTGTATTTACTCCATTGTTTGAATATACCATACCATTTATCCCCTTGACTAGATACAGACATGTGGGTTGTTTCCAGTGTTATTAGGAACAGTGATTGCTGCTGTGGTCATTCTTGTCTGTATTTCATGGTATCCTTGTGCCAGCATTTCTCTGGGGCACATACTTAGGAGTTGGATGACTGAGGCATGAGGATCAATTTCTTCTTTTACCCAAGAGTTATCTAGAAAAAAAAAGCATTTTCAGGTGGCTTTTGAGGTGTTTTTAGTGCATCAGTGTGGTCAGAGAATATGGCCTGTGACCTTTCAGCGAGATTATCAGCAATCATTTAGACTTCACTATTGGTGTTACTGTTGCCTTTGCTTATTGCTACTTCTTGTATCATGTCTCCTGCTCCCTGCCCCTCGAGTATATCCCTGAATAATATCCTGGGTTTTTGTTTTTTTTTTTTTCCTAGAAAGGGTTTGTGGGGATGTGTATGGAGTGTGTTCCATGAACTTGCTGTCTGTTATCATTTGTTCAACAAATATTTGACTCTGTATAAAGTACTCCATCCATATCAGTGTGGAGAATCCAGAGGCAAACATACACAGATACGCTTCCTGTCTTGACGGAGCTAGATATAGAATTCTGAGGTCATAATTGAGTTTCTTTCCAGGTCTTTATACTTTTATGTTCTGATATTTATTGTTGTAGATGAAAAGTCTGATGCCTATCTGATTCTTAGTTCTTTCTGATAGTTAGTATGATTTTCTGTGTAACTGTAAAGTGTGGGGGTTTTACTTCTTTTTTTTTTTTTGAGACAAGAATCTCGCTCTGTCAGCCAGGCTGGAGTGCAGTGGTGCGATCTTGGATCACTGCAACCTCCACCTCTCAGGTTCAAATGATACTCCCGCCTCAGCCTCCTGAGTAGCTGGGACTACAGGCATGTACCACCATGCCCAACTAAATTTTGTATTATTAGTAGAGATAGGGTTTCACCATGTTAGCCAGGATGGTCTCGATCTGCTGACCTCGTGATCCACCCGCCTTGATCTCTCAAAGTGCTGGAATTACAGATGTGAGCCACCTTAATGTTTTGCTGAGTCACGTCATTGTGTCCTGGCCCTTCTGCAACTGGTGTGTTGTTTTGTTTTGTTTTTTTTGGTTTAGAGGTCTTATTTTTACCTCCTAGAATTGTCTTTTGCATAGTAATCTGTTTTGTATTTTGTGGATACAGTATCTTCTCAATTACTGCTAAAGATTCCAATTAGGTTTTAAAATTCTGCTTATTTCCTTCATTAGCAGTGCTTCAGGTCATTCGTGCTTCTTTGACTTGGCACCTTCCTTTCAGGTTGCTAATTTTCTTCAACTCTCTGATAATACATGGTTATCTGTTCATTTATAGATGAGGTATACCTTTGATCAGTATGAGTTGTTATGAGTGTCTTCAGAATTGTTACTCTTTTCTGCTGTGGCCTCCCCCTCCTGGTTTGCAGACCTGTGCTCTTCCTGTGGCATGAGGGTGGGGAGGTGCTGGCCAGTGAGCTTTCCAGATTTTGAGCTAAAAGGAAGAGGCAGAGTCTGTTATAAGATTTTGCTGCTGCATTGAGTTATATTAAAAAAACATTCTGTCTTTTCTCTCTGGTTTTGTCACTGATAGAGACCATCAAGACAGGCTTCCTATTACCAGAGTGATCCTTACCAACTATAGTTGGGACAAGTACAGTGAGGAATGATCCTTCAAACAGAAGTGGCCCCTCCATTATTTGGATTGTGTTTGTGGCTTTCTCGCGCCCAGCAGTCTGATTCCATCTGCTTTGTATCTTCTAGCATGTCCTTATAGTTTTGGTTCACTAAGGGTATTCTTTTTGTATTTGTTGTTTTGCTGCTGCTGCAGCTGACTTACTCTCTTTTATAAAATTCTGTCATTTCAGTGGGGTTTTAGAAAGAGGACCAGGTCACATCTTGAAATGAAATTAATCTTAGGATTTCACAGCCCTAACTCACTTTTTGTTTTGATTAAATTACTTCCCCTTTTTGACGGGATAGGGGCTCAGCTTTCTCATGTGTAAAATGAAGGCTAGTAACTGGGCTAGTGGTGACAGACCCAGATGCATGTGAGAATCACCTCAGAGAGATTTTGCAAAAGAGATTCTTTGGGTAGGCTTTGAAATTAGCATTTCAAAAATGCTCTTTCAACCATTGATGCAACCAAATTTTTTGGGACTTTGAGGCTAGGTATATATTCTTTAGATACCCAGAATAATTGGCTTTGGAATATAAGAATTTAGGGAAATGAAGAAGGGGTGAATTACATTTTGGAAGCTTCTGCTTAGATACTGCTGAGACCTTTGTTGGTCTTGATTTCTGGATCCTAGTTTCTAGATCTTTTACATATTCTGAGTTCTAATCTGAACTGGCCTTTATGGTTAAAGCTGCATATATATACTGTGTCCTGGCCAGGAAGCTTGTCTTTTGACCTTTGCCCGAACTGGGTACGAAAGCCCCTCCTAAAAATTCATTAGATTCATTTCTGAACTTGATAATTGTAATTTGTGTTAATTGGTAAATTGTGTCTTGTAGAGAGATATTCGATAGTAAATTACATGTTTTTAAAAAGACAATTTGCTTTATAGTGAGGTGGTAATCAATTCATAACTCTTAGTTTTGGGGAGCGTCTATTGTAAGTAACACATCTGACCTCTTAAAATGTAAGGAAATTGAATTTATGTAATGATTCAGGCTTTTCAAAGTTAAAAAGGTAGCTGTTTTGAGGAACTGATAGTTTGGAATATTTATTTTAAACAAAATAAGCCTTTGATCTTATGCACATAGCCGTACAAGTAAAATGTTTTCTTATTTTAAATTAGATTATGTTTTAGAATTTTTTTCAGTTTTGCTTTATATTTGACTGATTGCTTTTCTTTATTCCTAAGGCATCCATTAAGTTGAATTGTTCAAAATTGTTTCATTTTTAAAAGCTGAGAACTGTTGTTTGTCAAATCAAAGTTGGATTTAAAAATGCATATTTTAATTTTAATAAGCTCTTTGGTAGTGGGACTGCAGTGACAGATGGTTGGGAGTTTGTCCCTAAAGCTGTGACACCAATCTTCTAATGTGCATATTTGTTCTGTGTAGTTCTGGCAGATTCTTTCTCTATTTCAGAATGGGACAACAGAAGAAGTGACTTCAAAAGAAGACGAAGAGGAAGAGATGGATGAAGTGGGTATTTTATATAAGAATAACATTATGGCCAGGCGAGGTGACTCATGCCTGTAACCCCAGCACTATGGGAGGCCATGGTGGGTGGATCACCTGAGGACAGGAGTTTGAGACCAGCCTGGCCAACATGGCGAAACTCTGTCTCTATTAAAAGTACAAAAATTAGCCGGGCATGGTGGTAGGCACATGTAATCTCAGCTACTCCGGAGGCTGAGGCAGGAGAATTGCTTGAATCCAGGAGGTGGAGGTTGCAGTGAGCCAAGATCGTGCCACTGCACTCCTGCCTGAGTGACGAGCAAGACTCTTGTCTCAAAAAAAAAACCAAAAAAAATCATAAAATATCTTCAGTTTTGGACATTTGAGTAATTCTCTAATCTCCTTTATAAATAACTATTAATATGGAATAATTGAAAGCACGTCGTATTTGGAATGGAATGTAATTTATAAATTCTGGCTTTACCTCTAACTCATGATATGCCTTCGGGCAAATTGTTTTATCTGAATTCTTGGATTTGATTTTCTGGAAAACAAAAGCTCTTAACTTTTAGCACTAAAATTATATTTAATACTAATCAGTACTTAACCTGTATTTGGTTATTTTTTGGAAGAGAAACTACTGAGTTTAAAAAATTTTATGTTTGCATAAAAGGAGAATTTCAGAATATTTTAGAGACTACTTGCCAGAAGTAGTGAAACTGTCTCTTGCTGAAAAATCATTCAAAGAAATTTGTCTTAGTCTGTTTTATAGTATTGTAACAGAATAACAGAGAGTGAGTAATTTATGAAGAACAGTCATTTATTTTCTGACAGTTCTGGAGTCTGGGAAATCCAAGATGAAAATATCAACATTTGGTGTCTCAGGACCTTCTTGTTTCATCCTCACATGGTAGCAGGCAGAAGGGCAGGAGAGCAAGCTAGTCCAATGTGTGAAGCCTCATTCATAAGGGCCTTAATCCCATGAAGGAGAAAGGAGCCCTCTTGGCCTAATCATCTCTTAAAAGTCCTACCTCTTAATATCATCACATTGGCAACACTTGAATTTTGGAGGGAATACATTCAAACAGTAGCAAATTTAGTAGAGCAAATTCCAAAGACATTGAGCCTAGGCCAGCTGTCAGTCATGGGTATAATTTTAGATGTTTTCAGGCTCTGAAGCTTTGCACTTAAATTTGAACTTCAGAACAAAGATCTGTGTCTCTGCATTGACCAAATAGAATGTATGTGAATTCCATGGTGTTGATTGTTTTAAAAGATTTTTTTCTGTTTGGGGTCTTATAATTAATTTAGGCTTTCATTTTCTTGGTTTGGAAATTATTAATCTAAAATGTACTTTAGAGTGCTTCGGAACTAAAAAGGTAGTGTTGTAGGCTTGTTTTTGTTTGTTTTTTGAGACAGGGTTTCACTGTCACCCAGGCTGGAGTGCAGTAGCGCCGGCATGGCTCACTGTAACCTTGAACTCCTGGGTTCAAGCGATCCTCCTGAGTAGCTGGGACTACAGGCCGGTGCCCCACGTCCAGCTAATTTTTTTTTATTTTTTTGTAGAGTTTGAGTCTCACTCTGTTGCCCAGGCTGGTCTTGAACTCCTGGCCTCAAGTGATCCACCACCTCGGCCTCCCAAAGTGCTGGGATTACAGGTGTGTGCCACTGTGCCTGGCTGTAGGCTTGTTTTATGAGTCTGGGAGTAAAATACTTCTTAAAATTGTCCAATTAGGATGAGAGTCTGTTTTAATGTTTTTATGCAGTTTAGCTTAGGTGGAATAAACTGCATGAAAACATTAAACCTTTTCCATGGGTCAGGCAGCCATTGTACTAAAGTTCATGAACCCTTTCATTTTCCCTTGACAAGATAATAAACAAGGGACCGCAACTTTGAGGGAAATCTAGAAAGGTAGGAGACTGGACTTTGGAGTTGTCAGATTAGGACAGGTGAAAAGCAGATATTCTAGGCTCCTAAAATAATGTGGGAACAGGCCCAGAGCAACTTTGGACATGGTGTGTTTGGGTGCATTGGATGCTTTTGAGAAGGAAGGTTGATGTGTTGAAGTCATGGAAAGCAAGATTGTCCAGAAAAGACAGATGGACAGAAGTCTTGAATTTGAGACAGGCATGTTTCTATTTGGTATGTTTGTTGATAAGAAGGCCTTAAGCAGGGAATGGTGTGCTGAGAATATTGTTTTAGAAAGATATGTTGAATTCTGTTTGGGATGTGCTGATTAATACTTAGGTGGAGAAGTTTTGTGGATGGGAACATGACTGAGGTTGAAGGTACAGGTGGAAATACAGGCCAAAGGCATTTGTGAGCATTGTGGGAAAACAAGTGTGGGTGGAAGATCAGGGCTGAAAGGTGCACACAGGGAGAAGGGAGCTCCATGAAGTACATGGGCAGAGTTTGAGTGAAGGTAGTCAGTAATCTGGTCTAGAAATTGGTGAATTAAGCGGCTTGGGAAAAAAGTCGAGATAAATATAAACTACCCCTTTAGAGATTTTGGCAATTGAAGTAGAAATATAAGGTAATTGAAAAAAGTTAGGATTTAAACAATTCTGCATATATTTGCGTATGTGTAAGAACAGATAGTATGGGAAGGGAGGGAGCAGAATGATGTGAATAAAGATGTTGTTCTGCAGGGTATTATTCAAATTCTTTTGAAATTATTATTAGTATTTGAGATAGGGTCACTATCACCCAGGGTGGAGTGCAGTGGCATGATCATAGCTTACTGCAGCCTCGAACTCCTGGGACCAAACAGTGCTTCTATTTCAGCCTCCTGAGCACCTGACATCAAATTCTTTTTCTAACTTATTTTTAAGTTATTAACATCAATAGGTGCTTACTACATAAAACCATAAACTTGGAAATCAGGGGAAAGCACCAAATGTCTCCAGAGATAACAACTAAAATTAATTGAAATTAACATTTCAATGTAAGTTGTTCTGGTCTTTTTCTGTGCTTATTTCAGCATAATTGAAATTCTCTCTATTCCTTTGTGTAATCCATTTTTCATTTCAAAGTTTTTCGATACAGGAGAAATTATGCCGTGTTGATATTTCAGTGGCTGCTTAATAGTTCATGGAATTGAGTTAACTGTTTTGCTATTTTTGCACATGCAGATTTTGTGTTTGTTTTTGTGGTTGCAAGGTTGAAATAGGTATTCTTATGCCTAAATTTGTGTTTACCTCTTAGACTAGTTTCTTGTAATACAATTCTAGAAGTCGAGTTTCTGGAACAAACTATGAACAGTTAAGGTTCTTGACACCTGCTGCTAAACTGTTTCAAAGGTTCCTCTTAGGAGATTTAAAAGATGGCTTGGCCAGGCGTGGTGTCTCACGCTGGTAATCCCAGCACTTTGGGAGGCTGAGGTGGGCAGATCACTTGACGTCATAAGTTTGAGACCAGCCTGGCCAACATGTTGAAACCCTGTCTCTACTAAAAATACAAAGAAATTAGCTGGGCGTGGTGGTGTACGTCTGTAATCCCAGCTACTCAGGAGACTGAGGCATGAGAATCACTTGAACCTGGGAGGCAGAGGTTGCAGTGAGCAGAGATCGCGCCACTCTACTCCTGCCTGAGTGACAGAGTGAGACTCTATCTTACAAAAATAAAATAAAATAAATAAAGAAGTAAATAAATAAATGATGGCTTATTTCATAATAGTTGTGACTTTGTAAAGCTTTTAAATCTGCTTTCCCCAGAGTCTAGCTTTTAAATAAAATACAGGATATAAAAGGTGGGAGCCTCTTGAATGGAATGTGGGGGCTTTTTCTTTCTCCCCATAGGATAGATATATTCTGTTTCCTGTCCCCCACCAAGTCAAGAATAATTTAAGTTTTGGCATAAGAAACTGCTGAAGGAAAATGGGTTGAATCGGCTAATATTTTTCTTCTTTTTGCAGGATATAGAAGACTTAGATCACTATGAGATGAAAGAAGAGCCTATTAGTGAGAAGAAGTTGGAGGATGAAGGAACTGAAAAAGAAAATTGGGCAATATTAGAGAAAATTAGGAAGACTGAAAGGCAAGGCCATTTAAATGTGTAAGTGTGTATAAATATCTGGACTTTTTGGTTAAGTAATTATAGTTAATACCAGGCAATTCATGAACATGCCGATGTCAGCTGCTCTCCTCCTCCATTCCTGCCTTAGTGGCGGATTCAGTCATGTGTTTATTGGTTTTGAGACAGGGTCTTGCTCTGTCGCCTGGGCTAGAGAGCAGTAGCACAATCATAGTTCACTGTAGCCTTTATCTCCCAGGCTGCAGTGGTCCTCCTACCTCAGCCTCCCAAGTGTCTCAGATTATAGTCATGTGCCACCACACCAGGCTAATTTTTTTGATTTTTAGTAAAGATGAGGTCTCACTGTGTTGACCATGCTGGTCTTGAACACCTGAGTTCAAGCAGTCCTGCTACCTTGGCCTGCCCAAGTGCTGGGATTACAGACATGAGCCACCATGCCTAGCCACGCTCATATGCTTTGTTGCCGAAGGTTATCTTTCTCATCTATGAATAGCCACGTTTTACCCTGTTCATCTGCTCTTCACATCCTGGAACCACCTGCTGATCCCTGTATATGCCCCTTTCCAGCTTGTCTATGCTGTGTTCTCTGCTTACCTTCTTTCTGTGGCATCTGTAAATTCAAGTTCATTCTTTCCTACAAAACACAACTCAAATTATTTCTCCTTCATGAAGCTGACTTTGACCCATCCTGCTCTGACCAAACCAAAAGTAATGTTTCTCTTTTGACTTAACATCTCTTTTATGTGAAGCGGCAGGATGGGAAAGGAACACTGAGTTTGGTGACAGACACACCTTTTATGGTTTCACTTTGCTCAACCCTAAAATATGGAGAGACAGTACATATCTTTTGGATGGTTGCTATGAAAAATAAATTAAAATGATGCATGTATATACATAAAATGCTTAGACAGAGTAGGGAAACATCAAATGATTGTCTGAACAGTTACTGCTTCCTGCCTTGTATTAGAGCTATTTACCAACTCCACAACATCCGAGGACCAGTTACTTTGTCTTGGGCACAGGTTCTCCAAAACAGGGAATGAATTGTTAGGCAAGCAAATGCCAGATGTTGAAATCAGATAACTCTCCCTCCTTCAATCTTATTTGTATATTAATTTAATTGGTAATTTTTCATACAGCAAAGAAATTTAGTTAATCTCCATATCTTGATTATTTAAAAAACTAAGATTGTAGCATTTGAATTAATGTTACTGTACTTCCTGTGTCTTGTGATCAATTCCAGTTTGAGTTATCTTCAAAACAAGTAAAAATTATAATTTTGCATGACCGATACTATACTAAATACTTTATACTAATAAAGATCTTTTCATTTAGTCATCATAGCCACTGTGTGAAATAGGTGCTGTTTATACTTTAGAGATATGAAAAACTTTTCATATTTTATAGATATGAAATGAGTTCAGGTTTACATAGCTAGGAGGTAATATTTTTATAAACTTGATTTTTTTCCCCCTTCAAAGTCTAGTGCAGTCTTTAAAACCTCTAGTTTCACATGACCAAAAAGTAGTTCCATTTCTGTTTAGTCTTAGGATAAGATATGGATGTGTTTTCATCTTTAGAGAAGTCCCTGCACTGAAAAACTGAAACCAGTTGCATGTAGGCACACGTGGTTCTCAGTGTCTTAATGTGTGAACTAGACCATCTGTGTAATATTCTTGCTTGTAGTCTTATGAATGGAAGCCTATTTTACTTAATATTGTGTCACCTTGAGTATTTTCAAAAATTGCTGGGGTTTGGAATAGACTCATACTGAATTCTATGCTATCGTGGAGTCCATGGTTATCTGAACATGTTGGCTAGAGTTTTTTAGGTGATAAGAAAAAGGAAATGAACCAGACTTGTGTCTAGTTTTATATTCTCTTGAAACTTCATAACGCTTCATTTAATTGTCTTTTTTTTTTTTTTTTTTTTTTACTTCTTAAATTGTTGAGTGGTGATCCATTTTTATTGTAATCTTTCTCTTTTTTCTTTTTTTTTTCTTTTGAGATGGAGTCTTGCTCTGTGGCCCAGGCCAGAGTTCAGTGGCAC
Organism: Homo sapiens; assembly: GCF_000001405.40. Classification (NCBI taxonomy): domain Eukaryota; kingdom Metazoa; phylum Chordata; class Mammalia; order Primates; family Hominidae; genus Homo; species Homo sapiens. Next base: position 195,866 of record NT_187606.1, read on the forward strand.
CATCTCAGCTCACTACTACCTCCACCTCCCAGGTTCAAGTGATTATCTTGCCTCAACTTCCCGAGTAGCTGGGACTACAGGCACATGCAACCATGCCCGGCCAACTTTTGTATTTTTTAAATCAGAGATGGGGTTTCATGCTGATGACCAGGCTGGTTTCAAACTCTTGGCCTCAAGTGATCCACCTGCCTCGGCCTCCCAAAGTGCTGGGATTATAGGTGTGAACCACTGTGCCTGGCTACTGTAATCTTTTAGAGCAGGTTGAAATACCTTAAATCTTTAAATTAGTTGGCTCAGTAGACCCTGGTAAACAGCGGCTTTTGTGTTTCCGGCTGAAGTGTCTGGGTCAGTGCAAGCTTGCAAGCTTCAGATAGACTTATACATATACAGGGCTCAGGGACATATACAGATCACAGAGTTATAAGACAGGTAAGGATCTCTAAATCCCTTCTCTTATTGTTCTTTTGTTCTTTTCTGTTGTCAGATTATAAATGTCATTTCTTAAAGCTGGACAGAAATGGAAATGTTTACTAGCTTTATTTTGTGAAACTCAAATGCAATCAAGTTCCAAAAGATGTAGGGGGTAAGATAGGATGAGTTTGCTTGTTTTTGGATTTAAAGAAATTGTTTTTATAGGTCCGTTGGAATTTTTTTGGTCATCCTCCTGATAGAGTGAACATTTACATGATTTTTATCTTCTGGCAAAAAGCTTGAGCAATATTGCTTGATAAGTAAATAAGAGTAATACATTTCATTATACAGAGAATGATTGCCAAGTTGATTTTTGTGATTTTTCCCCCCAGTTTTGAAAGCAACATAATCAACTCTTATTGTGGAGGTAGTTATGTTATTACTTTAAAAATATATAGGTGGAGTACACCTGTTGTCCTAGCTACTAGAGGTGGTGGGAAGCTGAGGCAGGAAGATCTTTTGAGCTTGGGGAAGTCAAGGCTGCAGTGAGCTGTGATTGCACCATTATATTCCAGCCTGGGTGACAGAGTGAGACACCCTGTATCATAAAACAAAAACAAGGGGGAGTGGAGGGTGGGATACATATTGTATATGTATATATAGGACAGTTGTAGAAAAATACCGATTTTTTAGTGATTTAACTTTTGACGGTTCCGTCCATGGCAAATTTTTCTCCTTGAACACCTTGGCTAATAATACAAGTTTAGGAAAGCATATTAAACTGTGTTTGAATTCTTGAGAAAATTATATACATATGACTGTTTTCCTTTAGAATGACTCCAAACTCTGAACCCCCTTATTAGATTAGATTTAGGGTATTGTGATCCCTTTGGGACATTTATTCTAAAGGAGCTGGAAACTATAGTGGCCTCTATTTTTCCTGGGGATATAGAGCAGCTTAAGATCTCCTCTTTCTGGAACTTATCCTAGGTGCTCTATTTTAGCTTTCAGATTGGTTCATTTTTGAGTTAGTTAAAATAATAATAATAATAATAATCTTTTTGTTTGAATTGTTTTTTGTTTTGGAATTCTCAAGGTTGACCCTGATAGTCCTTTGCACAGTGATCTTTAGATCTTAAAAAGAAGCGATAGGAGACATTTTGCTTATCTTTCAAGGTAAGAAAATGGTTATGAGACTCTATATCCTTCTAATGGGGGTGTGTATTTGTACAAGTGTTTTGGAAAACGGTTTGGGAAAGTGGAAGATACTCACACCCTATGGTTCAGGAATCTCGTGGATATATACTCCACAAGAAATGAGTACATAGGTGCCAGGAGACACAGGAATGTTCAGAGCAGCATCGTTTATAATAGCCCCAAACAGAAAATAACCCAAATGTTCATTCCAATAAAATGGAGAATTGTGGTATTCATAAAATGGCTTACAGTCATGTGGGACAAGATGAGCGAATCTTGAACACTATGTTAAGCAAAAGAGACCAGACCCCCAAAACCTATTTTGTACAATTTCCTCTATATAGAGTTCAAAAATAGGCAAAACTAATGTTGGTTAGGGCATACATTCTTAGCGGAGGCAATATCGCCTGCAGTGGAGTGAAAATTGGTCCTTAGAGTGAAAGAAAATCTGACCTATTATACTGGTCTGCTGCCCTCCAAACGGCCATAGAACATAAATGAAAAGAAAACTGAGAAACACTTCTTTATGGGTTCATACTTGGGCAGTAAAACTATCAAGAAAAAAGAGGTGATTAGACACAGGGTAGAGTAAGGAGTCCATCTAGGTGGGAGGTAGGGAGGTGTGAACTGAAAGGTACATCTGTGGGCTTCTTGGATACTGGCTGTAATATATTTCTGGACCAGGTTGGTGGTTACATGGGCAAATAATTTAAAATAACTTGTTAAGGTCTACCTTAAGGTATCTTTTGTGTACTTTTCTGAATGTGTTATATTTAATAAAGTACTTTTAAGATACCAAAAATAAAGGTTACAAAAGAATAACAATGGAATCTAGAAAAAATGTTAATGATCTAATATGGAATCTAGACAAGATGTAATGGCTTAAAATCTATGGCTATATGAAGTATTTTGATGAAAAAAACAAAGACATAAAGGAATACTTTGTTGTACTTACTCTAAGGATGGTAGTAGTTTTCTAAAAGCTTACTTAGCTTTTTCATGTGTATATTTTTCCTTGGGGATATATCTTATGATTGAACTTTCTTGAAATGACCCTAATGTTAGTATTTTCTCTCAATTTTGTTATCATAGAAACTGTTGTGGTTGTCAACTGGGTTGTCTTCCTAAAGTATGAATCCAGTATAGGCTGAAGTTGCTAATGGCTACTTCTTTACGGATTCATATGGGTGAACGAATGAAGCACTCAGGCCTACAACAAAAAAAACACACACACACAAAAAACAGGAAGATACCATTTTTAAAAAAAAACATTAAATCATATGAACATATGCACAACACCAAACTTTAAAGAAATAGAACCTTTGGCTGGGCATGGTGGCTCACGCCTGTAATCCCAGCACTTGGGAGGCCAAGGCAGGTGGATCACCTGAGGACAGGAGTTTGAGACCAGCCCAGCCAAGATGGTGAAACCCCATCTCTACTAAAAATACAAAAATTAGCCAGGCGTGGTGGCAGGTGCCTGTAATCCCAGCTACTTGGGAGGCTGAGGTGGGAGAATCACTTGAACCTAGGAGGCAGAGGTTGCAGTGAGCCAAGATTGCACCATTGCACTCAACAGCCTGGGTGACTAGAGTGAAACTCCATCTCAAAAAATAAAAATAAAAAAGAAATAGAACCTTATCAGTACCTGTAGCACCCTCTGTGCCCCTCCCTTGTCATGTCCTCTTTGGGAGGTATCTTGAAGGGAATGTGACATCTTGGCCAGGAAACTGGAGGATTTGTGACTGCAGGTGGTGTTTTCATTATTTTTTCCTGCTGTAGTTAGAACTTCAGGGAGGGGATGATCTGGGAGGTAAATGGCTGAAATGCTATTGGATTTGTGTTTGTGGCCCATGGCTCCTGATACCAGAAAGAAGGGCCTTTTCTGGGGTTGGAGTATTTCTTAAGAGGCCTGGGAAGAATGTGATTGCCTTGAGCTAACTGACCTTCTGAAGAGGACCTTAAACTGAATTGCCAAGTTATTAGTATTGGGATTCACAGACTTTGGAGAATAGCAGGTATGACTCAGAAAGATTTACAGGAAAGAGCCAGAACAATATGTTTATGGCCTCTGATGTCCGCAGTGACAACTTGAGAGTCGTGAATAATAAGCAAAATTGAACTTGAGATAAAGTATAACACAAAGATGGGAGTGACTGCAGGAGGGAATGTGCCCTGGTCAGCAACTTGGTAAATCCAACTTGCTGTACTTTTAAGGAAGTCGTTTTCAGATGTTACAGGCAACATCAGAGTTACTGAATTGAATTCTGAGGTAGTACTTTAAGAAAGGTCTACTTAGATAAGGTTAGGTTCATTTAGAGAATAATAGCCAGGATTGGGAAGAGATTCTTTTCCATGTCCTAGGATAGCTGGTGAAATTATGGATTTGGAGAGGAAAACATGGGGGTTCTGGTTCATGATAGATTGTCTTCAACTATTTGAAGGAGTATGTATATGGAAGCATTAGTTTTTATTTGTTTTTGGTGAAGACAGGGCATAAAACTAGAACTAATAAGTCAAATTACAAAGAGGTGATTTTCAACTCAATGTAAGGAAGTGACTTGTAACTATTTAGACCCATCTGGTGATGTAGTCTTTGAAAACTAGAATGTTCTTCATCTTTAAGAATAACTTAGAAGGCTGAGATGTTAAATGGGAAGTCAGATAACTTCATGAGATCCTTGTAGAGCCTGAGAGTCTCGTTCTGAGTTAAAATATACTAAGGTAACTCAAACTTAATTTTACCAGTCACCCTCAACCTTTATTTTCCCCTCCCTGAAGAACTCTTTTTATTTCTGTAAAATCTTGATTCCTGAGTTCCAGGGTACAGAGCTTATGGAATAGAGTCCCCAGGTTTTGATGTAGGATCCTCTTTCTCCTGTCTGAAAATATCCTTTAGTATTTCCCTTAGTGTGAGTCTGCAGATAGAAAAAATCCTTATTTTTTATTTCATTATTAAAGAGTATCTTCATTGAGCGTAAGTCTCTAGATTGGCAGTTTCCATCTTTCAGCACCTTGCAGATATCATTCTGTTATGCTAGCTTCCATTGTTTCTCCTGAAGTGTTTATGGTGGTTAAATCTTGTGGAGTCTTTGATCAGTTCTGGAAAATTCTCCACAACCATATCTTCAGCTCTTGCTTCTGTCCCATTCTTTTTTTTCTTACAGGGCTCTACATATATGATAAACTTTTCAATATATTGTCTTATTTTCTCAATTTTCTACCTTTTTGTCTTTCTGACCTTTTTCCGGTTTACTGAATCTGTCTTCTGCTAGGTTACTGCTGTGGTTAAGCTTATCCATTATGTTATTAATTTCAGTTTTGGTAGTTCTAAATTGCAGAATTTCATATGGTTCATTTTATAATTTGCATTTCTCTGCCAGGTTTTCAGTCTTGTCCTGTCTTTCCTTGTCTTTCAGCAGAGTTATTTTGAAGTGTGTCTGCTAACTCTGTTATCTCAATCCCTTGTGGTTTTGTGTCTGTTGTTTGCTTCTCTTGTTTTCTGTTATGTCATCTTTAAGTCTCATGTGGCTTTTTATTTTTAGTGATAGACATTATATATGAAAAATTGCAGAGCTAATTTGAAGCCTTGGATGATATTCTTCTCCAGAGAGGATTTACATTTCCCCTGCTAGGGTCTTGGAAATTCACAATCAGGGATTGAGACGATTAAAGCTGGCCATCATTCCCTGTTGGGGCATTTTGCAGTTTGTTCTTCAGATTCCCAACCTAAGGAGTGGGAGACTTAGCAGGGCCTCTCCTCAGTGGATGCTGAGCTCCAATGTTTAACTCCCTGTGAGCTCTGTGAGGCTGTGAGTTCTAGCTCAGCTTGTTAACCTCTTCTTCTCTGCTGTCATTGGAAGAAAACCCAAGGGGGAGAAAAGAAGACCCTGTTCTCTGCTATTCCCTTTTCTCAGCCCTGTAATCATTACATTTTGTCCATCTTTCTAGTTCTCAGTGAGAGGATTGATCTAAGTTACCTACTCTATCATTATTGGAATGGTTCCTTTATATAGTTCTAGTGAAGTGAAACCCCTTCATATGTTTCATAAGTTTACCATAACACTGTTCTGTTTGGGCCTCATTTTAACTTCATTTTTATTTGCTTTGGTTTTCATTTCATTTTTTCTGTACTAATTTTACTTTTATGACTCTCACCCATTATCTGATAATAAATGTACATATTCTTTTATAGACTTTTAAAATCTTCTAAATGGTATATAGTATTAACGATGTTCTTAAAATTAATTAAACTTGCTTATTTGCTTTTTAGGATAACTTTCCATTTGAGCCTCCATTTGTTTGAGTGGTATTACCTGTTCTCTCAGGAGCATAAGTTTAAGTGATTACTTTAAATGTTTTTTTTTTTTTTTTTTTTTTTTTAGTTTAAAAAAATTTTTTGTAGAGATGAGGTCTCACTATGTTGCTCTGGCTGTTCTTGAACTCCTGGGCTCAAGTGATCCTCCCACCTTGCCCTCCCAAGGTGCTGGGATGACAGGCATGAGCTGCTGTGCCTGGGCTACGTTTTTTTTTTTAATATCGCGTGCACCAGAATCATTTGGAGAGCTAGTCCCAGGGTTTCTGATTAAGTAGGCCTGTGGTGTTGCCTGAGCATTTACGTTTTTAAGAAGTTCCCAGGTGAAACTGATACTGTTGTTCTGGGGCCTACATCTGGAACCACTGGTTATAAAGCATTATGTTGTTGATAGGTAGAGATTTTAGTGTTATATATATGCATATATACACATATATACACACACACACATATTTATACATACACACACACATATATATATTCATACATACTTTTTTATCATAAAAACCAAAGGTTTTTCAAATGTAAATTGTGATTGAAGGTTTAGAGAATGTTATGATTACAGAGTGGTCCCCCCACATACCTGTAATCCTAATTAGTACTTCTAGGAATAATCATGGGAAATCCCATGGACCTATGGAGCTGGCTAATTACTTCTAGAGGTGATAGTTGCAGTGTAGTAGAATCAAATGGTAATTGTCATGCAGTTTTACTGAAATTTGTATTGCTTCTTTTTTGTGATTGGAAGTCTTACAGAAGTGGGGAAAAGATCACAGTTTGCTAGGTTAGTTATGAAATGTTCTGTAGACCCTCAAAGTATGAGCAATTTAAAGTAACTTGAGGATTTTCAAACACTCAGCTGACTAATTCCATTATGTGACATAATCCACATTATGGTGATTAAAATCTAAATATCTCCAGCCCTTACTTTGATCATTTCTATGGTTGAGATAGTAATAGTTGCATTTAGGGTAAAAATATGAGTGACTACTTCACACTTCAGAACTTTCTCCAGAAGAGCTTTGTTGCTACAGTTATTTTTAGTTGTATTTGCTTTACATACTTATGTATGTGTTTTGGGGGCTAAGATCCTGTTAAGAATCATTCTGCATAATCAGAATACATATTAACTATGGTGCTGATACTACGGAATAGTTGTCTGGACATGATATCCATGTGTAAAAGTTCAGAGAAACAAGAAGTGTGGGTTTAAAAAAAAAAAAACCTTAGTATTACATGTGGATGTGCTGAGCTCATTTTGAGTTTCCCCACACAGTAAAGGAATATTGGTTTTATTATTTAATTACTTAATTTTATTGAGACAGGGTCTTTGTCTGTTGCCCCAGGCTGGAGTGAGTGGTGCAATCACAGCTCACTGCAACCTCTGCCTCCCGGGCTCAAGCCATCCTGCCACCTCAGCCTCCTGAGAAGCTGGGACTGCAGGCATATGCCAGCACACCAAGCTAATTTTTGTATTTTTGATAGAGACAGGGTTTCACCATGTTGCTCATGTTGGTCTCGAACTCCCAGGCTAAAGCGATCCACCCCACTGAGACTGACAAAGTATTAGGATTATGGGTCTGAGCCACTTTGCCCAGCCCAATGTTGTTTGTTAAAATTTTTTATTTATTTACTTATCTTTTGCTTTTCTGTTTTAATTTTTAAATTTCTATTTTTTCAATATTGTGTTTTAAGAGTCTACTTACCCGACGCCTGCAGTCTAATCTTTGCCATATCTTCCCAAATGTTCTGTGAGTGCTAATATAGTGGTATGGTAATAGATATTTGTTTTGTGGAGATTGCAAGGTTTTGGGGAACCAGGTTCAAAATGTCTTTTACCAAAGGACTTCTTGGAGCCTTAATGCCATTTTCTGTTTTTCCCAAATTTGTTTATTAGTGTTCCTGACAGCATCTCAGAGGATGGTGTCCTCTGGCTTACTCTCTGGGAAATGCTGCTCTGTTGGAAATCCGGAGTTCTGAGTGATCCCCATGCGTTTTCTGCTGCAGAGCAGGACATGCTGAAGTGATTCCTTCGTGAGCAGATGTTAGAGGTCTCCCTTTGACAGCTTGTTACAAAGTTGATCACGAATATACTATTACGGTGAGTGGAAGTCCCAGGTTGGGTGTGAAGCAGAGTTGTTTAGAATTGTGTACTATTTTGTTACCTTTAAAGCTTCTCTAGGCTGTTTTGGTTTTGGCAGTAAAATTGCTATAAAAAGTACTTCTCTTGGCATACAACCTAATGGTCAGTTTTGGAAGTTCAGTGTTAAGTAACCCAGCCAAATACTTACGTATACAAAATAAACACAAGACTGAAAAATAGTAAATGTTTAACCTTTGCTCACTACAGCAGGCTTTTTACTAGCCACCAAGCCATAGTTCTTTTGTTTTTCATAGTTGAATGTTAAAATGTCTTTTTAATGAAGCCCTTACTGATTGGGGAGAAAGGACATAAGTATTGTGCTTTAGTTTTATGTGCTGGTTTATAAAATTGTGTATGTTGACTCAATATCCCCATAAGCATAGGGAAAGGAAAACGGGTCATGTTTTGTTCAGAATCTTATTTGAGAAAAAAAAAGATCAAAGAAAAGATTTGGATAAAAATCTGCAAATTCAGGATAAATGTATGAAAACATTTTAAAATGTGATTATGAAATAGACCAGTATAGCTTTTCAACATTTTGTTGTAAGAATCCCAAGAATGTAAGTTTATGATCTTAGTATACCACCTAGAATCGAGACAAATACATGAAGTTATGAATCATGCCATTTTCAGTTTTAAAATCTGTTACATAGTTTCTTCATTGATTCTTTTTTGCCACAGTGTGTTATGGTCCTCATTATTTGGATGAATAATTTGAATAATAAGTCAGCTTGTGACTTAGCCAAATAAATCTTCTGATTCCTAGTAAAGTGTTTTTCATTATACGAAATGCCAGCTATGTAAGAGGAGATTAAAAGTACTAAGAACTGTAAGTACTGCATTGATTATCATATGCTAACCATGGGCCAGGCACGGTGGCACACACCTATAATCCCAGCACTTTGGGAGGCTGAGGCGGGTGGATCACTTGAGGTCAGGAGTTCAAGACCAGCCTGGCCAAGATGGTGAAACCCCTGTCTCTACCAAAAATACAAAAAATTTGCCAGATGTGGTGGTGCATACTGGTAATCCCAGCTACTCAGGAGGCTGAGTCAGGAGAATCGCTTGAACTCGGGAGGCAGAGGTTGCAGTGAGCTGAGATCGTGCCACTGCGCTCCAGCCTGGGTGACAAAGATAAACTCCATCTGAACAAAAAAGAAAAAGAAAAGCTAAGCATGGACTTAATTTCTCTGAGATTTAAAGCTGCAAAGAGTTGCTCTTCATGAAGTAGATGGGATCTCAGCTGGGCAGTGAAATGTGAGTGGGGTTTGGTCAGCTGGTGGAGGTTGCAGGAAAATTATTTACATAGGTGAAGAGTAAGCGCAATCAGGTATCTAGGAAAGAATGAGGGGTTCAGAGTATACGAAACCAATTTGAGCTATAACACAAGGAGGGTAGGATTCATGTAGAAGAGTTGTAGGAAATATTGCTGATGTAATATTTTGTACTCAAACAGTTCTGTGGATTGGTGACAGATTTTTTTTTTCAGGTAAGTAAACTATTACCCCTGGATATTCATCTTTCTGTGTAGCTGGTTGAGAAACAGGGGAGTAACAGTAAAGAAACTGTTTTAGAATAAATCTGGTGACAGCAGAAGAGAATATGAGACACATTGTGCTCACAGAGCCTAGAAGAGTGTGACAGTAGTTGAGGGCACCGCTGTTGTCTTAGAGTGAAGTGAGGAGAACCTACATTGGTGTGGTAGTCATGGGAGTGGAAGGAGGAATGAAATGTGAAAGCCCATTGGAGGCAGAATCAAAATGCCTTGGTCTTAATAGTCAACTATTAAGGAGAAATTATTGGCTGACTTAGGAAGAAGTGAAAAATGTGAAATACCAATAAAACACCAGGCTTGTGATTTTAGTCAGGGTAAAGCTTAAGCATTGTGTGATTCTAGATAGATTACTGAGGAGTTTTGTTCCATTTATTTTATGTCCATATCTTTGAGCTATGATTCTATCCTTTATTTCTTGACATACCCAAACATTTTTTAAACTATTGTGATACAGCTTTTATATGATAAGTCTCACTCTTTGAAGTGTACAGTTTGGTGGTTTTTAGTATATTCAGAGTTATGCAGCCATTACCACTACCTAATTTCAGAACCTTTTCTTCTCCCCAGAAAGAAACCCCATGCCCATTAGCAGTCACTCTGTATACTCGTCTCCCCCACCGTTGATCCTGGCGACCTCTGATCTAATTTCTGTCTCTGTAGATTTGCCTATCCTGGACATTTCATATAAATAGAATCATACAAAATGTGGCATTTTGTAATTGACTTTTCTTTGAAGTGATTATAAAGCAAATGCCTGAAGAGGCCAAGCTTAGGATAGTGTTTGCTGTACAGCTTTGACAACTGAATTTTTTTTAAGTTGAAAATATTACTGTGTCTGTATATGTGGCATATTATCCTTAGATGACCGTTACTTCAATTATTAGAATTTTTTTCCCTAGTATTCTTGAACTGTCTCAATATTCAGTAGGAACCCTTTGGAGACAAAGAGCAGTAAGAATTTGGAACACATATTGACGAAATGAATGTCATTTAATACAGTAGTAGAGTCGACCACTTTTAGGTGTCAGTGCTGCTGGAAGTGTATATTAAGGAAAAGTTTACTTATCTTACTTATGTAGTGAAGGTACTAGAACTACTTCTGTCTTCTGTTTAGATTTCAACAAACATTTGCATAGGTATTATGCGGTTGTACAAATGTACTGTCTTTTGACCTGAAAATGCAAAAACTTTCTTCCTACTTTCTGAGACTCTGCAACCTTAAAGGAAGAGTGGGGTACTTTAAAGGAAAGGTGGTGTTGGTTGGATAATGGGTGACAATGTCTGCCATATACTTCCTTTTCCCAAAACAAGTTCCTGTCTACCATCAGCATCTCCAAAATTTGAAGATCAAGTGTGGTGTTAACTCATTAACTAAATGACTAGACTTTGAGCAGTTGTGGAACCAAAATCTGAGTGAGTGCCTGGATGTTCTAATTCTGTTAAATCAATGAGTGCACATTATATACAATACTCTCTTAGCCCAGTGGCAGATTTAAGGAGTGAGAGAGAGATTTCAAATGTTTCAGAAATCAAATACACAAAGAATAAAAATTTTTAATCCCATGATTCTTTACCTGAGTTTAATTTTTCGGAGAGTTTTTCTTTTAGATTTTCTTTTCCTTCCATTAAACTTTCACTTTGAAAGCTCCCAGGGTTTGGGCAAAGCAAGTGGGAAAGACACTTGCTTGGATTCTCCAGGGCAAGGGAGTTAAAGAGGGCTTCTTTCCCTCATTTTATTATTGAATAATGTCATGAAAACAATTATTAAGGTGAATGGTCTACAGTAGAAGTTTTTAGATGCCTTCTCTGCAAAATAATTTGGTTTAGTCAATGCAAGGATGCCTTTGGTTAGCTGGAATGGAAGATGCGCAGGCTAGAGTGGTCTTGGCAAGTCTTCTGGGGGGAAATACAGCATTTGGAAGGGTAGGAAGCAGAAGGAATCTCAAGCAAGGGAAAGGTGTGGGCAGAGCCCCGGAGGACAGAACCGTTTGTGGTGGACTTGGTGTCCACATAGATCTAATCAGTGGTCTTAGCTTTTGTGCTTTCAAAATTACCACAGTTTTTGTTCTAAAACTATCATTCCCTTGATTTTACTTTAGGCATGCTATCTGTGTATTTTGAAATTTAAAATAACATTAAAGGAGAAATGAAATTATTTTGTTTGAGAAAGAATTAAAAGGTTAAAACATCTTGATCTAAATAATTTTCTAATGGGAGATTTGGTACATCCCCAGAAGTTGTCTTTGGTTCAGAGAACAGTCTTCAGACCTAGAAAGGACTTGAGGAGTCCCAGAGAGGAGCCACATGGTGTGAACCATTCGATTCTCACAACAGAATGGATAAGAACAATTTCAACCATGAAACCGTGCAGATGTTCATATTTTGAATAGGGTAAGATCGGTGCCATTGTCAGAGGAAAAACTCCTGGCCATCACAGGTTGGGAGAGAAAGTTTCCATTGTAAAGAACACTCAAATGCCATTTAAGGAAATGGGTTCTTCTGCCCTGATTCTTTGGAATATTTAGGGCCACGTTTTTAGTTTTTGACATCATAAAAATTTCAAAGTATTCTGTTCTGATTGCCATTTCAAACAATTGACTGGAATTTCAGAGCAATTTCATAAGAGTAATACCATTAGAATTTTTAAATTACCTATAATCCTATATGCCTAACAAGTATGTTCATGCTTACGTGTTCTCTTCTTGTCTTTACTGTGTGCATACTTTCTTAATAATGCCACATGGAAATTGTTTAAGCAGGAATACTTCTCAAGATAATTTTGTATGTTTCCTTTTTTCTTTTTAAGGTATGTATTGGGTGGAGGAGCATTATGTATGGAACCTCTGGTGATTATTTTATTATTATACTCAATTTTCACCCTCAATAGAGTGTTTTGATTATGTAAGTTAGATCGTAAGTAGACGGTTCTCTTAAAGACATTTTAGTGTTTTTTTTTTTTTTCGTAGCTCCTACTTTCAAGAATGAAAAAGGTATCCCAGCAGTTTGGGAGGCTGAGGCAGGCGGATCACGAGGTCAAGAGATCGAGACCATCCTGGCTAACACGGTGAAACCCCGTCTCTACTAAAAAATACAAAAAAAATAGCCGGGCGTGATGGCGGGTGACTGTAGTCCCAGCTACCCGGGAGGCTGAGGCAGGAGAATTGTGTGAACCCGGGAGGCAGAGCTTGCAGTGAGCTGAGATGGTGCCACCGCACTCCAGCCTGGGTGACAGAGCAAGACTCCATCTCAAAAAAACAAAACAAAACAAAACAAAAAAAACAGAATGAAAAAGGCAAACCAGTAAAATAACATTGTGCTTGGTGCTGAATTTATGCTAGGATAGGCGTTAACAGTGACCTTTATTTAAGGTTTTAATTTGTTCATGTTGGGCACTTAGAACATTGGTTTGTTGTTTTTTTGTGAGATTCTGGAAACGTTCCAATTTTACCTTTTCCCCTTGACTCCAGACTTTTTAACACTGGTCTGCTACTGTTAAGTTATATGCCATTTGGTTAGGCCTTCTCAAGTGGGAACCAGGAACGCTGCTGTGTTCTAGAGATGTTTTGTTCTTCCTGTAGGGCTGAAGCAGTGCCTACTCGATAGAATCAGTCATCATGCAAATAAAAGCCACCTGAGTCAAAGGCAAAGCCAGAGTGCAGCTTGGAGCAAAGAAGGTAATTTTATTAAGAATTTTACATAAACCATAAGATATATTTTATGCTACTTTGTGAGCCTTCTTCCTATCTTAATTCTTTTTGAGAGAATTCATTTCATTTTCATTTGGTTTGTTTTCTTTTTGTTACAAAGATGATCTATAGAACATATAGAAGTATAAGAAAATTAAAGTTACTAACTGATAATCACTTAATGATTTAGTATCTGATTGTTTAGTCTTTGTTATATTTACTGTAGAGAAACATGTCTACAGTTGTAAATTTATTATTGTTATGTATACCATAGTAAAAGTTATATGTACTTTGAAGTTTTGCAAAATTGAGTTCATGTTATAAAATTAATTCCTGATGAACTTTTATGTGCTAGGCACTAGTCTTTTTATTTACTTATTTTTACTTTTTTTGTTTCCCTCTGTGCCTATGCTTACCAAGTCTTTTTATTTTTTACTTTTTATTAGCTCTTTCAGTCCTCTTAATAACTTTAAAAGAGGGTATTATTAATATCTGCATTTTATGGATGAGACAACTGAAGGTAGGTAACTTGTCCAAAGTCACAGGTGGCAGAGCAAGGATTGGAACCAGACAGTCTGACTGCCCTAGGCCCAACCAAGAGGAGCTGAGAGCAAGCCACGGGGCAGAAGGATGTTGGAGGCTGGTTTTCTGTTCAGTTAACATGAAATGCAGGCTGTAACCGTAATTCCAGGACATTACTGAGAAAGCCTTCCAAAGCCAGAGGGGTTTTTTTTGTTTTGTTTTGTTTTGTTTTCCATGACCATGACTTTTGAGCAAAAATTTGGTTTTGTTTAAAGGCAATATGGTGCTCTAAGAAACTTCCACTCACACTTATGGAGGGAATGGTAGTTGAGCTAAATAGTGAAATGCTGTAGCACACAGCCTTTAGGGCAGCTTCTGACCTATTTCTATGGTCAGGAAAGACACCTATCTTTGCCTGCTGCCCACAGCCTCTAGTTATTCACCTTCAGAATTTCCTAGTCTGTGATCACATTCAGATGAGAGATCCGTTTTGTTTTTTCCAGGGTAGCAGGAAGTGAGTCACCACCTATACTAAGCAGTCTAGTCTTCTGTGTATAAATGAGCAAGGGTGGGGAGCCAGATCTGAGAACCTTGTGTAATGCTGAGATGCTCCAAGAGAATCCAAGAGGATGTCAGGATTATGCATGGTGGTAAAGTGGTCTCATGTTAGTTGTACCCACAGCTCTCATCAGAAGCAGACACAGATACTTTTTGTAGGAAAACATCTCTAACTTAAGCCTGTAGGATTCCCAAAGATTAAAAGCAGGCAAATATGAATTCAGTCAAATCATAGCATTCAAGTAGTCTCAACCCAACATATTTGAGAATTGTTAGAAACAATGAATATGTTTCCCAAAGACTAGGTTTTGGAATTATCAGATACAGAACACAGACTTCAAATATTAGAATTGTGAGAAAATAGTTACATGTCAAACCTAATATAAAAGAAAGATGGACTCATTAAATTGAGCAACAGAAAGGCCACCAGGAATGAGGAGGAGGACCTGAAAAGAAAATGGATGAACTAGAACTTACAGAAATAAAATATATAGCTGGGTCTGGTGGCTCACACCTGTAATCCCAGCACTGTTTGGGAGGCCGAGGTGGGAGGATGGTATGAGCCCAGGAGTTGGGGAGACAAGCCTGGGCAACATGGTGAGAACTCGTTTCTGTAAAAAATACCCCAACACCACCAAAAAAAAAAAAAAAAAAAAAAGTAGCTGGGTATGGGGCACGTGTCTGTAGTCCCAGCTAGTCAGGAGGCTGAGGAGGGAGGATCACTTGAGCTCAGGAGGCAAGGGCTGCATGTGCATGCCACTGCAGTCCAGCCTGGGTGACAGAGTGAGACTCCGTCTCAGAATAAAATGAAATAAAGAAATAAAAAATGTAATTGTTGAAATAAAAAACTCAGTGGATGGATTAGACATCAGAAGAAAGAATTAATTGGTTAGACAATTATCTCCCAAAAGTGAGTCAGTATGTTACACAGAGAGACATGAGGATAGATGATAGGGCAGAAGTTGGTGGGGTTGTAGGGGGAGGGAGATCAGAATGAGGTCTAAAATATGTCTTAGTGGAATCCCAGGAGGAGATATTAAAATTATATTAGAAAGTGAGAGAAATAGAAGTTCTAAAGGCAATAGAAGGAAGTCCACATAAATCAGTCACAACAAATGTAAATGGACTAAAGTTACCAGTTAGGTGGAACTAATAAAAGAATATCCAGCTGTTTTAATCCATCATATTTAAAATATAAGGATATGAGAAGATTGAAAGTTTTTATAAAGGAGAGAGAGTAATGAAGATATGGCAGTATACATTAACCAAAAACAAGTGATGGAGCTTCAGTATCAAAAAAGGATTTTGGAACAGAAAGCATTAGTAAGAAACTTGATGCTGACTGTTAATTAGGAGGATGTAGCAATTTTCATATTTTATGTACCTGTCAAAATAGCCTCAAAATGCAGGAGAAAAACTGATAAAACCACAGGGAGAAATTGACAAGTCTGCCAGCATATTTGGAGATTTCACCATACCCTGCTTACCATAAGTAAGTTACACAGAATGCCCATATGTAGATTTGAATAACCAGTGAATGGACATGGTGTAATGGACAAATATAGGCCTTTGTACCCAATAATTAGATATTCTATATTCTTCTCAAGCATATGTGGACTGTGGGAGAAACATTAATTATATATTAATTCGTAAAGCAAGTCAGAAGATTTAAAAACAATTGGTACCATCCACACCATATAATTTATAATTTAAATATGAAGCAATTAAGGTTAGAAGGCAATAATGAAGAGATTAACAAAAAGCTACATGAATTTGGAAATTAAACACCCTTGTAATTCATGGTATAAAAAACTCAATACAATTTTAGAATGCTTAGAATTGAACCATAGTTAAAATATGAAACTTCTCTCTGTTCCTGTCTCTCTCCCTCTCCCTCTCTCTTCCTATCTGGAACATTCAAGAAGCTAATCTTTTTCAATGAAGAACACCCCAAATACTGAAAAGTAGGAAAAAGACAGATGGCATTTCATGGTAATCCCTTCCCCCAAGAGTGTAGAATGTTTCTTTAGCTTCTTTGATAGTTTGTTTACTTATTTATTAAGTACTTACTATAAACCAGACTCTGCTTTAATTTGTGATGAACAACCTAGAGATTAAGTCCTGCCCTATGGATTTTATATTAGAGTGAGAAAAACAGATAGCTAAGTCTGGAGCTCAGGGGTGAGGCCCAGGTTGGAATTATAGATTCACTTGACCAAGGTGAAACCTGGTGTGCCCCCTCCTACTTCACATCCCCAGACATACTTCTGGAACATTTCTGTTCTATTCTTGTGTATAAACTCTTCCTTTTGAGCCTCTCTCCATTAATGCATGTCAACCTCTACTTGTCTTTTGTTGATTTTGAGGCCACTTGCCCATATAACTTGGAGGATATTGAAGAAGAATCATACCGACCTGGTTCTGCTACCTACCAGCTGAGTTACTTTGGTCAAGCTCTTGGACTTCTGAGGCTGTTTCCTAATTTCAAAAGTGGGTATATGATGTGTTAGGCCCTGGTGGGTTGCAAGGAAGAGGTACACACATACCACCTTTGATGATGAGGGCCGAATGTTAACTTGGATGGAAAGTCATCCAAACAGCGATATTGTCTCTGGCCCTAGTAATTTCAAAACCTCACAGAATATTAATTTAGCAGTATTTAGGATAGGGTTTGAGCTCTGAAGACCTACAGTATGGTTATTTGTTCATATGGCTGTTTTCCATACTAGACCATGAACTCCATGAGGGCAGGGTCTACAGTTTCATCTTTGTCTCCTAGGCACTCAGTTCAGTGCCTGATACATAATAATAGAGGCACAAATGTTTTAAGAGTTGAGGAATTTTCAACTCTTTCTGAAAGAATAGGAAGATATAAAGGCTTCTCAGAGACGGTATTATTTAAGCTGATTTTGTTTTTGTTTTTGAGATGAAGTCTTGCTCTCTCGCCCAAGATGGAGTGCAATGGCGTGATCTCAGCTCACTGCAACCTCTGCTTACCAGGTTCAAGTGATTCTTCTGCCTCAGTCTCCTGAGTAGCTGGGATTACAGGCATCCACCACCACACCCAGCTATTTTTTGTATTTTTAGTAAAGACGAGGTTTCACCATGTTGGCCAGGCTAGTCTCAAACTACTGATCTGAGGTGATCCGCCCACCTTGGCCTCCCAGAGTGCTGGGATTATAGGCATGAGCCACCATGCCCGGCTTATTTAAGCTGATTCTTTAAGGGTAAGTAGAAATTTTTTCCAGGTGAATAAAACCTTGAGCTATTATTCCAAGCAGAGACCAGTAGGTGCAAAGACACAGGGATATAGAGATGTTGAAGTTTACCAAACACTGCTAGATTAAAAAAACAAAAAGGAAACTATCAAAATCAAAAATTAAAATTAAAAATCACCTATAATACAAGCTATGAATGGGCTTGGCCAGAGGTCAGATCGCAACTGAGTTAACTATGACCGTAGACACTCAGTAATCGATGGAAGTTTTAGGGAAAACACATAACATTCTCAGGTTGTTGGCAGAGTATCTGGAACAATTTACAAATACGGGCATTGAATTCTGGGAATAATTACACTGTAGTGATATCATTTCCTTCTCTGCGTATGAAGCATGTATGTATTGCACACTGTTCAAGGTGCTGAAAATCAGACTCTTCTCGAGCAATCAAGGGAGATGGATGGGTGAGCAACTGATTATCATGTGACAAGTGAGGTAACAGAGATATGACTAAGATGGTATCTAAACAAGAAGAAAGGAATTATTCATAATATATGGAGTTCTGGGGAAATATTTCTCAAATGAAGCCGGCCGGGCCGGATGGCTCCCACTTGTAATACCGGCACTTTGGGAGGTGGAAGTGGGAGGATCCAGGAGGATCTAGGAGTTCAAGACCAGCCTGGTCAACAGAGCAAAGCCCTGCCTGTTTCTATATTTGAAAAAAAATAAGTAAATTTTTTTAATGAAATGATATTTGAGCACTCTGGAGCACCATACAAATATAGGACAGACTGAAGGAATGTACCTGGCTTGAGTTAACATTTATTGAAATTTTATATTGCAAAAATAGTACATATTCACTGTTTTGAAACTAGAAAGAATTGATAGGCAAGGAGGGCTGTCTACAAAGCACTCCATAGATCCACCATACTGAGACAATGCTTAATGCTTTGATGGATTTATTGTATACTATCTATGCATATGCATGTATTATATACATACATGTGCATGGTTAAATAGAAATATTTCTCCTTGGTGTTAATCCATTTATTGTTATGCAGTAAATCCCCAAAGAGCACATTTGCTTTGCCCAAGGGAGTCTTTTGCTACATACTGCTGTACATAATGAAAACTAAAAAATTGGCTAACTTTTCAGCCTTGTGACCTTGTGGTGATTCAAATAGAGGCTTCATCAAAGGCAGATTCAGAAATGAACTTGGTATGTGGGTGGTTATGCTTGGCATTATTGTTTGTAATAGTATGATAGGGATGACTTCAGTGTCCACCAACAGGGAACTGGTTAAGTAAACTGTGGTACATCCAAACGATGAATACTGTGCGGTTGTAAAGAAGAATGACAAAGACCTCTGTACTCATGTAGAAGAACTCACATATATTGTGTGTGTTTTAAGAGGAACAAGGAATGGTATAGTATGTATGGTATGCTACTTTTTGTGTTGAGAGAGAAGAGTAGAATAAGAATATACGTGTGTATTTGCAAACATAAATTCTGAAATGATATATAAGAAACCAATTAAAAGTGTTTGGCTGTAGAAGGAGAATAAGACTGTGAATGGGATTTGGCCACATACTTTTATAGGTAGTTATATTTAAAAATTTTCTGAACCATGTGTTTGTACACATGACCTTTTTAAAAATAAGTGAATGAAGGAATGAAGTAGGATTATGAGAAAGAGATAAGAACAAATGATCTAAGGGGCTGCCCATCTTTTTAGTACCCAGTGAATATTAATATATAACAATAGCAGCAAAAATTGGAAGAGTAGCCCCAGGAGGGTAGGGAGTCAGCCTTTCCTTTGTCTTTTCCTCAATTTCATATATTAAACAAAATAATCTGAGAACGATAAAACAATTTGAAATAAAAAATGTCTCCAGATCTCTTAAAAGGAAGCTGGGGCAGCTTTCTGTAGCGCACTTCCCAAAAATGGGCTGATTTACCTCAAGAGGCAGGGATTCTAGCCTACATGGGATACATACAGGAGAAAACAAAATCAGAAAAAGAAAAGAGATTTAAATATAAATAAATGAAAATAACAATTCTCCCTCATTATAAAGGAAATCATTCTTTTTGTAATAATTTGGATGACAAATATTAAGAAAAATCTTTAATTTGCCACTCAAAACATTGTGGTTTGTTGCTTTTTATACGTTTTTATGCACATAAACCTTTTAAAAAGTAGAATCGTAGTATGTAGTCTTTTGTCACTTACTATATTTTGGGCATATTTCTGTGGCAGTAAATATATCCTGGCATCATCATTTTTAATAGCTGGATGTATATTAAGTTAATCACTGCCACCCCAGAGGTGAATTTTCTTATACACACATTTTAATGGGCTCGAGCAAACATTTTTGGACTGAATTCATAGAAGTAGAATTTCTGGAGGAAAATAATTTTTAGGGTTTTTAATAGAAATTTTCAAATCATTCTCCAGGAAAAGTGACTCAGGTTATACTCCCACCAACAAGGACAGAGCTCCAGGTTCCCCTTTCCATTTGTCATCTTTCCTGCCTTTATACAGAAAATCTCATTGTTTTCATGACATTTCTTTGATTTCTTGTGCTTTTGAATCTTTGTATATGCCATTGGCCATTTTTATTCTTGTGAGAAGTGCCAGTTTCTCCATTGCCCATTTTCGGTTGAAAATCATTTGTTTTTTTTTCTCAGTAATTTTAAAGATTTCTTTATAGTCTAAGGATACAAGCCTTTTATCTGTCATTGAGGTGACAAAACTTTCTCCCAGTAAGTAATTTGTCATTTCATTTTTTCTTCTTTTCTTTTTCCTTTCCTTTCCCTTTCTTTCTTTTCCTTGTTTCTTTCTTTCTTCTTCTTCCTTCCTTGCTTTCCTTTTCTTTCTTGCTTTCCATTCTTACTTTCTTTTCTTTTCCCTCCCTCCCTCCCTCTCTTTCTTTCCTCTTTCTTTTTCTTTCTCTCTTTTTCTTTCTTCTTTCCCTCTCTCTCTTTCTTCCTTTCCTTTCTTTCTCTTTATTCCCTCCCTCCCTCCTTCTTCCCTTTTTTTTCTTTCTTTCTTTCACTAGCCAAGCTCCAAAGTCACATTTCACTTAATTTTTATCCTGCCAAATTTGAAAGCCTTTTAACTTCGTGATTTTAGTGTAAACAGGAGCAGGAGAAAATGTAATTATCTAAGTCTCGCTGTGTCACCCAGACTGGAGTGCAGTGCCATAATCATAGCTACTGCAGCCTTGAACTCCTCGCCTCAAGCAATTTTCCCACCTCAGCCTGCCAAGTAGCTAGGACTACAGCTGTGTGCCACCACACCCAGCTAATGTTCAAAAATTTTTGTGGAGATGTGAATTCTTTATGCTGCCCAGGCTAGTCTTGAACTCCTGACTTCAAGTAATCCTCCCACCTCGGCTTGCCAAAGTGCTGGGATTACAGGTGTCAGCTACTGCTCCTGACTGAGAGTTTAGTTTTGTTTGCTAGTGGTGTTCTTGGTATCTTTTCATATTTGAGGTTTTGGGCTAGTGCTGAAGTATTACACTCACCATTCGAGGTCTACAGGACTTTTGGTTTAATATTGAACAGATGGAACTGTTTAGTTCTGCATCTTTGCAGGTATACAGAATGTGCCTACCAGGAATCTGCTTTATATCCATTGAAAGCAAGAAATAATACAGTAAAACTTTGCCTGGCGAGAGGCTTTGAAAGAATGGCGTATTCTGGTTTAATTCTATTACTTTGGAAGTATAAAGGTGAAAAAAATTCAAAACTTAAATTTCCTGTTGAATGCAATTTGAAAATATAGCCAATGATTCCACTTTTCTTCTCTAGTAAGGTTGGACATTCTGATCTACTTGGTGTTTTATTATAGAACTGCTAGTGTGCGTGAGTCTTACATTGTGAAGATACTTTTTTAAAACTTGAGATGTAAGAGGATGTAAACGGTTTTGTAGGAGATCAGGCTGGATGAGAATGGACACTTGTAAACATACTTTTTAGACTAAATCTCTGATTGCCGCTTGTTTTTCTTATGGAACTCATACAAATAAAACACATTGGATGGAGGGTGCGAGTAGGAAGGAGATTCTGGTCTTTTAATTGCATGTCATTGTTTCATAACAAGGCAGAACATATGGTAACCCTGGCTTTGGACCTACAGAAGGAAACACATTTTTCTACCTGCTGTATGCCAGAGGTTCTTGAACACTTGGAGGGATTACTGCAGCACAGATTGCTGAACCCTACTCCAGAGTTTCTGATTCACCAGGTCCAGGGTGGGGCCTGAGAATTTGCACTTATAAAAAGGTCTCAGGTGCTGCTGGTGCTGCTAGTCCATAGACTACATTTTGAGAACCACTCTTGTCTATTAAGTGTAAATTGTAGAACTCTAGAAAAAAGCTTAGTTCAGTCTGGGATAAGAAGCACACAGGTTATGGAGAAAATCATGAAAGATTCAACCCTTGATCCCAGCCTAGTGTGGATTTCAGGTAACAAGCAGTACACAGTGACATAACACAATTCTTGGTTTTCATGATTGCAAGTCATAGCCAGGTATCAAGTGAGAAATTCAGTTTCATTTGCAAGGCCTAGAGAGGCCTGGTGATTCTAGAAAAATGGGCCTTGTATTTGTTTTAAACCAGTAAAGAGCTTTAAGTGCTTATTAAATTGTAAGTTTTGTGTTCCTACTTATTTTGTATCTTATTTTGTTTTATTTTATTTCTTTTGAGATGGAGTCTTGCTCTGTCACCCAGGCTGGAGTGCAGTGGCATGAGCTTGGCTCACTGCAACCTCCATCTCCTGGGTTCAAGTGATTCTCCTGCCTCAGCCTCCCAAATAGCTGGGATTACAAGCACCCACCACCACACCTGGTTGGTTTTTGTATTTTTAGTAGAGACAGGGTTTCTTCATGTTGGCCAGGCTGGTCTCGAACTCCTGACCTCAGGTCATCCACCCACCTCGGCCTCCCAAAGTGATGGCATTACAGGGGTGAGCCACCGCACCTGGCCCAAAAGCTTTGTGTTTTTAAAGATATTAGACATGTTTCTTGTTTTTAAAAGAAATCTTAACAATAATGTAGGAGAATAAGACAAACATTTTTCCAAAAAAGAGAAATTGTTGTGATTATTCTCTGTTATTGGAATGTCGGATACTATAGTCAGCTTCATTAATCATCAAGAATGCTATGGATTTTCCATTTTTATAGGGTCTATATCTCAGTTAAGGTAATACTTGTAATTCTTGTGCTCCATTTGAAGATGAAAAATATAGGCCAAAATCATAGACTTTGCATAGAAGCTGCATAATGAAGACAGCTCTGGAGGAACACATAGATACACACAGACACACATATATAAAGTATATACACATATATTTTTTAAAGTTTATTTTTAACAGTTTTAAAGCTTTTAAAGCAAAAGCCAGCCCCTCCCCTCTCCCAGAGTGGGCGGCCTCTCCCCTCTCTCTGAGTGGGCGGGGACAGCGGTTGCATGGGCAGCTTTCCTTATGATGCTACAGGTCCCTCTGGACATGCTGCGCCTGGCCACGCCTCCTTTCCCTTTCATCTTTCTCACTGACCAATGGGCTTGGAACATTAAGGCCACGCCCCTATTCTGCGTTCCATTGGTGCCCTGGTTACGCCACCTGTGGCTCAGTTGCACAGCTGCCTGGTAGGTGACTGGAGGCATTGAGCAGTGCTCACTGGTATTTCGCTGATGTGGCCCCAACCCCGCCTCCCTCCCCACCCCGCGATGTCAGAAAAAACACAACAGGGGAAATTGGCCGCAGCCAAGAAAAAGGTAAAACACACCAGGTCATGGCCCCCAACCCAGCCACAGATCCCCTCCGATGACAAGACCGGTGCCAGAGTCCATACCACTCCTGAGGCATACCAGATGGGGCCCCCCAACCCCAGCCCCTCTGGGCTCCCCCAACCAAAGCCTAGTCAGTCAGCCCCACCCCTTCAGCAAGCAGCCCAGTCCCTGCCCTTGCCAATCACCCCAGGGTGACTTTGGGCAGGTGACTCCTGGGGCTCCCTGCTCCATAATCAGCCCTCACCTCCTGCCACCCCAAGCCCAACCTCCCTGGGCTCTTTGGGCTTGCGTCTCCCAGGACCTGGGTCCCCCAGCCCCAGGCCCTGCCCTCACCAGTCATCCCTGGGTGGCTTTGGGCTGGTGACTCCCGGGGCTCCCTACTGCAGACTCTGCCCTCCCCTCCTGCTGCCCCAAGCTCGACCTCCCTAGGCTTCTTGGGCTGGCGTCTCTGAGGACCTGGGTCGAAACCGTGTGTTTCCCTCCCCCATCGTGGAGCAGCGACTCGGGCATCGCGCTGATGTGGTCCCCTCCCCTGGGAGGAGTGGAATGCAATGATGTCACAGCGCCCCTAGGAACTGTCATTACTGCTGCAAGACCAGCCTTTGATCTTACAACCCAGTCCCCTAAGTTTTCTCACCCCATTTCTGGTTCCTCTGGTTGCAGCACAAATTTCCAGCTGGAAGGGGAGTGGAGACTATGGGACCTAGGAGCAACAGGTTTCAGGCTGCCTTACTCCCTTAACATAGACATTGACAGTGGGAAAAGCCTACACTTCCCCTGTGAGCTCAAAATGTTCACAGTATCTCTGGGTGGCAATGGGAGAATGGGTTTGGTTTGGTTTTTTCCCAGGCTTCTACTTTCCAGAGAGACTTTAACATTTTTTTCTGAGTTCTCCACGGTTCTGGGACCAGACTGCCCTTCAGTCAGTGGCCTCTGAAGTGAGATTTGCTCATCTTCTGTGGAATAGATCTTGGGAAACTGAACTTGACAGCTTGAATCTTCCTCATATCGTCTCAACCTGGGGTACTTTGAGTGCCACAGGATAAATGCGGGACATCTTTCTGAAGCATCATTTTCCCTTGATTCTCTTGAGAAAATGCATTAATGTACTTGGGGATGACAGACACATAGGTTTCCAAGCGTATACCAGACTTTGCTCTGAAATGAGGCTTGGGTTGTCCTCTTTCTGATAAATTCCCAGATTTAATAGAAAAGCTGCCTTCTGCCATGAGGACACATTGATATGAAAGTGTGAGAGGTACTGGTACGCTTCTTCACGCTAGCAGACCTGTGAGGATGTATGACTCTAAACCACACGGCCTACAGTTCCTGCCTGCTTAATGTGTGCTTTTCTACCTCTGCCCCTGGTTTTGGTCCCTGGAAGCTGCTGATTCATGGCAAAACCCCAGAGCGTGGAGTCAGAGGACTGAGTTTAAGTTCCAGTATTGCCTTTTTTGATCTTTCTTTTTTTTTTTTTCTATCCATGATATGAATCCCTCTCAGTCACTGATTGTGACAACACCTTGTACAGTTGTTGGTGGCATTACATCAGATGGTATATAAGGGTATTTTGTCAAAACTGTAAAGGAGGATGTGGCTGTAGGGGCTGATCATTCTCATGAGTGTTACTGCTCTTCTTTCCCACAGTTAAAAGCATATTGGCAGAGGAAGAGCCCTGGCATTCCAGCAGGAGCTAACAGGAAAAAGAAAGTCAATGGCAGTAGCCCTGACACAGCCACTTCTGGTGGTTACCACTCACCTGGGGATGTGAGTCTCGGCGGGCCAGGCTCCTGGGGACAGGGGGCCCAAGGGGCAGTAGAGGGTAATTGTTAAGATTGTAGATGGACTGTTGGGTACTGGTTAAGAATTCTGGATTTGAATCCTGCCTCTCCGTCTGCTAAGAATTGATTAGGGATTGATTAGCATATGATTTAGGGCAAGTTGCTTGAGGTCTTTGGGCCTCTCTTTTCACATCTGTATAATAGAGGTGGTATTTTTTGACTTCCATTTGTGAAGTTTAAATGAGATTCGTTATTGTTGCTTTTATGTGAATCCTTAGTACATGGCCTGCTGCAAACACCCAGGACACCGAGGAAATGGTCGTTGCTGTTTGATTTTCCTCATCCCCAGTCTCAAGGGGAAGCCAGGCCAATGAGAAGAGCCACTTGCCATCAGGCTGTCCCTTTAGGAGTCACTGAAAGGGCCCCAGGGTGGGATGGTGGGGAGATAAGAACCACGAGAGAAGTTGGCACAAAGGAGTTATGGGAAAAAGGGTCCAAGATAGGCAGAAAAGAAGCTTTTGCCAGTTGATGGGGGAAGAAAGGAAGTCAGAGGGCTTAGACAGTGAGGGGGGACAGAACATCTCCATGTGCACTCTCATCTCTTGGAGTCAGCAACAGGTATCTACGGGGAGGGCCGTGCATCCTCTACTACCCTGCAGGATCTGGAGGTAAGAGGCCCTGGGCCGAGGTGCAGTGACCCTGCAGGCCAGCCCTCCAACCTCCTCCCACAGCAGGGGCTTGTTGCCCCTCTGCCAGCTGAGGCAGCCCACACACCCCCACCAGCCCTAATGATTATTCTCTCTACCCCTCCCCACAATCTTTCTCCAACTCCTTCTCTCTGCATGCACCTCAGAGCCAGTACCAAGAACTAGCAGTAGCCCTGGATTCAAGCTCCGCAATAATCAGTCAACTCACTGAAAACATCAATTCACTGGTAAGAGTCCAGTGGGGTCCCCTGATTACAGCTGGTCAATCCTGGACTCCAGTTTCCTCTTGGGGCCCTGAAGAAAGGGGCTAGGGGCCCCTGATGCCAAGGGCAAATGGGGAGCTGGGCACCCAGGTCTCACCTGGAGGGACCCCAGAGCACAGAACATGCAGCATGGCTCTTCTGCACTGCCCTCTTTGCTGACTCTCTCTTCTCCAGACACCCCTGCTCTAGTCCTTGCCACACATGCCCTGGGGTTGTCACCTCTCTGGGAAGCACTAGCCTGACTGGTTGTTAGGGGTCCATATTCCTGCCCTGCCTCAGTCCCTAATTTGCTTTTTGAGTCTGGACAAGCCATCTCTCCTCTTTATGCTCGTGTTTCTGGAGGAGGTAGAGAGTATCAAAGGTCTCGGTTAGCTCTGAAAGTCAGAGATTTAAAGGCCCCTAGAATGGAAAGCTCAGGGCGAAGGGCTCCTGTCTGTCCTTTGCTGTTTTATATCTCTGCTATGAAGAACTGTACCTGGCCTGTACATGCTCAGTAAATGTTTGTTGAATGAATGCACGTTTCTAAATCACAAACTGGCAGAAGGGGGGTGGGCCTTTCTCAAACTCTGTCTCTGGAGGTTCACCAGCCCCTCCCTCCAGGACCCTTTTCCCCCTTTGCTTTGGGCAGGTTCGCACATCTAAGGAGGAGAAGAAGCATGAGATACATCTGGTACAGAAGCTTGGGAGGAGCTTGTTCAAACTCAAAAACCAGACGGGTAAGATGGGGCTGGCATGACCTGGCAGCTGGACTGGCATTAGAGGGCTGTGGGGGTGACTTAGAATGCCCCAGGGAGGTGGGTGGATGGAAGGGCTTTGAGGCAGAGGGAAAGAGGTCTGTGCCAGGGGAGGACAAGTCTTGTCATCTCCATGAGCCTCAGTGTCCCCATCAGTAAAGAGGGAGGAGTGCCCATTGTCACCCACCCACAGTGCTCTCTATCTGAAAGTGACTTGGAAGATTGTCTACCATCCGGGTGTGAGGAGTCATTAGCAGTGAGGCCAAGTTTGGGAAGCCTGAGAGGAGGAGCTGTGCACCAAAGGGAGGATTTTTTTTTTTTTTTTTGAGAATCCAGAGGCCCTTATTCTCTGCTTGCTTTCTCAGCTGAACCCCTGGCCCCACAGCCCCCAGCAGGGCCATCTAAGGTGGAGCAGCTACAAGATGAGACCAACCACCTAAGGAAGGAGCTAGAGAGTGTGGGAAGACAGCTCCAGGCTGAGGTGGAAAACAATCAGATGTTGAGTCTCCTGAACAGGAGACAGGAGGAGAGGCTACGTGAACAGGAGGAGAGGCTACGTGAACAGGAGGAGAGGCTGTGTGAACAGGAGGAGAGGCTGTGTGAACAGGAGGAGAGGCTACGTGAACAGGAGGAGAGGCTGTGTGAACAGGAGAAGCTGCCAGGGCAGGAGAGGCTGCTGGAAGAGGTGGAGAAGCTGTTAAAACAGGAGAGGCGGCAGGAGGAGCAGGAGAGGCTGCTGGAGAGGGAGAGGCTGCTGGACGAGGTGGAGGAGCTCCTGGAGCAGGAGAGGCTTCGGCAACAGGATGAGAGGCTGTGGCAGCAGGAGACTCTGCGGGAGCTGGAGAGGTTGCGGGAGCTGGAGAGGATGCTGGAGCTGGGGTGGGAAGCCCTGTACGAGCAGCGGGCCGAGCCACGCAGCGGCTTCGAGGAGCTGGTACGTTGCCCCACCTGGGGAGGCTGCCCTCTTCCCTAGCCCTCAAGGCCTTTGTTTCCCCACCTGTAAAATGGGGCATTGTAGCCTTCACATGAAATGGTACTTCTAAAGGCATCTGTGAGCCAGAGCCCTGCTCTGATGGCTGTGGGAGAGAGGGGATATTTTTCTAACCTGCCTCCACCCTTCCCGGTGCCATGGGAGGCAGACACTAAGTTCTGGGGTCTCCAGTTTTAGTGGGTGGCCACTGATTGCTTCTCTCTGTCCAGAACAACGAGAACAAGAGCACACTGCAGTTGGAGCAGCAAGTAAAGGAGCTGGAGAAGTCGGGTGAGCTGAAAGAGACTGTAACCTCCGACCCATCCAAGAAGATGTGGGAGGCGGGCACCAGCCTCTGGGGAGGGGAGGTGCCAGGCCACAGGCAGCTGCAGCCTGGGGACAGGTGACCCCAGCACCCTCCGGGGCAGTCCTATGACTGTTTCTTGCTTCCTGCCCTCTGACTTTTAGAGGTGGGTAGCCCTGGGGTCCTCCCAGGTCTGGACATCATCATCCCAGCTAGAGGCATGGAGCCCCCCAATCACAGAGGAAGAGACAGTGGTATAAGAGGCTCCTTATGTCGGGTGTGGTGGCTCACGCCTGCAATCCCAGCACTTTGGGAGGCTGAGGCAGGACAATCACTTGAGGTCAGGAGTTTGAGACCAACATGGCCAACATGGTGAAAGCTCATCTCTACTAAAATTAAAAATAATAATAATAATTAGCCAGGCCTGGTGGTGCATGCCTGTAATCCCAGCTACTCAGGAGGCTGAGACACGAGAATCACTTGAGCCCGGGAGATGAAGGTTGCAGTGAGCTGAGATTGCACCACTGCACTGCAGCCTGGGACACAGAGTGACACTCTCTCAAAACAAAACAAAACAGAAAAACAAAAAAGACTCCTTAGATTCAAACTGGATTCCGGCCTCGGTTCCACTGGTCATAATTCAACTACTTTGCATCTCTAAGTCTCTGTTTCTTTAACTTCAAAAGGAAGTTAGCCTTTTCCTTGCAGAGGTGCTGAGGATTAAATGAGATAATACGTGGAAACATTAGGCATGTAGCACACTTAGCAGATGGTGGTTGGCTCCGCCTGCTTTTCCACCAGTCTGTGGCCTACAGTTTACATGCTGGGAAAAAGGACGTGAGATTTGATGCTAGGGAAGGAGGCATGGGGTTCTAAGCAAGGGAGACAGTCTCTTAGGCCTGGAGCAAGGGGCCAGGGGCCTGGGCAGGCCACAGAGCCCCACAGTGCCCTCGCTACCCTATTAATGGGCCAGGAATCTGGAAGCCAGCCACCACATGTCCTCATGCCCAGGGTCTTCCGGCAGGTGGAGCTGAAGAGCCAAGAGGCTCCGAGTCTGCAGCAGCAGCCAGACCAGTACCTGGAGCCCCAGTCCCACAAGGAGCTTGGATGTGCGGACAAGCAGGGTGGTGAGTAGAGCCCTCAGGCGGGGTGGGCAGGCAGGAGCAGGGGAGGCTCGCACTGTGCCCAGATTCCCACCCCCTCCCTCTCTCTGAAGATCTTAGTGAGCTGAGCCTCACTGATAGCTTGGAGGCTGCACCGGGAGAGGACAGGGAGGGTTCTCCCCCATGACAACCCCACTGCACAGCAGATCCAGCAGCTGCTTCCTCTAATGCAGGACTCCCCAGGAGCACCCAGGCTTGAGTGGAGAAGCTGTTGGTACAGGAGAGGCGGCAGGAGGAGCAGGAGAGGCTGCATGCCATTCTTTTCGGGCTGCCGAGAACAGGGAGCTAAACATCACCATCATCTAAGAGCGGGTCAAGAAATTGAAAAAAAAAAACAAAACATTTAAGGGGTTAATATCCTACACAATTCATTTACTTCATTTGAATGTTAGAGCCACTTATGTTTGTGTTTCTAATTTATAGTTTAAATTTATTTGTGTTTCTAATTTATAGTTTAAATTTATTTGTTTCTAATTTATAGTTTAAATTTATTTGTGTTTCTAATTTATAGTTTAAATTTATTTGTGTTTCTAATTTATAATTTAAATTTATTTGTAAAAAGTTAAATGAGAGTGGGTCTTTCTCTCATGTTCACTCTGGCATCTTTTAGCATTTTTTTAATTTGATAATTATAGGACGTTAGCATGCATATCGAGTTTGCCCTTATGTGGTGGGAGTTCAAACACACAAAGACCCACTGTATGCACACAACTGTTCTTGCTGGTTTGGGATAGGCTGCCATGCTTTTTTAATGTTAGTACAGCCTGTATATTCATTACGGAATTCAGATAAAATTTCCTTATGTTCTGCTGTTATGTTTGATCGAATCCTAATCACAGTGAGCTCTTCATTAGCTCAATATGTGGTTTGCCCTCTGGAAACAGCCTTTCCCCCTTTTTCTGTGTATTGGGGATGGGAGTAATAACATTTTGGGGAGGTTTTTAAATCTCCCAGAAGAGGAAAGTGGCCTGCTTTGGCAGGTGTGTGCAGGATAGAATATGTTTCATTTGTTCCGGTGCCAAGAATGAGCGCTGTACTACGGTAGTTCCCTTAGGATTTGTATGTGCTCTAGGCTCATGAAGATACTGCCTCATGAGCTGTGGCAGTTGTACTCTTTTTTGATGACCTGAAAAGGGATTATTTCTGAGGAATGAAAGGCTCCCATCATGACTGTGGATGTGGAAAACCTTTTCTAGCTGAGAGCATTTATATCTACAATACATTTTAAAGTCAGAGTTCATGTTCCCTGTTTTAATCACATGACTACATGTCCCAGTACACAAAAGGGCACTGGTTGGCGTTCTCCTTAATGTATTTAGTAAAGATCAGAAGAAATCCTTTAAGAGTTTAAATGCCCCTGGAACAGGCATATACAGGCTCTAGTCAAGAATGAATTCGAGTGAAGGAAAGCTGTGTGACACCTGGCATTCCTCTGTGTTCATGGAGCTTATTTGAGGCTAGAAGATGGATTTTACCATCTAGACCTCTCTGGCTAATAGCTAGTCTTCAACCATCTGACATAGGAATTTACTTCTTTTCCTTGAATGGAGAACACTTTAAAAATAATAACAAACATTATTATAAACTAATATATGTGAGAGTACTTAGTTGAAACAAAAAGGAGTTTTAGTAGACAGTATTATACTACATTTGAAAATCAAGGAGCAGTTTATGCAACGTAAAACGTTTACAAACTGCAGCACAATCTACTGTTCGTGAATGTCAAAGTGTCATGAGGAAAGTGTCTATACAATCACAGAGTTATATTTCCTCACAAAGTTCTTTACAAAGAGTGAAATATGTTTTTATACCTCTCAGTTTCAGTTAGAGGCATATTTTGTGTAATATTTATGGCTTAAAATGGACTAAAGGTCCTGTTCTTGCCTTGTCTGAACTTGCCGCTTTTGCATTCTTTGAGTTCAGTTTAAAGACAGTTACTTTAAGCCCATTTTAAACCCTCAGGCTAGAAATCGTACCACTGTTAATTAGCCACATTATTTGGTCTAACAGTTTATCATTCTGAAACTGAGCTTACCTAATACATTGATAAATTATTTCAAAGGTATTTTTATAGTTCAAATCGCTTCACTTTTACCCTGACACGTATAAATGACTAGGAATGACCTTCAGATAGCGTTTAGCAACTGTAACCAATCTGACAATAATGTGTTCATCAGGTACCTGTGGATTAAATCACATACTGGCATATTTAAGCTGAATGTCAGTCTGAAAAATAAATGTACTATATTAACTCAAATACCACTCTCTGTGTAGGTATTTTGTCATATGTTTAAGAAAAAGCTAAAGAGAATGGAAATCCTATGACAATAACTATGACAATAACTATGACAAGTCTTTCTTCAAAGTGCATGCAGTCTTTTGCAGTACCTCATTCAGCCAAGTATTTGTTCTCTACCTCATTCAGTATAAGGCAGCCTTTAATTTGCTTAGAAGGCAACATTAGAAGGTTAGAGTTCAGCAGGAACATAGAATTTTAAAATGTGACTTCAACTGAATAAATTTGAATTTCTGTAGGGAGTAAAGAATCAAAACACCTATTTAAAGACTGCAAAATATGATAATTATTTTTAAAGTAATTGATTAAACCTGGTAGGTTTTCCCAAAATGAAAAACAATCAGTTCTAAAACCAAAGCTGATTTTTAGAAAATGTGAAAATGTAAATCAACCCTATCCATAATAGATTCTCTAAAACTTTATCTTACAGTCACTTTCAAATAACTATTCAAAAATGTAACTGCTATATTAACGTCTTAAAATAATTTAAAACATTTTAAAATATGAATACTGTAGTTTAAAACAAAGAATCTAGGGGAAGGAAAAGTAGACAAAGAAATGCCAATTCCAGTCCAAAGCTGTATTTGCCAAGTTTTCTTAGAATGACTTTTACCGATTTATGAATTCTTATACACAGAATGCATAATGGAAATACTGATTTTTGTCTAAAGTGGCATTATTGACTGCTGCTGTGATGCTACTATAATGTAATACATTATTAAATTGTTTCAAGGTGCTGTTTTGCCTAAAAATTTTGTGTGTCTTGAAAACTATAGTACTGGGTATTGAGACTCTGCAAATTCTCGGCATGCTTGGCATGAGGTAATCGGTTTTTATTCTTACAAAATTGTAACTATGTAAGTGTGTTTATTAAAAGAACACAAACTAAAAAAGTTAACAGGAATTAAAGTTGTGGGATGAAAAAGTTACAGGATAAAAAAATACTGTGGAAAAGTGGCAAAAAAAAGTTGTGGAAAAAAAGTAAAAAAAAACTTTTATGAAAAGTTATTTTAAAAAGTTATGAAAAATTAGTTACAGGATTTAAAAAAAGTCATGGGATAAAAATAAAAATAAATAAAAGCAGGCCCCTGTCAGCATAAGCCTGGAGAAGTGGGTCTGGAGTCTTCACCCCCACCATGTCCCTACAACCCCTCCCCAGTCACCCCTTTACCATTAGGGTAGCAAGACAAGACCCTTGTCTAATGGAGGGAGACAAACAGACCCTTTACCACCTTGACCAAGGCTGAGTCCTTACATTTCTGGATGATGATGTTTGTTATTTAAGAGCCAGAGGTTGGTGGAGTTGGTTTGTTTGGAGGAGGTCTGATGGCCTTCTTACTCTCACCAAAGCAACTTTTCCCTCAGGGGGGCTCCCATCTTCTTACTCAGAGAGGCAGCTGAGGCGGGACAGTGGAGTTAACTGTAGACCAGGCCAGGGCACAGGCTGCTGGGGGTGGCCCCCCTTCCCCCGTGTACATACTGTAGCTGTGTAACATTCTGTATCGTACCTAGCGGAGGTTGCAGCTGGCATATGAGGAAGAGGTTCTTATAATTATTCGCGGCTGGGAAACTTATTTATTGCTAGCATAGGAGCGAGGAAGGAGGCGGGGATGGGGTCATGGCTGCCTGGTGATGGGACTCCTGTTTTTTGTTTTTTGTTTTTTGCTTTTGATTTTGGAATAAATGGATTTAGCCATACTGCTCGGCCTGTTATGTTCCCATTTCCCTCACTGGGTCCTGCAGTTTGTCCCACTGAATGAGGAGCCCCAGAGTGTCTCAGCATGTCCAGCTGGGCTGTTGGGGACCTTCCAGGCCTGTTACCTGTATGCTGCCTGGTGACACCTGGTGGATTTTATGGGGACTGCCATGGCGCCTACAGAGTACACTCTGGCCCTGACAGCCAACTGGTTGAGAAGCCTGATCTAGCTGTGGCAGGGAAGACAGATACCAGTGCCCAAGGGCACTGACTTCCATCCACCCCACGTGTCTTCCATTCCGTCCCCCTGCCTCCCTCTCCTGTCTGCACCGGGTGGCCTGTCTGTCCCTCCAGAGTGCCGGCTGCCCCGCAGGTTCCCTCCAGGCTGAGTTCAGGGCCCTGCCCCTAGTGGCCAGAGCTGGCTTCACAGGGTAAGAGCCAGCTAAGCTCCAGGGACTTTCCAGGAAAAGTGTCCCTTGAAAAGGGTGTGACCTTTTCACTGCTCCCAACAACACCCTAAAAATGGCTTGGCCTTTTCCATCCCCTGAGCTCCATAGAGAACACAGCCAGCAGAGGACACATTCTCTGTCATCCAGAAATGGGTTTCTCAGTCAAGGGACAGCAGGACTGGTAGAGACTGTCAGGCCACACAGCTGCCTGCACAGCACCGCCATGCTTGGCCAGAAGGGCGGGAGGGATGGCGGGGGCTGGCTGTCCACAGGCCGCGCATGTCCCGGAAGCTCACTGGAGGTGGTGCACTTTGGAGGGGCGATGTCAGGAGACAGCTTCCTCTTGCTGGTCTACAAGACTCCACAAGCACAGCACGGGGACTGATTCCCAGTGCTAGAGGTGAGGCAGTTGGCCACGTGTATATATGTATATGTGTGTGTGTGTGTGTGTGTGTGAGAGAGAGAATTTATAGCTATTTATAGAACAGGGCAGGGGCATACCACAGAGGGGGCACAAGTTTCAGCAATGGTCACACCTGGACGTGTCAGCTCACCGCTACAACAGACTAAGTCACAGAAGAAGGGGGCTGGCTTTGGAGCTGGGGGAGCCACTGTCAAGTCACAGGACACCCGCCCAGGCAGGCTTGGAAAGGGAGGTCTCTGAGAAGAGGGATCTGTTTAGAGGTCGAAGTGGGGCCTGGGGCTCTCAGGATGGGATGGACTTGCCTGACCCGATCAGCTGGCAGTTGGAGAGAAAGCAGAGAGAAAACGGGTTAGAGAAAAGCCAGAGCTGGTGAGGCAAGTGCAGAGTATGGGTGCGCTGCAGCAGCTGTGGAGGGCCGGGGAGGGGAGGGCGTAGGTGTGGGCATGGCAAGGTTCCTGGAAAAGAGGGGCTGGAAGGGAAAGGGGAGGGAGATGGAGGGAGAAGCCAGAGCTTCATAGGTAGTGCCTGGGGACTGCGGCGGCCCTCCCTACCCCACACACGCTGGCCTGTCTCATGGAACCCAGGCAATCCACCCATCCACCCACAGTTCAGACCAATGCCAGCTCCCTCGGGCTTCCCTCTTCTGTGGTCCCCATGTCTTCCAACCCACTGGCCCAGGGCCACCTCTTGCTTGGAGAGCCCCATCCAACAGCCACCAGACCTGATAGAGAAGGAACACTGATTGAACCAAAATGGTGGAGCTATAAGGGATGGCTGGCTGGAGTGAATGCCAGAGGCCCCTCTGGGCCATCAGAAAGCCCAGGGTCCTCTGAGGGACCCTGGGGAAGGCAGGGAGGGCAGGTAGCCGGATGCCATTGGCCATAGACTTCTAATTCTAACAGGGGAGCCTCAACTGGTTGGCGGGGGGCTGCAGGTTACATAGGTGAGGCTGGGCCCTTCCTGCTGGGAAAAGCAGAAGAGGGAGACTCCGCGGCAGGAAAGGGAAGTGAGCTCTCTAGGTGGAGCTCAGCTGGGCCAGCAGCACTATTGGCTGAATAGCACAGGCGACCCCTAGAAGCAACAGGCCAAGGTGCGTGAGCCTGCTGGCCAGCAGTAGTGCTTCAGCAGGGGCCAGGGACCCTGCCTTCAGTCGCACGCTAGCAGCTATCATGGTACCTGGGAGGGAGGGAAGGGGGCTGTGTGTCCTTCCATGGCCTATGAAGTGTGTTGTGGGATGACCACGTGTATAGGACTCTCAGGCTTTTATCCTAGATCACCACTGGATTGCTGACAGATAGAGGACGTGGGACCGTGACTATCACCCCTAATCTGCAGTGGATTTGGCTCTTGGCACTCCCAGGCTGGGAGCTGGATACCTGCCCTGGCAGCATGACTCAGACTGCATGACAGGTACGGCGTGTCCAGGATGATGTGCCCAGGCCTCTGGCCGCCTGAGTCCAGCCCCCCACACAACCCCCTCCAAGCTCCCAGCCCCTACACCATAAACCATGAGCTCTGTGCCCTCTCTGATGGTTCCACATCTGCCACCTTGGGCATGGAGCCTGTTGTAAGAGCCCCCAGGCTCAGCCATGGAGACCTTGAGCAGTGGCACTGAGTCCCGTGGCTCACAGGGAGCAAAGTGAGACAACCAGCAGCACAAGGACAGAAAGAGGAAAGAGCAAGTCTGCAGCTCCAGAAGGGAGGGGCAGGGAGCCTGGCTCTGAGACTCCAGGCATGCCCCCTGTGTGGAGCTGGGGCAGCGGGGCGGGCAGACCATTCATGCAGCAGGCAGTGAGACTTGTACCTACCATGGCTGACGCTCCTCAGGGGCCACTGATAGTGATTCTGAAAGACAGCATCAAATCACATGGCAGGTCCCATGCATGGGTGGGGCAGGCCTGGGGGTGGCAGACACACGCACATGCCAGATTGTGCACACACATGCTGTGAGGCCCCACGGCCCGCATGCACACTCTAACAGATGCCCACAAACAACACGCATACGTCGCCCTCTCCGCCACCTCCCGGTGCCCAGCACCCTCACCGGCCGGCACGTGCCGCATGGATCTGGGGCGTGCAGCCACACGGCACACTGAAGCACATGCGTGGGCAGAGTCACAACACAGATGCTCACCCGCACACAGAGGCATTTGCACCAGCTCCCTGCACACTCGTGCCTGGCGTGCTCAGAGGACCACCCATGCTGCTCAGGGAGACAGGGCTTGCTCACTAATGTCCGGCTGTCATTTCTCCACCTAAGAGCCTTCCATGGCTCCCTACTGCCTACAGCGTTGAATCCCAACAAGTCATACTTTTTGGACTTTGAAGGTTCTCCACCCTGTGCCCCACCCTCCCCACAGAGCTCTTCCTCATTCTGTCTCTGTTCCCTGCTTTGGCCAGTGGCTATCCGCGATGTGACCCACACTACACCTCTGCCCACACTGCAGCTCTTTACCCAGTTACCCTCCAGTTCCTCACCACGTATGCCTACCTCAGTCATGCCCCGGACTGCATTGAAGCCAGGCTGCCTTGAAGAAGCTCTCCCAGACTGCCCTTTTCCCCAAGGCAGGGTCATGATTTGCCAAAGGTTTCGTGTGTGTTAGCAAGACTGGAGTCGGAGCAGGCGTCAAACTTTACATCCCATATGTCACACCTCACCATAGATCTGGGTGCCAAATAGCCTGAAGAGTCTGAACTCACGTTGGAAGTTAGCAAAGTGCTCCTACAGCCGCATCTGCAGTTAACATAGTATCCCTATGGCCACTGTCTCCCTTGATCCCCACAGCCATCCTAGGAGAAAGGCAGAACGTCATTTGCTAGAAGGGATGCTGAGGCTCTGGGAGGGAAAGGGACTTGCCTAAAGCCCCAGGGTGAAGCAGCATCTCTGGACTCTCATAGACAGCCTAGAGCTGCCAGCACTCCCTTAGGATCTGTGCCCTCAGGCCTGGCTTAATTTTTTCCTCTGCAAAGAGCCATCTGTAGGGCCAGAGGCTGGCAAAGCCTGACTCATTACTGGACGCCAGTTCCTTTGCCTGACATTCAGTGATTTCTGCCTTACCCTGGGGTTTTATGTTGCTTGTCTCAACACTGTCACTTCTCATTCCTCCACAAGTTGAATTGCTCACTCCAGCCACTTGAAGCATGCTCTTCTTAACACAGTTAGCTCTAGGCACATGGTTGGTGCTAAAAAGGAAAAAAAAAGAAGAACGTTATGTCAATTTCATTGATTAACAAAAGCGATGGCTCCACTGCAAAGCAAAGTTGACACTCCTGGGTCTCTGAGTTCAAGAGCCTTTAGAAAAATGGCTCTGAGCTAAAACATGATCATGCACGCATATGCATCTGTCTCGGTCTGATGAGATAATCTGGATACTTGCTTGTTATCCTTGAGCATTTTCCTGCCTCATTAATGTATGTGTAGCCACCACAATAATAATCATAGCTAATAATGGCTACAGCTGAGGGCTTTCCTGAACCAGGCAGTGGTTTTAAAAACTTTAACCCCTAAAGCTGAGGACTTTCCTAAGCTAGATAGTGGCTTTGAAAACTTTAAAGTTTTCACATAGACTGTCACTGAATAATTTCTGTTTTTCAGATCAAGAAACTGAGACTTACTATCATATTTGGGATTAAGCTAAAAAAAAAAAAAAAGAAACAGAGGCTGAACGCGTCAAGTATTTCACAGCCAGCAGGAAATCAGAACTTGAACCCAGGCAGTCTAGCCCTGGGATCCTTTCCCCTTACCCATTATCCAGTGTTGGCTACACAAAACTAATGAGTACATATTTTCAACTATAGTTTAAGTGGGTGACATATTTTTCACTATATTTTATGTAGGTGACTTTCAGTTTGGGGGTATTCTACTTACACAATCTATTGAGCTGGATATTAACTGAGAGCAAACAGAAACTAATGAACTCTGAAAAACATAAAACATGAGCAACATGACATCACTGCAAGAGACAAAACAGCACATAGCCTTCTTGTGACTGTATTTTGCTGACAGTCCATGAGATGATAGCCTGAACTCAGCAGTGCTGTTCCCTTGGGAGACACACACACACACACACACACACACACACACACACACACACACACACACGAGTTGGTGGTTGTGCTGCCCGGAGCCTCCAGTCCGCGAGTGTGAAGAACGGACCAGATGGGTCCAGCAGTGCTGGGTCAAGGCGAGGAGGGGGCAGCCGGAAGCGCGCGCATGCTCTGGACTCCTGCAGCCGCCAAAACGGGTGCGCAGGGTGCACGCGGGTTGAGGGGTGAGGGGCGACGGGTGTGAGGGGCGAGAGGGACGGGAGCGGGGTAGGGGCAGCCCTTTCCCAGGCGGTAGCGGGGGCTGTGGTGCTGTTGCCCTTTTAAGCTGCGGCTTGACAGGAGCAGCGTCTCCTGTCGGTGGAGTCTGTTACAAGGGGAGCAGCCGCCCAGGCCGCCACACAGCTCCCCGCAGAGGCCTCGGTGCCCCTTGCCATTTTCCAGCCCTACTCCGACTAGAGTTGAGGCAGCAGGGAGAGGCGGAGCTGGGAGAGCGCCGCCGAGAGGTCCCGCGGGTGGTTGCGGCCGTGACAGCGGCTCCCGACGGGCTCACCTTCCGCGCCCCTCCCGCCAGAGGTGAGAGTAAAATGTCCGTGTGAGGGTTCAAGGCCAAGCTGAGGTTGTTGGCCTCTATCTTCCACAAGAACCAGGAGCCCCCGCCACAGCTCACGCTCCACTGCAACATCACGGTGAGGCGCCCAGTGGCGGCCTCACGGGCCAGGGCGAGGGCGGAGAGGAGGCGCCCAGAGTCCCGGGACAAAGGGGAGCCTGCCCGGGAGAGGCCCCGGTTCCCCAGGCGGGGCGAGCGCGCCCCTTTCTCCCGCGTCTGGCCCGCCCCGCTGTGTGAGGCTTGCGTGGGAGGAGGGGGAGGGCGCGTCTCTCTGGCTCCTTGCCGCGGGGCTGGCTTGGGGGCTGCCGGCACCTCTCGCCCCAGTCGCTGCGCCCTGAGGTGGGAGCCCGCGTCGCCCGCAGACCTGTTGGGGCCCATGATCGCCCTCAGTCAGCTAGCCTGCTCCCCTGGACCGCGACGGGGCGTGGCAGGGCGGCTCCCGCTGTTGTTTGAGCCCAGTGAGGGAAGGGGAAAGGCCTTTAAGATTTTCGGTTTTTTGGCCGGGCGCAGTGCTCATTCCTGTAATCCCAGCACTATGGGAGACTGAGGCAGCTGGATCTCCTGAGGTCAGGAGTTCTAGACCAGCCTGGCCAACATGGTAAAACCCTGTCTCTACTAAAAATACAAAAATTAGCCGGGCATGGTGGCAGGCGCTTCTTGAGATGGAGTCTCACTCTGTCGCCCAGGCTGGAGTGCAGTGGAGCGATCTCGGCATACTGCAGCCTCCATCTCTTGACAGTCTGTGGGTTCAAGCGATTCTCCTGCCTCAGCCTCCCGAGTAGCTGGGATTACGGGCGCCCGCCACCACGCCTGGCTAAGTTTTGTGTTGTTTAGTAGAGATGGGGTTTCATCATGTTGGCCAGGCTGGTCTCGAACTCCTGACCTCAAATGACCCATCTCTGCCTCCCAGAGTTCTGGGATTACAGGCCTGAGCCACCGCGCCCAGATCCAAGGCCCTTAAGCTTAAATGCCTCGTTCTTCAGTCAGGTTTTCCTTGTTCCCGCATGTTCAGCCAATCGTGTTTAAGGAGAAACTAACAATGAAAACGGACTCGTTGATGGAGGAAAAGTTGGAATGCAGCCTCTGGTGCTGTTTGAGCGATCCCTCTACCCCGGGTCGCTGCTGTGTTCTGGAAAGGCGCATTGTACCCTGGATGCAGCAGGTAAGAGTCCTGTCCAGGTGCTCTGCCCGCTTTTCCTTTCAGGCTTCTGTATCAGCTGTTTTTCCCCTGTAGAATGTGCCCCTGACAGCCACCCCCTAACCCTACCCAATTTGTCTTTACGTGTCTGACCATCAAGGCTCTTCTGGGTCATATTTAATTCATGCTGATATTTCCCCTTCCTCCCCTCTTTAGTCCTATTTTTGCTTTGGTTATGTTATGCTATATTCTGTAAGGCTTTAAAAAAATTTTTATGGTGGCAGGGGAGAATGTTTTATAATTATGCTTTGTGCTTTTTATCTTCCACTCAATAAATGCTTGGTAAATATTTGTTTTATTGAATGTATGACCCTATTCTAGCTATATTGTGCTTGAACAAAAACCTTAACTGCCTAGTAAGTTAACTGCTAAGAATTTGTCAGAAGTGCAGACATAACATCAAGAACTTGTCATGGATAGTACAAAAACGTCACTTAAGGGCTTGGTGGAAGCCTGTAAATTGACTTCCTATGAAAGAGAGTGTAAGAAGTGAAAATGTAAAGCATGACTGGAGAGCCAGAGTGATGAAGCCAGGGTCCCTTTCTCCAGATCCTTTGTAACAGTGTTATGTGATCTCTTCTAGAAGATCGTTCTGAAAGATAATGCCAACTCGGAACCTAGGAAACCATCCAGTGGGTTTCTGCAGCTTAGGTGTTTCAAATCCTCATCAGCACGTTTGTTTTCTCTGCCTCAGTTTGCTTACAATGATGTTCTCAGTAGCTACAATTGCTGTCTTTGAATACGTAAGCATTTTTTTTTAGGTGACAGGGATATATGTGCATTTTTATTTTACCAAGTGTTAGAATTTTGACTCTGCTTTTGTGGGCTCTGGGTTAGCTACTTGGTTGTTGTAAAATGATTAGCAGGGAAAGCTGTGTGTGTGTGTGTGTATGTGTGTGTGTTATAAGTTTCTTTTGTTGTCAGAGGACTTAGAATTTTATTTTATATGGTAATTCTGTCAATTTACTTTATTCTCCACCCCACATTTATTGAACAGCAAATTATGAAAGTAATGTGTCCCATAAGCAGCCTTCAGAAGAATTACAACTGCTGTATATCTGAAATTCTTTTTTTTATTTTTTATTTTGAGATGGAGTCTCACTCTATCACCCAAGCTGGAGTACAGTGGTGCAATCTTGGCTCACTGGAACCTCTGCTGCCCAGGTTCAAGCAATTCTCCTGCCTCAGCCTCCTGAGTGGCTGGGATTACAGGCACCTGCCACCACACCTGGCTAATTTTTGTAGCTTTAGTAGAGACAGGTTTCACCATGTTGGCCAGGCTGGTCTTGAATTCCTGACCTCGTGATCTGCCTGCCTCAGCCTCCCAAAGTGCTGGGATTACAGGTGTGAGCTACCGCACCTGGCTGAACTTTCAAGGAGAAGTTTGTGCATCAGTTTTCAAAAAATTATGATATCAAAAGATAGCTGTGCCCTACATTTGGAAAGATACAAAAACTGAACATACTGGCAGGCAGTTTTGCTTGCTGGTGCTTGAGATAGAGGCACACATTGGTCTCAGTGGAATTATGGAGAAAAATAGATAAAGTTATTTCTAAATAAGACCAAAAAATCCTTTTCTTAAGCAGTGACAGGTAAAGAGGTTGTCTTGGCTAACCTTGAATTGTGTTGCCCTTGATTGAGACAGTTTTATGGTGGGATGGTAGTGGTGATAAACTTGCTGGAAATTTGTCTGCTTATAGTAACCTTTGTGGTAGCTGTCACAGACAACTTCATCCTCACAGGCCTTGAAATTAGTATAAAACTAACAGAATGGAGGAGAAACAAAGGACCTGAATAATTAGATGCTTAGATAATTGTTCTGTGTTTTCATTACTGGTGAAAAAGAGCAGTATTAGAAGCACTTACACATTCTATAGAAGGAACACTGCCTGAATTTATATTGCGATTTTTGAGCACCATTAACTGTATAAAAACAGGCATATTGTAGGTAATATTTTAAAGACAAACAGAAAATTTATCTTTTCAAGATGGATCTAAAACTTATCAAAATTACAAAATTTAAAACGTGATTGAAAAATATTAATGTATAGGTTTAAATATTGGTCATTTTAAATGTCTTTCAAAATAGATTGTCTCTTAAATATTCAACTGAACAAACTTTGAACATGTTGTAGAGTTTGTGCCGAAGGTTAAATTTCCTGGGGTGATGGATATTTTGTAATATGGAAAACAAAACCTTCTTATTTTAAGAAATTTAGAAAACTTTTAGGCAAAACTAGAAAATATTACCTATGTAATTCTACCACTCAGAAGGTGCCACTGTCAGAAATTTGTATCTTTCCAGTCATCTGCTCACCTCTTTTCTCCTGTGCTTGTGTATGTTTCCTCTCCCTTAAAAATCAGATATTTGTTTGTAATCTGCTTTTTCACTCAACAGTATTGTAGATCCATGTTATAACTTACTCCTCTACATTGCCTTCAGTTATTGTGTGCTTTCTGTTGGATGACTTTACCATGTAGTCAGTCATGTTTTCTGGTACTGAATACATACGGGTATGTGTGTGTGTGCGTGCGCGTGTGTGTGCGTATTTTTTTGTAACTTAACTAATGCTTTAGACATCAGTAGGTAGACGTAAATCCTTGAAACCTTCCACGTGGTGACTTTCAGTTCTCATTGCTGAATTTGTTTCCAGAGATGGAAGAAATTATATTGTATGGGAACTTTTTTTTTCTTTTTTTTTTCTTTTTTTTTTTGAGATGAAGTCTTGTTCTTGTCACCCAGGCTGGAGTGCAATGGCGTGATCTCACTGCAACCTCCACCTCCTGGGTTCAAGCAATTCTCCTGCCTCAGCCTCCCGAGTAGCTGAGATTACAGGCGCATGCCACCATGCCTGGCTAATTTTTGTATTTTTAGTAGAAACGGAGTTTCACCATGTTGGCCAGGCTGGTCTTGAACTCCTGACCTCAGGTGATTTGCCCACTTCAGCCTCCCAAAGTGTTGGGAATACAGGTGTGAGCCGCTGTGCCCAGCCTTTTTTTCATCTCAGTACCAGCTTTTATTTATCAGATTGGTAAAAATGTTAGAAAGTGTGCAATGAAATGGGCATTCTTACAGTCATGGCAAAAAATATAATTATCTTTGACTTTCTAGAAAGTAGTTTGGCTTTCTAGAAACTTGTTTGAATTCTCCCTGTTTAGGCAGGATGAATTCTCACTACCCCAAGGTGGCCAACCTTGTCCCTGTGATTCCATCTCTCCCAGAAAGAGAGGTC
Organism: Homo sapiens; assembly: GCF_000001405.40. NCBI lineage: Eukaryota > Metazoa > Chordata > Mammalia > Primates > Hominidae > Homo > Homo sapiens. Next base: position 239,136 of record NT_187606.1, read on the forward strand.
TAGTCTCAGGGAAAACCCAGATTTGTTTGGCTTAGCCCATCTGACAGCTAATCACTGGAAATGGGGTAGGCTGGTAGAATGCTTTGGTCAGGTTTTGTGTTGAGAGAGAGGTGGAAAGATGGGAGGGAGGTAGCAAAACTTGCCTCAGTGGAACTATGTAAGTTAATATAGAATGGCAAAGGGATGTTTCTTCCAAGGAAGAAATTCTAGAGAAGGAAGAAAGTGGAGGGGAAGGCAGCAGTTCTCCAAGTTTTGGGGTCAGGATTCCTTTACACTCTTAAAAATACATTGAGGTCCCAAGGAGCTTTGGTTTATGTAGGGTATATCTATTGGTATTTATCACTAGAAATTAAATCAGAAATATTTAAAATATTGTTTAAAAGCTCACCACATATTGTTATAAATGCTTTTATGAAAAGAAAATTTCTAAACCCAAAGTAGTACAGTCTTACATCTTTTGCAAATTATTTTGATGTTTGATATGTCATTTGCATGATGTTTGATATGTCATTAGCAAATTGATATGTCAGTTTGCTTCTGCATTCAATTTATTGTGTGATATTTTCTTGAAAAAATGTGAACAAAGGCCAGTCTCATACAGATAACCATTTTAGATCATTGTGGATATATATATATTTTTTTGAGATGAGGTCTTGCCCTGTTGCCCAGGCTGGAAGGTAGTGGTATGATCATAGCTCACTGCAGCCTCAGTCTCCAGGGACTCAGGTGATCCTCCCACCTCAGCCTCCAGAGTAGCTGGGACTACAGGTGTGTACCACCATACTTGGCTAACTTTTTGTATTTTTTGTAGAGACAGGGTTTTGCCATGTTGCCTAGGCTTCTTTTTTGATACTCCATCAAATCTTGGTTTTTCTTGAACTTTGGATCTTCCACCCTTGCATGATATTACAACATCGTGCATTGGTCACTTATAAAACAGTGGTTCACTAAGATCTTCTACATGTTGATACATTTGTACAGTATCAAAATACATTCATCAGTACCACCATCAATCTCATCAGAATACTTTTGGAAAGCGATGGTGGGCATAAGTTTTCTAAAATTCTAATTTTTTGTTCAAAAGCTTGAATTTTATTAGTAATTTTGTTATTGAATTTTATTATAGCCTGTCTGTTGTTTTCCTTGAAATGACAGAATCTCATGTTTTGAGAAAATATCTGCCAGAAATGCGAGTTAAAATAACATTTTTTGTCAGTCAGCCTTTCAAGTAAAAATGGTATTCCATTAAAGTGGTTAATTCACTTCATGACTTAGCCACTCAAGGGTTTTTCCTCAGGCAGCCTGTAGGAATGCTCATGTATACTTCCCATTTCATCACTTGAAATATTAAAAAGATATATTCAATGATTTAGATATAGTAAAATATTCACTGCTTCATCATAGACATTCTTTTTTTTTTTTTTAATTTTCGAGACAGGGCCTTGTTCTGTCACCCAGGCTGGAGTGCAGTAGCGTGATCACAGCTCACTGCAGCCTCAACTTTCTGGGTTCAGTCAATCCTCCTGCCTCAGCCTTCCAAGACGCTGGGACTACAGGCATGCAGCCACTGTGTTCAGCTAATTTTTGTATTTTTTGTAAAGATGAGGTTTCACCAGGTTGCCCAGGCAGGTCTTGAACTCCCGGGCTCAAGGGATCCCCCTGCCTGGGCCTTCCAAAGTGCTGGAATTACAGACATGAGCCAAAATTCCCAAACTTATCATAGACATTCTTAAATGAAACTGACCTTTTGTTGCCCTTCCTTTTTATTTTTATTTTTGGAGACGGAGTTTTGCTCTGTTGCCCAGTCTGGAGTTACATAGGTGCAATTTCAGCTCAAGGCAACCTCTGCCTCCCAGGTTCAAGTGATTCTCCTGCCTCAGCCTCCTAAGTATTTGGTAATACAGGCATGCACCACCACACCGAGCTAATTTTTGTATTTTTAGTAGAGATGGGGTTTCACCATGTTGGCCAAGCTCGTCTCAAACTCCTGACCTTAAGTGATCCGTCTACCTCAGCCTCCCAAAGCACTGGGATTACTGGTGTAGGCCACCATGTCCCACCCACCCTTCCTTTTTAAACCTTTCCTGTGCCTAATGAAGAATACCATGACTACTAGTAGTTTGGTGTTACTGCTTTTGTTTGTGCTAAAGTACCAGCATTTTTACCCACCATTGTATTTGCACACTTACAGCAAATGTCACCATGTTAGTATTCCTGTCAAAATAGTTTGGACTTGGGGGTCTGAGGGCCGCACTTTGGGAACCATTGAAATAGGTACTTAGACGTACTAGATATCATATCTTTTCATCTACAAGGTTTTTAAAAACTTGATTTCAGTTAATTTTTTTTTTGTAACTTTTAAAATATGGTTTTGAGGGGTTTCAGTCCAGAGCAACAACACGTATTTTATTTTGCTTATGCTGAAGTTTACTAGAAAATACTAACCTAACAGAATGAAGTCCTAAATCTAATTGCAATTTCCTTAGCCAAAAGAAAAAAAAACGAAAATTAAAAGTGTAAAAATAGTCCATATGGTGTATTCTCAGTGTATGCTGAAGAATTTATAGAAGAAAATGCAATACTCAGTAACTGGTGTTCTTTAAGAATAGGGTTGGCTGGGCGCGGTGGCTCATGCCTGTAATCCCAACACTTTGGGAGGCCGAGGTGGGTGGATCATCTGAGATTAGGGGTTCGAGACCAGCCTGACCAACATAGAGAAACCCCGTCTCTACTAAAAATACAAAATTAGTGGGGCATGATGGCACATGCCTGTAATCCCAGCTACTCAGGAAGGCTGAGGCAGGAGAATTGCTTGAACCTGGGAGGTGGAGGTTGTGATGAGCTGAGATCGTGCCACTGCGCTCCAGCCTGGGCAACAAGAGCGAAACTCGGTCTCAAAAAAAAAACAAAAAAGAAAAAAAAGAATAGGAGTAATTCTGAAGAGTTTCTTTTAGCCTGTAAAGAGATTTGGAACACAGTAAGAGAGGAATGAGAAGAATGAGAATAGTAAAATAAACCATTATTGAAGAGATATGCTGTTAATGATGTCCTCCATCAATACAACTTGTTTCTCTTTTTGTTTGTTTGTTTTTTGAGATGGAGTCTTGCTCTATCGCCAGCCTGGAGTGCAGTGGACATCTCAGCCCACTGAAACCTCTGCCTCCCGGGTTCAAGTGATTCCCCTGCCTCAGCCTCCTGAGTAGCTGGGACTACAGGCACCCGCCAGCGCGCCCAGCTAATTTTTTTGTATTTTTTTAGTAGAGATGGGGTTTCTCCGTGTTAGCCAGGACGGTCTCGATCTCCTGACCTCGTGATCCGCCCACCTCGGCCTCCCAAAGTGCTGAGATTAGAGGCGCGAGCCACCGTGCCCGGCCCATCTTGCTTTTCTTAAAAAGGAACCTTCAGTAAATATTTGGTTTCTGTGGCTTCAGCTTTAACTCAGATTACAGTTTTCAAAGCACTGTTGCCTAAAGTTGTTTGTGCAAAATTGTTTTCTGTGACTTGAACCTAGTTATTCTGAAACTAATATATAATAATAATGGTTTTTCCCCAATTTATAATAGAGAACAGTACAAAGTAACAGCGGGAACGTCTGTTAGTGGGTGAAAGCACATAATGCATAGTTCATTAGCTTTTTTAAAAAATCACATGTAATTGTGTTACAAAAATATATGTATAGTAATGGCATTTACTTGGTATTACCTGGTTTGTGTGATAGAATAAAATATTAGAATTTTATGGTGTTTGAGTTAGTTATCTATTGCTCTGTAACAAACTGAGCAGCTTAAAATAACAAACATTATCTCAGTTTCTGTGGGTCAGGATTCTGTCCAGTTTACCTTGGGTTCACTGGCTTGGCCTCTCACCAGGCAGTGAAGGTGTTGGTGGTGGCTGTGATCATCCCAAGGCAGGATAGGGAGAGAATCTGTCTCCAAGCTCAGGTTGGCAGGATTCATCTCAGAGGCTGCTGGACTGGGCCTCCGTTTCTAGATGGCTATTGGTCAGAGGCTTTTTACAATACCTTGTCACGTGGGCCTCTCCATAGGGCACCTCATCACATGGCAACTGGCTTCCATCAGAGGGAGCAATGGAAAGAGCAGGAGAAGGGTGACCAAGGCAGGCATCGTAGTCTCCTTGTAGCCTCACCTCAGAAGCGATGTTACTTTTGCTGTATTCTCTTTGTTAGAAGTGAGTCACTAGGTCCAGGGGTGGAATTTTACAAGGGTGTGAATGGCAGGAGGTGAGGGTGATCAGGGCCATTTAGAGGCTGCCTACCAGTGTTGAAGAAAATTGTTGACTTCTATGAGCTGTAGCAGCAGACAGTGCTATGCAAGGAGAATGGCTGTCTCAGAAGTCCAGCTCCTCACATGGGTTTAAACGTGTTGCCTTTTCCCCCTGATACATTTTGTTTAAATCCATGGTCATCTTGCCATTTAGTGGTGTGGTTTAATTGCATATTTGGGTTAGTCTGTATGTAAACATTTAACATAGGTGTCTCTGGGTTAAACAGGAATCCTATTCATCTTCTTCACCGATATGGTCTGTGGACTCTGATGAGCCAAATCTGACATCAGTTCTGGAACATCTAGAAGATACTAAGGAGAACAGTTCAGTAAGGAAAGAAACCAAGCTATTTTCTCTTTTCCTCATGAACATTATATTTAGAAATTAAATGTTAAGTGATAATATTATATAAAAACATGATTAATAACTATAATCTTAGAGGAATTAAAGTCTGGGTATTTTAAGTCCTCCAAATCTTATTTACTACCTGGTTTCTCTTTATTATTTCCCACATGTATAATCTTAGTTTAGATTAGCAATTCGGGATCTCTTTTTCCCTGAATTCTAACCATTAAGCCAAGCAAGCATTTTGGGTGGAGACCACTAGCCAAGGTGGGAAGTAGAAAGAAGACCAAGGTGGAAGTGAAGGGAGAGATGGGGAGAATGACACCAGAACTAGTGGGAGGGAATTGCCTTTTCTTTCAAGGGTCTGTAAGTCTGCAGTAAAAGTCAAAGGTATTCAAATAGGAAGTTTTGTTTTTGTCTTTAGTATATAAAGAAGCATAACTTTCCATTTTGCAAAAACTTTAGAAATCTTTTTTCTTGATTATAAAACTTATAAGCAACCATTATTGAGAAGATTAGTAAAATATAAAAAAATAAAAATCTCACATAATTTCTCTACCTAATATAAGTACTGTTGACATGATAGCTAGTTTCTATCAGTATGTATTGCTTCTTTGTTATCAAAGTACTTATACCCTTACAGATATGTTTAAATAGTTGAGGTCATATTCTATAAATATCTATAAATAGCTGGGTGCTGTGGCTCACACCTGTAATCCCAGCACTTTGGGAGGCCGAGGCAGGCAGATCACAAGGTCAGGAGTTTGAGACCAGCCTGGCCAATATGGTGAAACCTCATCTCTACTAAAAATACAAAAATTAGCCCGGTGTGGTGGCAGGTGACTGTAGTCCCAGCTACTCGGCAGGCTGAGGCAGGAGAATTGCTTGAACCCAGGAGGCAGAGGTTTCAGTGAGTCGAGATCGCACCACTGAGGTCCAGCCTGGGTGGCAGAGCAAGACTCCATCTAAATAAATAAATTATGTATACACACACATACACACACCCTCATATATATATACACACATATGTGTGTGTATATACACACACACACACACACACACACACACACACCTACACATGACCGATTGCCTCGCCTCTAGCATTGGGAATCAGTCACCGTGCTGTCCTTGTGGAGTCTTGTGGCCCAACAAGAGGAAGCTCTCCCCTGACATTGCCCCTCCAAAGTGCGCCACTTCCAGTGCGCCCCACTGTCATGCCCGGCCTGTGGACAGCCAGACCCTGCCATCCCTCCCACCCCCGACCAAGCATGGGGGTGCTCTGTAGGTAGCTGTGTGGCCTGACAGTCTCTACCAGTCCTGCTGTCCCTCAGCTGAGAATCAAACCCATTTCTGGATGACAGGGAATGTGTCTTCTGCTGGCTGTGTTCTCTGTGGAGCTCAGGGGAGGGAAAAGGCCAAGCTATTTCTAGGGTGCTGTCAGGACCGATGAAAAGGTCACACCCTTTCCAAGAGACACTTTTCCTGGAAAGCCCCTGGAGCTTAGCTGGCTCTTATCCTGTGATAAGCCAGAGGCTCTGGGGGGTGAGGGAGCAGAAACCCTCCTCACCCCAGCCAACGGGGACCTGTATACCTCTGCCAGTCTCTCACTTGGCCTTGCTGCTGTCCTCTGAGACTGCCTGTTCCTCCCTCTCTGTGACTCTACACCACCATCACCTCCTCCAGGAAGTCCTCTGGATTGACTCCTAGCTTATTACCTCTTTATTGTGCAGACCCTCTCCATTCAAAGCCCCTCTTCAACTGCCCCCCCCCCCCACTACCTCCAAGACAGAGATTCTGGGTTCTTGCAACTGCAGCCCCTCAGAGAGTGTAAGAGGGGCAGAAAAAGGAGATCAGGAGGTGAGGGAAGCAGCGCTGTCAGAGTTTCCAAAGCCCCGGCCAGCAAGGCCTCAGAGGCCTCTGTTGGAGTGGGGGCCTCCCTGGCTATGCGCTCCAGCTGCACAAGGCAGCCTCTGTGAGCCTCTCCCACTCAGCCCTACAGGAAGCAGCAGGGCCCAGCCTCAATGGACCCATTCAGACCCCAGCGCTCCGGAAAGTACCTCTGCTTCCTGCCACCATTCCACTCTGGCCAAACAGGCTCTACTCTCTTCTGATGGGAGGAGGCCGCAGGCAGGTGGTTCAGTGGTTAGGGCCAACCATCTACTTCAGTTCCTGTCTGGCCCAGATCTCTGACCTTGACCATGCCCTAGTGGGTGTATGTATACCTTTAGTGCAAGGGTGGTGTGACAGTTAATACTGAGTGTCAACTTGATTGGGTTGAAGGCTGCAAAGTATTGACCTACTGGAAGTGTCTGTGAGGGCATTGTAAAAGGAGATAAACATTTGAGTCAGTGGGCTGGGGAAGGCAGACCCACCTTTAATACTGGTGGGTACCATCTTTCTAATCAGCTGCTAGCGAATATAAAGCAGGCAGAAAAACATGAAAAGGTAAGATTGGCCTAGCTTCCCAGCCTACATCTTTCTCCCATGCTGGACACTTCCTGCCCTCTAACATCGGACTCCAGGTTCTTCAGTTTTGAGACTCGGATTGGCTCTCCTTGCTCCTCAAACTTGCAGACAGCCTATTGTGGGACCTTGTGATTGTGTAAGTTAATACTTCATAAACTCCCCTTTATATATCTATCTATATCTATATCTATTATCTATATCTATATCTATATCTATTATCTATATCTATATCTATATCTATATCTATATCTATATCTATATCTATATCTATATCTATATCTATATCTATATCTGTCTATATCTCCTATTAGTTCTGTCCCTCTAGGGAACCCTGATTAACACAGGTGGGTAGGCACAGGGAGATGTGCCCCCTTCCCCGTGGGTGCTGGGTAGGTAAATGTTTCGCAAAGGGCTTTGTTGGGGAGAGGGAACCCTGATTTTCAGTATTTGCCTCTTTTCCTGGTATAAATATTCCCACTGTGGGCAGTATCACCTGCCTCTCAAAATTCCTGAAAATTCAACAGTTGGCTCCTGGCAGCTGCTGTGAGCCGTTCCAGCCGGTGACTGTGGTGGCTCCATCCTGCAGGGCCATGTGCCCCCACCCCTTGTGCTATGGCCTCCCTCACTTTAGTGTGCTGTGTTTTGCTCTTAGGAATCAATGTCTTTGCAGATAAGGCACCCCAGTAGCTGGCCGCCACCTGCAGTTCCCTGGTCTGTCTCTTGCTGGCACCAAGCTGTGCTGTGCCTGCTGAGACTGCTGGGCCACCCCCGTGCAGATGGTCTGCGGGGCTTGCTTGATTCCCTTAGCTTCCCAGCCAAGGTGCTGGTGTTGCCAGCAGTGCTGGCAGGAGGAGGGGATAACTAGAGGGGATTTAACTCAACCCGAGGGGCTCTTACGGGATCTTTCCTGGATATCCCTCCAGGTGGGACTGGCTGCCCTGAGGGTATACAAACCTCCAACTCCTCCAATGGCTGAAGCTACTTCCTCGAGCAGATGGCAGCTGGCTCAGGCTGGCTAGGGACCAGTGCATGTGAGGTCGGTGCTGGATCACCCCATCAAGGCCATCAGCCTGTGCTTGTTCTTGGGGTTTGAGGGAAACCCAACAGGGATGAATCACAGTTTTTAACCTGTGTTTGTCTGCCCCCCAGCCCTGGACATCTGCAGGCAAAGTTAAAGTTATATTTGGCTCTTATCACCGCAAAAGGCATAGACCAGAAATTATGGCATCGGGTTGGAAGTCAGGGAGGCTAATTTGGGGAAACTGCCTGGAGGAAGCAGCAACTCAAAAGAGGAGGAGTCCCAGTGTGGGACAGAACAGGCCCTGCATAAGAACCACTAATCCCAGGCAAGCCCAGACATGGCCTTCTGCCTGGGGAGGCCCTCTTTGGCCTGCTCAGCAGACCCTCAGCCCCTTCTAGGCCCTGTCTTCAGCCTCAGACTGAGTGGTGGCCTGGGGAGGTTGGGAGCTGAGCTGTTCTCATCCCTGGTTCCTTGGCCACGGTGGAAACAATGGGGCCGGATCTGACTGCTCAGCGGGGACTGTGAATAGCTCTCTAGCAGGAAGCAACAGCAGGGGTAGTGGAGGAAGTGTGGGCCCACTTTGGTTTGACACTGCATATGGTCCCCATCTGGCCTGAGAGCCTTTACTCCTTGGCAAACTCAGGCCAATAAGCTCCTGCCCCCACCCTCAATGGCAGCTGGAAGAATGGCCTGAGGGAGAAGCAGGGATAGGTGGGCTGCACTGACATCACCCCCAGATCCCAGCCGTGGCCCCAGCCAACCCATGGAGGTGGGGCATGGCACGGCAGGTGCTGCACAGGAGCCCAAGCACAAGGGCACTTAGGAGAAGGAATCTGAGCAGGGATCGATCTGGCCTGGTGGTGATTCTCCAGAAACTCCATTCCTCAGGGCTGTGACCACCAAGCCAGGTGATCAGGCCAGTGATGTTTCCCTTTGGGCCAGGTCGGGGAGCCAGACCTGGGAGGGAGACTCCTCTGGGGCCCAGGGGAGGTGAGTCAGAGCTGGCAGAGGCCTCTGGCTCCAGGAACCTCCAAGGAGGAGACCTGAGTTGCTGGGAATTTCTGGGTCTGACCTCCTGCCAAGTCAAGGTCTGGGCTGGACACAAGGTGAGGCTGTGCCTTCTGGTGCCAGGACCAAGGAAATGCTGGGATCTGGGCAGTGCTCAGAGGCAGCACCGTATGGCAGAACCATGAGGGTGCACCAGCACGGACCCCTTTCTGCAACCCACCCATCCCTCCCTGCAGCACCTCGCCTCCTCCAGGCAAGAATCTGAGCCTTGACCACAGCTCCCTCTCTCACACAGCTTCCTTCTTTGGTTAGAACCACCCGGAGGTGACTGTGGCCATGGCTCTGACTGACATAGACCTGCAGCTGCAGTTCTCCATGTCCCAACCCGAAGCCCTCCTTCTCCTGGCAGCAGGCCCAGCTGACCACCTCCTGCTGCAGCTCTACTCTGGACACCTGCAGGTGAGTGACGTCCCCCTGGGATTGGGGCGAGATTCCTTGTCTAGCTTTGAGTGAACCCCAGCTGGCTGTTGACCTTGTGTAAGTCACTTTTCTTGGGGTCTCAAGTTCTCCACTGTGGGATGGGCAGCAGCAGCTCAGAAATGGTAAATCCTTCATGAACTGGCTCTGCCCACCGGCTCCTTCCAACCATGTTTCCCACCACAAGCCCTCACTGGCCCTTTGTGCTCTGACTGCACTGAACTGCTTTCAGTTCCTGGCCATCTTATGGTCACTTGCTGCCAGGCCTTTGGTCATCACACTCCTCCTGCCAGGTGTGTGACCCACCCATTCCCTGTACCTGCCGAACTCTAGTCTCTCCTTGAAGTTTCAGTGTGGGCATCCCCTCCTCCTCGGCGAGACCCCCTCCTGGGCCCCCATGACCCCTGCGCATCCTGGTGGCACTGCACCAATTTATCTGCAGCACCACTGTCTGTCCATGAGAGTAACAGCACCAGTACTGCCTCAGCTTCATTTTTCCATTTCATCCTTCAAGACACCACAAGCTTTATTATCAAGGAGTCTTGTGGCTCCTACTTGAGTCTTACCCCATACCAGGAAGAGTTTAAGAACCCAGGGTCTTAGTCCAAATTTGGGGCAGGCTGGGTGCAGTGGCTTATGCCTATAATCCCACCACTTTGGGAGACCAAGGTGGAAAGATCACTTGAGCCTAGGAGTTCAAGACTGGCCTGAGCCACACAATGAGACCCCATCTCTATTTTAGAAGGAAAAAAAAAACAAATTAACAAATTTGGGGCAGCCATCTCTTTCCACACCCCAGTGGGAAGAGGACTAGGGCTTGGTCAGTCTGCTGCTGTCATTGCTGCTCATTGCCACAAGGTGTCACTGTTGAACACCTATGTGGTGCAGTCTGGTGCTGATGGCTGTTGAGCTCTGCAGGTAGTGATGCCACATCCCTACAGAGATGCACCATACCAGGACTCCAAGATCATGGTTCTTAGTGTTCTGCCTCTGCAGTTCCCATACTCTGCCATCACCTATTCTAGCATCTGGGAGCACCATACCAGAGCCATTTCTTGTGTCAATGTCATGGTGACAGAACTATGTCCTTCATCTCTCCTTGAGATATTCCTCCACCACAGGTCAGGCAGCTTTTTTTTTTTTTTTTTTTTCCCAGAACACAGAGCATCTGCCTGGGCTCCCTGTCCCTGAACAGTTAGCCTGGCTTCCTTCAGTGACCTCGAGAAACTTTGCCAAACTTAGGGGGACTGATCAACGGATTCTCAGTTACCCATTATTCCAGGGGTGAAATCTAGATTCCAAGACAATATTTCTGGTGCTTCTCACTCAAGGAAAGAGGAGGAGAATTTAAAAATACAGGTTGGGTTTCTAGAAGAGCATCTTGCTATATGTCAGTTCCTTGTGGGCAAGGACCACATCTGATTCACACCAGGGTCCCCAGAGCCCATCCAGGCCTGGCCCAGAGTTTCCTTTGGTGAGTGTTTGGAGGATGAATAAAGAGATGGCAGGAAGGCAAGAGGAGTGGCACCAGAGGCCCTTGTCCTAGGTTTTCTGCTCTGGGGCCCCCTGTGGGGAACCCACTGTGCTTTTATAAGGGAAATGATGGATTCAAAGTGCTGCCCCCCATCTCCCATTCCCCGTCTCTCCTCAGGTCAGGCTTGTCCTGGGCCAGGAGGAGCTGAGGCTGCAGACCCCAGCAGAAATTCTACTGAGTGGCTCCGTCCCCCACACCACAGTTCTGACTGTCTCAGAGGACTGGCCCACATTGTCAGTCAATGGGTTTCTGAATGCCTCCTCTGTAGTCCTGGGAGCCCCCCTAGAAGTCCCCTATGGGCTCTTTGTTGGGAGCACTGGGAGACTTGGCCTGCCCTACCTGAGGGGAACCAGCCATCCCCTGAGGGGTTGCCTCCATGCAGCCGCTCTCAATGGCCGCAGACTCCTCCAGCCTCTGACCCCCAATAAGCATGAGGGCTGTGCTGAAGAGTTTTCTGCCAATGATGATGTGGCCCTGGGCTTCTCTGGGTCCCACTCTCTGGCTGCCTTGCCTGCCTGGGGCACTCAGGATGAAGGAACCCTGGAGTTTACACTCACCACACAGAGCTGGCAGGCACCCTTGGCCTTCCAGGCAGCAGGCTGGCATGGGGACTTCATCCATGTGGACATATTTGAGGGCCACCTGTGGTCCATGGTTGAGAAGGGCCAGGGTACTGTATTGCTCCTCAACAGTGTGCCTGTGACTGACGCACAGCCCCACAAGGTCAGCATCCACATCAACATTCACCAGCTAGAAATCTCCATGGACCAGTACCCCACACGAACTGAGGAGTCCTCAGCTACCTGGAGCCACGTGACAGTCTCCTTCTTGGGGAGCTGGTTGCAGAGGCCTCTCATCACCTCCAGGAACACCGCTCAGGCCTGACACCAGGGGCTGCCAATGCCTCCCTGCTGGGCTGGCTGCATGGAAGACCTCAGTGTCAATGGCTAGAGGCAGGGGCTGTGGGAAGCCTTGCTGACGCACAACATGGTGGCTGGCTGCAGACTGGAGGAGGTAGACAATGCCTATGGCCATTATGAAGCTTTCTCCACCCTGGCTCCCAAGGCTTGGCTGTCCGTGGAGCTAGCTGAGCCATGCGTGCCTGAGCCAGGGCTACCTCCTGTCTTTGCCAATTTCATCCAGCTGCTATCAGCGCAGTGGTGGTGACCGAGGGTGGCACAGCCTGGCTTGAGTGGTGGCATGTGCAGCCCATGCTGGCACTGATGGAGGCTGAACTGCGTAAATCCCAGGTGCTGTTCAGCGTGACCTGAGGGGCACACTACAGCGAGCTCGAGCTGGATGTCCTGGGTGCCCAGGCATGAAAAATGTTCACCCTCCTGGACGTGGTGAACTGCAAGGCCCGCTTCATCCACGATGGCCCTGAGGACACCTCTGACCAGCTGGTGCTGGAGGTGTCAGTGATGGCTTGGTTGCCCATGCCCTCATGCCTGCGGAGGGGCCAAACAGACCTCCTGCCCATCCAGGTCAACCCTGTCAATGACCCACCCCACATCATCTTCCCACATGGCAGCCTTATGGTGATCCTGGAACACACACAGAAGCCTCTGGGGCCTGAGGTTCTCCAGGCCTATGACCTGGACTCTGCCTGTGAGGGCCTCACCTTCCAGCTCCTTGGCACCCCCTCTGGCCTCCCCGTGGAGCACCGAGACCAGCCTGGGGAGCCGGTGACTGAGTTCTCCTGCTGGGAGTTGGAGGCCGGCAGCCTAGTCTATGTCCACTGTGGTGGCCCTACACAGGACTTGACATTCCGGGTCAGCAATGGACTGCAGGCCAGCCCCCCGGCCATGCTGAAGGTGGTGGCTGTCCAGCTGGCCATACAAATCCACCGCAGCACAGGGCTGCATCTGGCCCAGGGCTCTGCCATGCCCATCTTGCCTACCAACCTGTTGGTGGAGACCAGCGCCGTGGGGCAGGATGTGACCGTGCTGTTCCGTGTCACCGGAGGCCTGCCGTTCAGGGAGCTGCAGAAGCAGGGGGCTGGTGGGGTGGAGGATGCTGAGTGGTGGGTCACACAGGCGTTCCACCAGCAGGATGTGGAGCAGGGCCACGTGAGGTACCTGAGCACTGACCCACAGCACTACACCGAGGACACCGTGGAGAACCTGGATCTGCAGGTGCAGGTGAGCTGGGAAATCCTGAGCAATCTGTCCTTCCTAGTGACCATCCAGAGAGCCACTGTGTGGATGCTGCAGCTGGAGCCACTGCACACTCAGAACACCCAGCAGGAGGCCCTCACCACAGCCCACCTGGAGGCCACCCTGGAGGAGGCAGGCCCAAGCCCCCCAACCTTCCACTGTGAGGTGGTTCAGGCTCCCAGGAAAGGCAACTTTCAACTACAGGGCACGATGCTGTCAGACGGTCAGGGCTTCACCCAGGATGACGTACAGGCTGCAGAGGTGACCTATGGGGCCATGGCACATGCCTCAGTGGCAGTGGAGGACACCTTCTGTTTCCATGTCACAGCTCCACCATATTTCTCCCCACTCTGTACCTTCTCCATCCATATTGGCGGTGACCCAGACATGCCTGTCCTCGTGGTGCCCGAGGGTGGTGGGTGTGTCCTCTCTGCTGACCAGCTCTTCATCAAGAGTCTCAACAGTGCCAGGTACCTCTATGAGGTCATGGAGCAGCCCCGCCATGGGAGGTTGACTTGGCGTGGGACACAGGACAAGATCACTATGGTGACATCCTTCACCAATGGAGACCTGATGCATGGCCAGCTGGTCTAGCAGCATGATGACTCCGAGATCACAGAAGATGATATCCCATTTCCTGCTGCCATCAGGACCAGAGCAGTGGTGACGTGGCCTGGGAGGAGGTATGGGGTGTCTTCTGAGTGGCCATCCAGCCTGTGAATGACCACGCCCCTATGCAGACCATCAGCTGCGTCTTCCACGTGGCCTGGGGTAGGTGGCGGCTGCTGACTACAGACAACATGGCCTTCAGCAATGCTGATTCGGGCTTTGCTGAGGCCCAGCTGGTGCTGACCCACCAGGACCTCCTCTCTGGCAGTATCATGGCCACGGATGAGCCCATGCAGCCCATCTGCCGCTTCATCCAGGAGGGGCCTCAGGAAGAGGCGAGTCCTGTTCACACACTCAGGCTGACCACGGCTGGATCCCGCTGCAGGTGTCCGATGGGCAGCACCAGGCCATCACGGTGCTGGAGGTGCAGGCCTTGGAGCCTTACCTCTGTGTGGCCAATGGCTCCGGCCTCATGGTTCCTCAAGGAGGCCAGGGTACCATCAACATGGCCGAGCTCCACCTGGGCACCAACCTCAACATCTGCAGTAGGGATGAGGCCCACTACCACGTCACAGACAGCCCTCACTGGGGACAGTTGCTCCAAGCCACTCAGCCAGCCACAGCCTTCTCTCAGCAGGACCTGCTGGTTGGGGCTGTTTTCTATGGCCACAATGGCAGCCTCAGCTCCCGCAACACCCTGGCCTTCTCAATGGATGTGGGACCAGTGCACACAGATGCCACCCTACAAGTGACCATTGCCCTAGAGGGCCCAGTAGCCCCACTGAAGCTGGCCCAGCACAAGGAGATCTACATCTTCCAGGGAGAGGCAGCTGAGATCAGAAGGGACCAGCTGGAGGTGAGGAGCTGGAGGTGGTGAGCGGGGTGTGGACCAGGTAGAGGGCCTTCCTCCCAGCCTCCATGCCGGGAACACATGTGACTTGGGCTGTACCTGTGGTGGTCCCAGCTTGTGTGTGTGCACGTGCCTCAGATGTGCTCCCATATATGTTGTGTTCCCAAGAGTTTCTGGGGAGCTTGCTGTACACCCATCCTCCTGGGAGTGGTGTGTGCCTCTAGAGCTGGTGTCCACTCATGTCCATGGCATGGCTGAGCATGCAGATTCCTGGACGCCACCCAGCCCTACAGAATCTCTGAAGTGGAGCCCGAGAATCTGCATTGCAGTCAGTTCCCTGGGAGGGCATCACGGGTCCTGAACTTTTGGGATTGCTGGCCGTGGAGACAGGCCGCTGCCTCTCAGACCCCTGTGTACCCCGCTCTCTTCTCAGAGCCCAGACCAGGACCAGGAGGGTCTGTCAAGGGCTTCTGCTCACCCAGGAACCCCACAGAGCAGCCACGGGCCTTCCAGAGATCTGACATGCCCTGTGACCTCAGGCCAGTCCTTGCCCGCTCTCAGCCTTACTCTTCCACACTGCTTATTTCGGAGACCCTTCTGGTCTGCATCTGGAGCTTGGGGCCCATGGTGAGCCAGCAGATCTGGCATCAGGAAGGCCTCATGGGAGGAGGCAGTGTTTGGGCCGGGCTCTGAAGAGTACAGGCCATTAGGAGCAGAGAATGGGGAGTGGTATTCCACGCAAAAGGAACATTCCGGCCGAAGGCACAAAACAGGAATGTGAGTTTGGAGGCAGTTTAGCCTCTTGTGGATGGCCCATCAGGTGAGGGAGCCCATGTGGCCTTTGGGGTGTGAGCTCTGTAGGGCCTGTGCTGGGGGTGCCTGTGCCTCTAGGAGGGGTGGGGTGGGGTGGGGCAGGGCACCCTCTGATGGTCCTGGGTGGTAATAGCAGGGGTTGGGGAGGATGCTGCCAGCAAACCAGCCACAGGCCTGAACAGATCCTGAGCAGGGGGCCTGTGTGCGTGTGCACACACGCATGTGTACCTGTACCTGTGTGACTGCGTCAGCATCTGATGAACTCATATGTCTGTGTCACTGAGTCTGGGGACATGTGATTATGCACCTCCCTGAGGGAGTGCATCTCAAGCTGTTGACCGACACCCCGTAACCATGTGTGGGGTGGGTATTAACATGTGACCAGCTGGGGCAACCCAGTGAAACCCCATCTCTACACAAAACATTTAAAAATTAGCCAGGCATGGTGGCACATGACTGTGGTCCCCAGCTACTTGGGAGGCTGAGCCCTTGAGCCTAGGACGTTGAGGCTGCAGGGAGCTGTGATCACACCACAGCACTCCAGCCTGGGTGACAGAGTGAGACCCTGTCTCAAAAAAACAAAAAATGTGACCAGCTGCATGTCTGGCTGCTGTGTGTGTGAACCCACATGTGTGTGTGTCACTAAATGAGCAGTGGTATCTGGGGAAATAAGTGGAGCAAGATCAAGGCTGTTCTGGCTGCTTAGGGCCACAGTGGGCCCCTCTGAGACCCCTCTGCATTCCCTTGTGAGTCCTCATGACCTCTGTTAACCAGGTAGCCCAGGAGGCAGTGCCGCCAGCAGACATCGTTTTCTCAGTGAAGAGCCCACCGAGTGCCGGCTACCTGGTGATGGTGCTGCGTGGCATCTTGGCAGATGAGCCACCCAGCCTGGACCCCGTGCAGAGCTTCTCCCAAGAGGCAGTGGACACAGGCAGGATCCTCTACCTGCACTCCCGCCCTGAGGCATGCCTTCTCGCTGGATGTGGCCTCGGCCTGGGTGCTCCCCTTGAGGACGTCACGTGGAGCTGGAGGTGCTGCCTGCTGTCATCCCCACTGGGGGCACAAAACTTCAGCAGTAGAGGGGGCACAGTCGCAGCTGCACCCTGGCCCCTCCACTGCTCCGCGTTGCCAGGTCCTGCTTCCCCACTCTCCCGGGCCTTGGCCTGCAGGTGCTGGAGCCACCCCGGCATGGGGCCCTGCAGAAGGAGGATGGGCCTCAAGCCAGGACCCTCAGCACCTTCTGCTGGAGAGAGGTACGGCTGTGAGAGAGGCCCAGGGGCTGCAGCCCAGCTCTGGGGGCAGAGTGGAGGGAGCCCCGGGGACTCCCAGTCCAGGGGTTATACAGAGAGGAGACAGGGAGTCACATTTCAGAAAGACCTATGCTTTAGATGCTGTATCTCGGGCTGGGCGCTGTGGCTCATGCCTGTAATTCCAGGACTTTGGGAGGCCGAGGTGGGCAGATCAGGAGGTCAGGAGATCAAGACCATCCTGGCTAACACGGTGAAACCCTGTTTCTACTAAAAATACAAAAAATTAGCCGGGTGTGGTGGCCCGCACCTGTAGTCCCAGCTACTCAGGAGGCTGAGGCAGGAGAATCGCTTGAATCTGGGAGGCAGAGGTTGCAGTGAGCCGAGATCACACCACTGCACTCCAGCCTGGGCAACAGAGCGAGAGACTCTGTCTCAAAATAAAATAAAATATCCCCTTTCTTCCTCACAACTCCTCTGGGAACCAGAACTTATGGTCCCCATTTTCCACCAATGGAAGCTGAGGCCCTAAAAGGGTCAGTCTCTTCCTGCACCCAAAGGCAGAACATGAAGGGTACTGCTGGGGCCTGACTGCCAGCCCTGGGCCTGCCCCTAGGTGGAAGAGCATCTGATCCAGTACCTGCACGATGGGAGCAAGACACTGACGGTTTTGTCCTGATGGCTAATGCCTCTGAGATGGACCGCCAGAGCCATCCTGTGGCCTTCACTGTCACCATCCTGCCTGTCAATGGCCAACCCCCGACCTCATACAAACTCAGGCCTGCAGGTGAGCATATTCCTGGGACCACCCCCCATGTCTGCTTTGAGAAAGAGGCCAATGTCCCCTACTTCCCGGCACAGATCTCCCCCACTCTGAGCCTCAGTTTCCTCCTCTGCAAAATGAGGACACTACTGTGTGCCTCACGCAGTTGTTGGAAGGAGAGATGTGAGATTGTGCTGAAATAGAACACAGGTGGGAGGTTTTGTTATTGGACATTTGCAAGTACGGTAGGCAGACTTCTGAGCAGCCATGGGTGGCTCTGCTGTTCCTTCTCCTGTGGCTTAGGACCAGAACACCTGAAAGAATCACTTACAAGCCCTTAAGGGCTGGCGTCAGGGTGGGACCGTTAAGCTTCCCACCTTCACCCCAGCAAGTGGAGGCCTCAGCTTGGCTTCCCAAACTCCTGCCCCTTGTCCACAGCAGAGCAGGGCCCCCATTTGGCAAAGGTGGAAGTTGAGGCCCAGAGATGGGATGGAACTTCTCCATGATTGCAAAAGTAGTTCTGGTGGAACAGAAAGGGCATGGCTTTACTAAGCCCACGTGGCAGGGCTTTGAACCCCAGCTTCTGGGGCGCGTCCTCCCCAGTCAGCAGAAGCCACTGAAGGTTCCGCAAGAGGGCTGACTTGGGCTGTCTCTGACATGGGGCACCGGGGGGCTTTGGTGGTCTAGGATGTGCCTGTAGGGGGTGGCCTCATGGTGCGGACGCCACAGAAGAGTGGGACACAGCACCCTGGAACCACAGGCTGGGATGGCTGTGTGGCAGTGCGGCCACCAGGTGGTGCCATCTACCCGTGTTTGTTCCGGGAGCCCAGTGATGGGGCCCTGCCTCCCACAGTATGGCCCCTCTTGCCAAGGCTCGGCCTGAGGGCTCCCTGCGGCCAGGGGAGGAAGCCCAGGAATGCCAGAGGGCTGTTTTCTGGGCATGTGAGTCCCACTGCAGCACTGCCCACAAGTAATTGACCCAGCAAGAGTGGTACCAGGACCTCAGGAACGGGTGCCTGTTCTGCTTGCTAGTGGGAGGCCTGAAAAGGGGCCCCCTTTGCCCAACACGAGGAGGGCCCGTAACTGCTCTGGAAGCACCTGGGCCCATCCCAGCACTGCTTCTGTGCTGCAGGACAGTGCCAACCATCAGGCTTCAGCTCTCTGCGCCTCCCACCCCTCCCTTAGCTGGAAGGAGTGCTCGTTTCTAAAATCACTGTTCCCACCTGTGCCCAGCCCCTGCCAGGCACACATGGAGGGTCTGAAAGGAGACTGCTGCCCCACCAGTGAGCTAGATTAAGGAGCACTGTTGGTCAGCGCTGGGGGTTTCTGGGGGTGAGAACTTGGTGACGGTAAGAGCTAGGGCCTTCCTGGGTTGGGTACACAAGCTGGTCTTGAGGGACACACAGGACTAGGACAGATGAAGAGCAGGGATGCTGGGCCTGGAGGGTGGCCTTCCCTGGGGTGACAGGGAAGGTGAATGCAGGGAGGCCATTTGTGCAGGGGAGCCACAGCAGCGCCAGCCTTGATGCCACCTGAGGGCCTGAGCCTCAGTGGGGTTGGAGCCCTGGTGGCAGCCCAGGGCCGGGGAGGAAGGGGTGGGTAAGTGTGGCAGGGCAGAACCTTCACAGGCCTGTGTCCCCAGATGTGGGAGGGGGCCACCGTGCCCATCCCTACAGAGGCTCTGAGGAGCATGGATGGTTACTCTGGGCCCAAGGACCTGGTGTACACCATTAAGCAGCCCAGCAATGGGTGGGTAGTGCAGTGGGCGGTGCCGGGCACTGAGGTGCGCAGCTTCAAGCAGACCCAGCTGGATGGTGGGCTCGTGCTGTTCTCACACAGAGGTGGGTGCTGAGGGCCGAGCCCCAGGTTTCTGCTGCCCACGGGGGCACCCTGAGGTGGGGAGCCAGTTCAGGCCAGCTGGACCCAACACCCTTGTCCCCAGGGGCCCTGGACGGAGGCATCCACTTTGGCCTCTCTGACGGTGAACATACTTCCTCCAGACACTTAGCTTCTGAGTGACGGCCCAGAAGCAAGTGCTTCACTCGCTGGAGGGCAGCCGGACACTGACTGCCCAGGTGGGTGTGCTGATTGTGGGCGTTCCTGGGTGCGGGGGGCTGGGGCAGAGCTGAGGGTGGCATGCCAGGGTCACACTGCCTCTCTGCAGCCACAGGCCTCGGCCTGGATCACAAAGGCTGATGGCCCCTTTTGCCTCTGGCAGAGTCCGTCCAGCCACTCAGCAGCCAGAGCCTCAGAGCCAGCAGGCACCGACCCCCAGCTCCTGCTCTACCATGTGGTGCGGGGCCTCCAGCTAGGCCGGCTCTTCCACGCCCAGCATGACAGCACAGGGGAGGACCTGGTGAACTTCACTCAGGCAGAGGTAAGGGCCCCACTCTGCAGCCACCACTCAGATGCGCCCAGCCTCAGGTGGCCACTGTGCCATGGACATCATGTGGACATGGGCACCAGCTCCAGCATCACCGGCAGCAGACACTCCCAGGCCTGCCATGGTCCAGGACCTGGTGTCCTGCCCTCTAGGAGTCATCAGGCTGGCAGGGCAAGTTCATGTTCCCAGAAGGAGGGAGAAGAATGCAGGAAGTCGGGGATACAGGGCCCCAGAGCAGGGCTGGGGTCTTGGGGTGTGGCTTCCCGAAGGAAGCTAGAGCTGGACCCAAGGGTCTGGAGAGGGAGAACCATGTAGGGGCACTAGTGGCACCCCAGCAGCTGGTGAGGGGCAGTGCTTGGTGGGGGATGGAGTCGGAGGTGAAGCAGCTGCTGGGGCCTGTGGGCAGAGGTGTGAGCCTCGGGCTCAGATCAGGTGCCAGCCAGAGGAAGAGTGGATCCTAGGAGCAGATGAGCTGATGAAAGGCAGCTGAGTCGGCCAAAAGGGGGAAGCCACTGTTCATCTGTCCTGGTGGCTTCAGAGAAGAACTAGAGCTCTCAGCCATGGGTAGTGGCAGACTCTCTGTGGTAACTGTGCCACGGGGGCCAGCCCACTCATGGTTTAAATGAACACCTCTCCCCAAAGGCAGAATGGGAGTTGTTCCATAGCAGGGCAGGGCAGGGCAGGGCAGACTCTTGTGGGCCGCCCTGGGCAGGCAGCACACCTGATGCTCCCATCAGGAGGCTGCGTGAGCATCTGGACCCAGCACATGATCACAGTGAGTTCTCGGCAGGGAGCGGTCTTGTGGGGCGCAGAGCTGACTCTGTCACTCAGGAGCCACGGCACACAGCACTGCCCCAAGTACCTCCAGAGGGGATCCCTGTCAGCCCTTGAAAATGGCAGAGCCCACCCCAGCCCCCTTTTCAAGCTCCCTTGCTTCGGCAAGGACCTCCTGAGCCTGGCGCTCTCCCTCCTGAGAGGTGCAGATGGTACTCAGCAAGTGCAAAGCCGAGGTTTCTTGGGCCTCTCACATCAGCACCTCCCAGACCTCGGTTCTGTATTTCCCTGGAGCTCCACTCCTGCTATGGTGCCCTTCCCACAATGAGATATTCATCAGGCTGGTGTCTACAGCTGCTGCGTACCCTCAGTTGCTGGGAGCCTTTGTCAAGAATGCCCAGGAATGAGGAGGGCACAGGACCCAGACCATCAGCAACCCTCTTGCACTCTATAGTCCCATGTTACTCAGAGCTTCCCCATGCTCCAGCAAGATGAAGGACTAGATTGAATGGGCACCAGGCTGGCAGTGCCACCCAGGAAAGCTGGGAAGAGGCTACATGGGCTACCTGGCCCACTCAGGGAGGAGGGCAGGACTGGGTATTGTCTTGACAGCAACCCTGTCCCACAACACTGAACTGGGCAGGGAAGGGGTCAGGTGTCCTCATTTTTCAGATAAGAAAACTGAAGCTCCCAGAGGGCAGGTAAATGTATTCAGAGCACATGGCGAGTAAGAGGCAAATCTTCTGCCAGCAAGTCCAGGATTTTTTTCACCAGAGGACATTGCTTGGTCCCCAGAGCTCAGGACCCTGTGTTTTGTCTCACTCCCACCCACAGAGCTCCTGTATCCAGGCATCAACTCCAACTCCCACTCCTGGAGGCCGAGGCAGGAGGATCACTTGAGCCCAGGAGTTCGAGACCAGCCTGGGCCACATAGTGAGACCTTGTCTCCACACAAAAATTTTAAAAATAGCTGGGCTTGGTGGTGGCATGTGCCTGTAGTCCTAGCTACTCGAGAGGCTGACGTTGGAGGATCACTTTGAGCCCAGGAGGTGGAGGCTGCAGTGAGCAGTCATCACTGTACTCCAGCCTGGTGACAGAGCGAGACCCTATCACCGCCCCCCGCCCCACCAAAAAAAAACTGAGTAGACAGGTGTCCTCTTGGCATGATAAGTCTTAAGTCCCCTCCCAGATCTGTGACATTTGACAGGTGTCTTTTCCTCTGGACCTCGGTGTCCCCATCTGAGTGAGAAAAGGCAGTGGGGAGGTGGATCTTCCAGTCGAAGCGGTATAGAAGCCCGTGTGAAAAGCCATACTCCAAGGGGCTCCAAGTCCAGCGCACAGTCCCAGAAGGGCCCAGCAAGGCAGCCAGGGCGGCACAGGCACCAGGTCCCAACCTTCTTCCCTGTTTGCCCACTCTCAGACCCCGGAGTTCATCATCTCGGAGCCGCTGGCCAATATGTACTCATGTGGGAACCAGAACACACTGATGGAGGAGTTGGCAGAGCAGGCACAGCAGCATGACGAGATGCTGCACATGCACCACGCGCTGAAGGAGGCGCTCAGCATCATCGGTGACATCAACAGGACCACTGTCACCATGCCCATGCCCCCGCCCGTGGACGACACCTGGTTGTCAGAGCATCCCTGACGAACACAGGTACCAAAGACTGCCCCCCACGGCCCCAAAATCCCCCACCCGGGATGCCCAGAGGAGTGCCCTGGGGGCAAGTGGCACACCCCCTCACCGGGGTGGCTCCCACCTGGAGTGACGGGGGGAGCTTGACAAGGAGCACTGGCTGCCGGGGGGGGGGGGGGTGTGTGGAGCTGGGATGTTCTCGCTGCTGGGGGCGGGGCTTAAGCTCTGGCAACCGCCTTGGGGTGTGGCCGGCACTGCGCTGGGGCGGGGTCGCCCATCTCTCCCCTCCCTGTGCCTCCCAGGTCGCCCAAGTCCAGCGTCAGGATGCCCAGGCCCTGCCATGTCCCTAGCCCGGCCTGGGTGGCAGGGCCCAGCTCCTGGGCGGCAGGACCCAGCTCCTGGGCTTCCTCCTGCCGGGTCCGCCCTTGGGGAAGCGTGCCCCATACCCTCCAGGCCAGAGGCTTCCCCTGATCCCTTTGGGCCCTACCCCCCTGGTGCTCTCGTGCCCCAGCCGGGGTCCCCAGGTAAGTAGGGGCTGAATGCGGCTGAAGAGGCCGCTGGACAGGCGTGGCCAGGAAGGAAATGGGACTGGATTCCAGAGCACCACATCTGGCCGCCAGAACTGGCCGTCTCCATCCAAGGCACTGGGACCATGGGTGCCGGAGCCACGTGTGGCCGAGGGCTGGCAGAGCCTGCCCCCCAGGGATCACTGAGTCCTGGAGGTGGTCGTTTTTGAGGAGGGGGCTGTGGGGCTCGTCCCACCTGCCGCCTTCTGTCCAGCACTTGCATGACACTTCCCTCTATTTTCACTCTTGGCGGCTGCCCACACGTTGCATTTCTCTTCCTTTCTTCTCGCTGTCCTCCATCCTCCATTCCGTCCAACTCCTAGCCCAGTCCCGGGGGCGCCTACTTCAGGTCTGAGAGTCTGAACTCCGAGATGCTCTGGGTGTGTGGATTTCCTTCAGCTACCCTGATGTCCCCACTTCCAAGTCCTGACTCCTTTGAGCCATCCCAGGGGGTGTCCGGCCACTGGACCACAGGAGCAGAGGCGAGTCTGTGACTGTGTGACCAGCAAGGTGTGTGATGTGTGCGTGAGCGAGCACACGAGTGTAAAGAATGGCACCCAGACCTGAGCTAGGACAGAGGGAGCCTGGGGGCCACAGGCAAGCTCATTTCTTCTCCACACCCCTCCCCGCCCGACCCTGTCTAAACTAATGGGGTAGTGGTAGCCGCGAGGGCAGGGATGGGAGTGGCTGAAGCCTACTTCACTCCCAAAGATTTCTAAGGAAAATGGTTCTACTGCATCCTTTGGCTGGGCCTTGTTGACCCGTGACCCTCTTTCAAGAACATTCACTCTGATTTCCAGTGTGCCGTCTCCACTGGCCACGTTCTCTAAGGAAGAACAATAGCATCTGTTTTTGTTTCCAAATGGCTGGAGAGTGGGGCTGTGGGACCAGCGCCCATATATAAAAATGAAGCAGGGATTGGGGCTTGCCCTGTGATGTGCTGTTGACCAAGTTAGAGGGGTATAGGCAAGCAGCAAAGTATTGGGCAAGATCACTGGACTGGGAGTCCAGAGATGCTGCTTCACCCTGGGGCTTTAGGCAAGTCCCTTTCCCTCCCAGAGCCTCAGCATCCCTTTTAGCAAATTATGACATTCTGCCTTTCTCCTAGGATGGCTGTGGGGATCAAGGGAGACAGTGGCCATAGGGATGCTATGTTAACCGCAGATGCGGCTGTAGGAGCACTTTGCTAACTGCCAACGTGAGTTCAGACTCTTCAGGCTATTTGGCACCCAGGTCTATGGTGAGGTGTGACATATGGGATGTAAAGTTTGATGCCTGCTCTGACTCCAGTCTTGCTAACACACACACGAAACCTTTGGCAAATCATGACCCTGCCTTGGGGAAAAGGGCAGTCTGGGAGAGCTTCTTCAAGGCAGCCTGGCTTCAATGCAGTCCGGGGCATGACTGAGATAGGCATACGTTGTGAGGAACTGGAGGGTAACTGGGTAAAGAGCTGCAGTGTGGGCAGAGGTGTAGTGTGGGTCACATTGAGGATAGCCACTGGCCAAAGCAGGGAACAGAGACAGAATGAGGAAGAGCTCTGTGGGGAGGGTGGGGCACAGGGTGGAGAACCTTCAAAGTCCAAAGAGTATGACTTGTTGGGATTCAACGCTGTAGGCAGTAGGGAGCCATGGAAGGCTCTTAGGTGGAGAAATGACAGCCGGACATTAGTGAGCAAGCCCTGTCTCCCTGAGCAGGATGGGTGGTCCTCTGAGCACGCCAGGCACGAGTGTGCAGGGAGCTGGTGCAAATGCCTCTGTGTGCGGGTGAGCATCTGTGTTGTGACTCTGCCCACGCATGTGCTTCAGTGTGCCGAGTGGCTGCACGCCCCAGATCCATGCGGCACGTGCCGGCTGGTGAGGGTGTTGGGCACCGGGAGGTGGCGGAGAGGGCGACGTATGCGTGTTGTTTGTGGGCATGTGTTAGAGTGTGCATGCGGGCCGTGGGGCCTCACAGCATGTGTGTGCACAATCTGGCGTGTGCGTGTGTCCGCCACCCCCAGGCCTGCCCCACCCATGCATGGGACCTGCCATGTGATTTGATGCTGTCTTTCAGAATCACTATCAGTGGCCCCTGAGGAGCATCAGCCATGGTAGGTACATGCCTCACTGCCTGCTGCATGAATGGTCTGCCCGCCCCGCTGCCCCAGCTCCACACAGGGGGCATACCTGGAGCCTCAGAGCCAGGCTGCCTGCCCCTCCCTTCTAGAGCTGCAGCCTTGCTCTTTCCTCTTTCTGTCCTTGTGCTGCTGGCTGTCTCACTTCCCTCCCTGCCAGCCACAGGACTCAGTGCCACTGCTCAAGGTCTCCATGGCTGAGCCTGGGGGCTCTTACAACAGGCTCCATGCCGAAGGTGGCAGATGTGGAACCATCAGAGAGGGCACAGAGCTCATGGTTTATGGTGTAGGGGCTGGGAGCTTGGAGGGGGTTGTGTGGGGGGCTGGACTCAGGCGGCCAGAGGCCTGGGCACATCATCCTGGGCACGCCGTACCTGTCATGCAGTCTGAGTCATGCTGCCAGGGCAGGTATCCAGCTCCCAGCCTGGGAGTGCCGAGAGCCAAATCCACTGCAGATTAGGGGTGATAGTCACGGTCCCACGTCCTCTATCTGTCAGCAATCCAGTGGTGATCTAGGATAAAAGCCTGAGAGTCCTATACACGCGGTCATCCCACAACACACTTCATAGGCCATGCAAGGACACACAGCCCCCTTCCCTCCCTCCCAGGTACCATCACAGCTGCTAGCATGTGACTGAAGGCTGGGTCCCTGGCCAGCACTACTGAAGCACTACTGCCAGCCAGCAGGCTCACGGACCTTGGCCTGTTGCTCCTAGGGGTCACCTGTGCTATTCAGCCAAGGAGACCACAGTGCTTGCTGGCCCAGCTGAGCTCCGCCTAGCGAGCCCACCTGCCTTTCCTGCCGCGGAGTCTCCCTCTTCTGCTTTTCCCAGCAGGAAGGGCCCAGCCTCACCTATGCAACCTGCAGCCCCCCGCCAACCAGTTGAGGTTCCCCTCTTAGACTTATAAGTCTATGGGCAGTGGCATCTAGCTACCTGCCCTCCCTGCCTTCCCCAGGGTCCCTTCAGTGGACCCTGGGCTTTCTGACTGCCCAGAGAGGGGCCTCTGGCGCTCACTCCAGCCAGCCATCCCTTACAGCTTCACCATTTTGGTTCAAGCAGTGTTCCTTCTGTCAGGCTTGGTGGCTGTTGGGTGGGGCTCCCCAAGCAAGAGGTGGCCCTGGGCCAGTGGGTTGGAAGATGGGGTGACCACAGAAGAGGGAAGCCGGGGGAGTTGAGCATTGGTCTGAACTGTGGGTGGACTGCCTGGGTGCCATGAGAGAGGCCAGTGTGTGTGGGGTGGGGAGGACCGCCACAGCCCCCAGGCACTACCTATGAAGCTCTAGCTTCTCCCTCCATCTTCCTCCCCTTTCCCTTCCAGCCCCTCTTTTCCAGGAACCTTGCCACGCCCACACCTACGCCTTCCCCTTCCCGGCTCTCAGATGATGGTGGTGTTTATCTCCCTGTTCTTGGGAGCCCAAAAAGAATGGCATGCAGGGGTTGCTGCCCATGCCTGGGTGCTCCTGGGGAGTCCTGCATTACAGGAAGCAGCTGCTGGATCTGCTGTGCAGTGGGGTTGTCGTGGGGAGAACCCTCCCTGTCCTCTCCTGGTGCAGCCTCCACGCTATCAGTGAGGCTCACCTCACAAAGATCTTCAGAGAGAGGGAGGGGGGGTGGGAATCTGAGCACAGTGTGAGCCTCCCCTGCTCCTGCCTGCCCACCCCGCCTGAGGGCTCTACTCACCACCCTGCTCGTCAGCACACCCAAGCTCCTGGGCTATTGGGGCTCCTAGAGTGGGCTCATCAGCAGGGTTCTGGGCAATGGTCAGAATTTGCCATGCCCCTCCTTGTGGTCTCCCACAAGCTGCAACACCTGCCCCGCAGCTCCTGCAGGTTCACCTGGAGGAAGGGGTGTTAGCTGCCATGCCGGTGCCAGCACGCACGTTCACACCCACCCCCACCCTCCCCCACCGAGATGTTGCACACCCTACCTTCATCTCCTCCTGGTCCTGGGCCAGCCTGACGATGTCCTCCTCTCCCAGTGCTGCGTCTCTGACACTGCCCCCTGGCTGATGTACTTTCCTGCAGGAGGACATGGCTCAGATGCTGGGGCCCCTCAGACGGCCTGGCAGCTCCCCCCAGCGGTGCCCTAGCCTCTCACTCCCTATGGTGTCTGTCTGTCCTGAGAGGTGGATGAATTGAAGCTCTAGTTTCTCTACCCGCTCCTTCAGGTCCACCTTCTCCTTCCATAAAGTCGCTGTGGAGCCAAAATAATGGGGTCACATGTCAGGAGTCACCTGCCTTGTCCTGCCCCCCCGCCCCCCTTGTTGGCCCATGCCAGGACCTACTCACCTGCAGCTTCTCCATGGCCCCCTGCAGGGCCCGGTGGGTCTCCCCAAACACAGACTCACCCCCACTCTCTGGGGCTGGGGCCGCTACCTCTGGCTTTTTCTGGGACGAGGCCACTGGGTGAGCCAGGGGCTGGCAGCACACCCTTTGTTCCTCCTGGGCATTGGCTCCAGCGGAGTTGAAAAATGCCACCTGAAGACAAGAGGTGAGTATTCTTGTAGGGGTATACACATAACAACTGGGGCAGGCAGATGGAGCATAGCCCCTTCATTTCGGGCCTCACAGAGTGCACCTGTTGGTCACAGGTGAAATGGTGTCTGACCACTGGCTCCCAGAAGCAGAGAAAGTCCACAGAAGTCAGAAGGCGGGGAAACCAAGAACATAAGGGGGTTTCGGAGGGACCACAGAGGAAGGTGGCAAAGTAGGGGCAGGGAAAGTCAGGCTCACCATGGCCTCCCGGCTCTCCAGGTCCCCTGGGATGTTCGGCATGGGCCGAAGCGCCTCCTGCTCACTGTCCAGATGTCCTCCTCCATCTCCTGTGGGGGGTGGCCAGAGGGGTCCTCAGACAACCCAACAAGGGAGGTACAGTGGGCCCGCCTCTGCCCCCACACTCACTGTGTAACCTTGAGCCAGCCCCTCCCCAGAGGGGAATGAGCTGTTCTTTATTTTGAATTTTAAGAACCAAGATCTTGCTATATTGCCCAGGCACAGTCCCACTACCGATTGGTGCAGGAATTCTGACCTGCTCCCTTTCTGACCTGGGCCAGTTCTCCCATCCTTAGGCAAGCCGATGACCTGTTCCCAGGAGGTCACCATACTGATACTGAACTTAGTGCGGACACCTTGTCGGCATAATGACCGACACAAAATGCTTAAAAGGTAACCTGACTCTTTGTTCAGGGCTCAGTCCTTTAGATGTTAATCTGACTGGGCCGGTGCACCTAAATAATATATATCCTCCTCAGTCTCTCTGATTCCTAAATTATGCTGCTGTACGGGGAGAGAGGCAGCAGGGTAGTGGAGTCATACCAAGCAACAAGACAGGGTAGTGGCCAGGCATGGTGGCTCACACCTGTAATCCCAGCAATTTGGGAGGCCAAGGCGGGTGGATCACCTGAGGTCAGGAGTTCGAGACCAGCCTGGCCAACATGATGAAACCCCATCTCTACTAAAAACACAAAAATTAGCTGGGCATGGTGGCAGGTGCCTGTAATCCCAGCTACTCAGGAGGCTGAGGCAGGAGAATTGCTTGAACCCAGGAGATGGAAGTTGCAGTAAGCCAAGATTGTGCCATTGCACTCCAGCCAGGGGGACAAGAGGGAGACTTCACCTCGAAAGACAGACAGACAGGCTAGTACGTTTTCCACAAATTTCAATTTTACTCTCTTCCCCCACCACACACACACACACACACAAAGCATTTGAGGGATGGGAGGAAGAAACTGAGATCACAGGGAAAATTGTAAGAGACATTCAGAAGGACAGGTCTTAGAAATTTACTAGTTTGGGGGGGAGGTCAGAACAGGTGTATATAAAAGAATATTAAGACAGTTCCCAGGTTTAGGCATATGTGACTAGATAGAGTGCTAGGAGATGGATACGTGAAAATTTAAATATCATCATTTTGAACACCCATGTCACTCCAAGTGAGATTCCCTAAATATATGATATACAGACAGATATATGGGTTTGAAACTCTGGAGATGAATACAAATTTAGGAGTCCCTGGAACACAGGTCATGACTTAAGTAATGGGAGTCAAAGATTACTCAGAGAAAGCACAGAATGAGAAGAGAAGAAGTAGGACAAGGAAGAAGAGATCGGAGGAGACCAAGAAAGGGTGATAAGATCAAAACAGGAGAAAAGAATCCGACAGAAGTCTCATTTGATTATCATGTCCCTTCCCAGAGGACAGGGACATGTCTTTTTTGTCTTTTATACCCAATTATCACAGGTCCTGGTGCAGCAGACACACAGTTTTTTTTTTTTTAATTGTGTTGTACTACTCACAGTTTCCTGTATTCACCAGGGGAGAAAAAAGTAAGTATAAAGAAGCACAGACACAGATGTTTTTACACTGTGTACTAAAGGGGTCAGATTATACACAATATTTTATGCCTTACTTTTTTACTTAATATATCTTAGAAGTTTGCACGTGCTCTTATGGAAAGACTGGCTGCATTTTTTGGTCCACAACAGAACAACAGAATATTATAAAACGGTACACTATAATTTTTATTTAACCAACTCTTTATTGGTGGACATTAAGAATGGAGGAATGTTTCAACAAAGGAACAATCAACAGTATCAAAATACTGCAGAGGGGACAATTTGGGGACTAAGAGGGGAGCCACTGGATTTGACAACTAGGAGATAAATTTTAGTGCAACGATGAAGGCAGAATCCAGAGTATAATGAGCTCAGTGAAAAAAGGTGAAGACATGTAGCTTATTCTCTCAAGAAACTAGGCTATGATAAACTGGCAGAGGCTCTAAGAGTGGGAGGTGAGTTGTTTTCTCCTTCATGTAAATATATTTACCTTTTAAACACTAGGCCCAATTTTATATCCTATTTCATTTAACTTTATGAACATATTTATGTATGTATGCATGTATGTATGTATCTCATGTGGTGTTTTAGACACTGAAAAATAACTCATTTCTATTATAAAACTGATATCTTTAGATGTTCAGAAGCAACTTCCTAAAAGGAGGTAGCAGTAATGGAGCTATGTCTATCATTCTTTCCCATCAACCCCCTTGATGGAGATGTAAACATGTGTCCATCAAGCCTTTAATTTTTACCTCTTATCTTCATGGCTCTCCATATAAAACTTAACTCTTTTTTTTTTCTATTTGTATACGTATATTTATATGTATATCTATATCGAGAGAGAGAGAGAGAGAAAGAGTCTTGCTATGTTGCCCAGGCTGATCTCAAACTCCTGGGCTCAAGCAATCCTCCCACCTTGGCCTCGCAAAGTGCTGGGATTACAGGCGTGAACCACTGTGCCCAGCCTCAGCCTTAACTCTTAAAATATCTTCAAACCAATATTCTTCTGTTCTAATTTTTAAGAATAGATGTGTTTAAACCAACTAACTTATTTTGACAAAAATTGGAGTTAAGACTCAGACTTCCTCAAATAGTTCTCCTAAAACCATTTACAGAATAATCTATCTTTTCAGTATTAAGTTAAAATACCACCTTTTCCTTATACTAAATTCTCGTTTGCATGACTCTGGTTCTAAACTTCCATTGCCTTTATCTGTCTGGCCCAGGGATAGTCCACAATATTTTATTTACTATCTGGTTGAAAGAGTCTATACTTTATTACTTTTTATTACTTATTCTTCTAAACAAATTTTAGAGTCGTTTTGTCAAGTGTCAAAAATAAATCTGCCAGAATTTGTACTGAAATTTGTGTGTGTGTGTATATATATATAATACACACACACTATATATAAAATATAAAATGTATATATACAATTTATATATATAAATATTTATAAAATATGAAATATATATATATACACACACACTTTTCTAGTTTTTTTTTTTTTTTTTTTTTTTGAGACAGGGTCTCACTCTGTCACCTAGGCTGGAGTTCAGAGGCATGATCTCGGCTCACTGCAACCTCTGCCTCCCAGGCTCAAGTGCTCCTCCCACCTCAGCCTCAGAAGTAGTTGGAAATACAAGTGTGTGCCACAGACACCCAGCTAATTGTCATCTACCCGCCTCAGCTTCCCAAACTGTTTGGATTACAGGTATGAGCCACTGTGCCCAGCAGAAATTACATTTACAAATTAATATGAAGACATGGTGATAACTAACATATTTATAACATGAAATCTGCTCATCCAGGAACATAGAATGCAAATCTTTCATTCCACTCAGCAAAATTTTGTCCTGTCCTTGATAAAAGTCCTGCACATCTAAGTTTATTCCTAGGCATTTAATTTTTGCTGAAATACCTGAAAAAATACTTCATCACTATATCTTCTATGTGATTATAGCTAACATTGGGGAAGGCTATTGATTTTTATATAAAAGAACTTTTAACCAGTAATCTTAAAAATTGTTTTTTCTCAGTTGGTTCCTTTGGATATTTTTAGGTAAACAATCATGTCAACTGAAAATAATGATTATTTTTCTATAAAGACTATGACATCACAGGAAAATACAGTAAATACTTTTTAAAAGAATATAAAAGGGCCAGGCACAGTGGCTCACGCCTGTAATCCCAGCACTTTGGGAGGCCAAGGTGGGCAGACCATGAGGTCAGGAGATCGAGACCATCCTGGCTAACACGGTGGAACCCCATCTCTACTAAAAAATACAAAAAATTAGCCGGGAATGGTGGCGGGCGCCTGTAGTCCCAGCTACTGGGGAGGCTGAGGCAGGAGAATGGTGGGAACCCAGGAGGTGGAGCTTGCAGTGAGCCGAGACCACGGCACTGCACTCCAGCCTGGGTGACAGAGCAAGACTCTGTCTCAAAAAAAAAAAAAAAAAAAAAATATATATATATATATATATATATAAAACTATAGAGAATATGACCTCAACTATTAAGCATATGTGTAAGGGTTATGTATTTTAATAGCAAAGAAAAAATATATACTGGTAGAAAATGACCATCATGTCAACAGTCAATAGTGGTTATATTAGATAGAGAAATTATGGGAGACTTTAATTTTTTTCTTTTATCTTTTCTGTACTTTACCAATTTTCTCAACAATGGTTGCTTATGAGTTTTAAAATTAAAAAAAGGTTTTAAAAATTTTTCCAACATGGAAAGTTATATTTCTTTATATACTAAAACAAAAACAAAACTTTCTATTTGAATACCTATGGCAAAACCCTATCTCTACAAAAAATACAAAAAATTAGCAAGGTGGGGTAGTACACACCTGTAGTCCCAGCTACTCTAGAGGCTGAGGTGGGAGGATCACCTGAGTCCCCAGAGAATGAGGCTCCAGTGAGCCGTGATCATAGCACTGCATTCCAGCCTGGGAGACAGAGAAAGACCCCATCTCAAAAAAAAAAAAAAAAGAAAGAAAGAAAGAAAAAAGAAATATCCACAATGATCTGAAATGCCTATCTGTATGAGACTGTCCTTTGTTCACATTTTTTCAAGCAAATATCACACAATAAATTGAATGCAGGTACAAATGACATATCAAACATCAAAGAAATTTGCAAAAGATGTAAGACTGTACTACCTTGGGTTTAGAAATTTTCTTATCATAAAAGCATTTATAACAATATTTTGTGAGCTTTTAAGGAATATTTTAAGTATTTCTGATTTAATTTCTAGTGATAAATACCAATAGATATAACCCACATACACAAAAGCTCCTTGGGCCCTCAATATACTTTTAAGAGTGTAAAGGAATCCTGACCCCAAAACTTTGAGAACTGCTGCCTTCCCCTCTACTTTATTCCTTCCCTAGAATTTCTTCCTTGGAAGAAACATTCCTTTGCCATTCTATGTTAACTTACACAGTTCCATTGAGGCCAGTTTTGCTACCTCTCTCCCATCTTTCCACATCCCTCTCTTGACACAAAACCTGACCAAAGGACTCTACCGGCCCGCCCCATTTCCAGTGATTAGCTGTCAGGTGGGCTAAGCCAAGAAAATCTGGGTTTTCCCTGAGACTAGACCTCTCTTTCTGGGAGATACGGAATCACAGGGACAAGGCTGGCCCTGTCAGAATTCATCTTGTCTAAATGGGAAGAGGTTAGGCAAGTTTCTAGAATGCCAGACTGCTTTCTAGAAAGTCAAAGATAATTATACTTTCTGCCACGACTGTGAAAATGCCCATTTCATTGCACGCTTTCTAACATTTATACCAATCTGATAAATAAAAGCTGGTACCTAGAAGAAAAAAAGGCTGGGTATGGTGGCTCATGCCTGTAATCCCAGTACTTTGGGAGACCAAGGTGAGTGGATCACCTGAGGTCAGGAGTTCGAGACAAGCCTGGCCAACATGATGAAACCCCATCTCTAGTAAAAACACAAACATTAGCCGGGCATGGTGGCAGGCCCCTGTAATCCCAACTACTCGGGAGGCTGAGGCAAGAGGATCACTTGAACCTGGGAGGTGGAGGTTTTAGTGAGCCAAGATCATGCCATTGCCCTCCAGCCTGGGTGACAAGCTGAGACTTTGTCTCAAAAAAAAAAAAAAAAAAAAAAGTTTCCATACAATATAATTTGTTCCATCTCTAAAAACCAATTCAGCAATAACTGAAAGCCACCACTTGGAAGGTTTCAAGGATTTAGCTCTACCTGTTGATGATGTCCAAAGCATTAGTTAAGGTAGAAAAAAAATACACACACACACACACACACACACACACACACACTCACCCCTATGTAGTCAGTACCAGGAAACACGAAAGACTAGATGGTACAGTCATCCAACACAAAGCACACAATAACTGAAGGCACTGTAGAGGAGTAACTTATGACACAGATCTACAATATTGAGTGAAAATGCAGATTACAAAAAAAAAATCTGATTTTTTAAGGGAGAGGGAACACATACAAGCAAAGGAGAAAAGAGATGAGCAGATGACTGAAAGATACAAAATTCTGATAGTGGTACATTCTGAGTGGTAGAATTATCAGTATTATTTTCTAGTTTTGCCTAAAAATTTTCTAAATTTCTTAAGAACTTTTTGTTATCCATATTATCAAATATCCATCACCCCAGGAAACTTAACCTTGAGCACAAACTCTACAACAAGTTCAATGTTTGTTCAGTTTAATATTTAAGAGACAACCTATTTTGAAAGACATCTAAAATGATGACCAATATTTAAACCTATGCATTAATATTTTTCAATCATATCCTTCACATTTTGTAATTTTGATAAGGTTAAGCTTTAGATCCATCTTGAAAAGATAAGCTTTCTGTTTGTCTTTAAAATATGACCCACAATATGCCTGTTTTTAAACAGTGAATGATGCTCTAAAATCACAATATAAATTCAGGCAGTGCTCCTTACATGGAAAGTTTAAGTACTTCTAACACTGCTCTTTTTCACTTGTTATGAAAACACAGAACAATTATCTAAGCATCTAATTATTCAGGTCCTTTGTTTCTCCTCCAATCTATTAGTTTTATAGTAATTTTAGGGCCTGTGAGGATGAAGCTGTCTGTGACAGCTACCACAAAGGTTACTATAGGTGGACAAATTTCAAACAAGTTTATCACCACTACCATCCCCACCATAAAACTGTCTCAATCAAGGGCAACACAATTCAATATTAGCCAAGACAACCTCTTTACCTGTCACTGCTTAAGAAAAGGATTTTTGGTCTTATTTAGAAATAACTTTCCGTACCTATTTTTCTCCATAAATCCACTGAGACCAATGTGTGGCTCTATCGCAAGCACCAGCAAGCAAAACTGCCTGCTAGAAGGTTCAGTTTTTGTATCTTTCCAAATGTAGAACACAGCTATCTTCAAGGATTTCATAATTTTTTGAAAATTGATGCACAAACTTCTTGAAAGTTCAGAGACACAGCAGCTGTAATTATTCTGAAGGCTGGTTACGGGACACATTACCTTCATACTTTGCTGTTTAAGAAATGTGGGGTGGAGAATCAAGTAAACTGATAGAATTTCCATATAAAATTCTAAGTGCTCTGAGAACAAAAGAAACTTAAAATACACACACACACACACACACACACACACACACACGGTTTTCCCTACTAATCATTTTAAACTAAACAACCAAGTTGCTAAACCAGAGCCCACAAAAGCAGAGTCAAAGTTCTAACACTTGGTAAAAGAAAAATGCACACATACCCCTGTGAGCTAAAAAAAAAATGCTTAAGTATTCAAAGACAGCAATTACAGCTACTGAGAACATCACTGTAAGCAAACTGAGGCAGAGAAAACAAACGTGCTGATGAGGATTTGAACCACCTAAGCTGCAGAAACCCACTGGATGGTTTCCTAGGTTCCGAGTTGGCATTATCTTTCAGAACAATCTTCTAGAAGAGATCACATAACACTGTTACAAAGGATCTGGAGAAAGGGACCCTGGCTTCATCACTGTGGCTCTCCAGTCATGCTTTACATTTGGCAGTGACTATCTCCATTCAACTCAATTCCCTAACCCTGAACTAGCTGACATTTATCAAATACTGCCCTTTACCAGGTCTAAGTAAGTTTAACTCCCCCCACCCCCACCAAAAAAAAATCAAGATACTAAGGGATATACTATTCACAAAAGGGAAACCTGTCTCCTCTTCATATACCTGTTCCTTTCAAGGAAGGGTATAAAAATGGGGATGAGGGAGGATAACCACTAGGAATTTGACCCTATATTATAAATTGGTCAGATAAATGAAAATAATTCCTCTGGACTCAAAGTGATATGGCTCTGAAAACGGGAGAAACATCGGGGTCCTTTGTCTCACGCCAGTTAAACGACATGGACACACAGGAGTGGTTTTAAGGAGCAGAAAGTTTAATAGACAAGAAAGAAGAAAGGCTCCCTGCGGTACAGAAAAAGGGGGTCTGAACAGAGAAAAAGCCCCGTGTGTGGCAGAACAGTACTCGGTTATATTGGGAGGCTGGAGGAGGTGGTGTCTGATTTGCACAGGGCCCAGGGCATTGGTTTGACCAGGCAGGTCATTCATGTAGCCCGAGAAAAACGTGGCCCTCCCACCCTAGCCTTTTAATATGCAAATGTAGGTCACCATGTTGTCCTGCACACATGGGGTCATCTGGAGGTGTCACCTTGAGGTGGTGACTAGAAGAAGAGGGTGGGAATCTCCATGTTGAATGGACACAGTTTCTAAGCGCTGGCATTTGCATATCAAAGCTTGGCAGCCTGTAGTCCCAGCTACTCAGGAGGCTGAGGCAGGAGATTCACTTGAACCTGGGAGGCAGAGGCTGCAGTGAGCTGAGATCACACCACTGCACTCCAGCCTGGGTGACAGAGCGAGATTCCGTCTCCAAAAAAAAGATAAAAAGAAAAGAAAAAGAAATGTTTCTGGAGTTGTTTCTATTAAAAGGGAAAGCCTTACTGAGGCCTCCTTACCCTCTCTATCTGCCTAGTATAATTTCTGAATAACTCCTCTATTAAAAGTACCACTGAGGTGCTTAATATGACATTTCTGATATTTCCCAATGCTCCTCCACAAATTCAATTTGGAAAGGTAATCTGTTCCAGGAGGGCAAACCAAAGAAAAAGTCCTAGGCTCCTGAGTCAAGGCTTGTTTCTTTCCTTTGTACAAGCTGACTACTTTTTAATCATAGTAAAAATGAGAAAAATGCAAGATGAAGTTAACAGCATTGCTTTATTTCCCATGAAAAGCTGTTATAAAGCATTCTCAAAATAAACTGTTATTCAGCCACAAATGACACCATCACTTTTTTATTCATAGGGCACAGTATCGCTGCCAAAGAGCTTTCCTCTATATGCTCTCTTGCAGGGCAAAAAATATTATCTATGTTATACAGAAACACAGTAAAAAAAGTGATTTACTTAAGGTCCTAACTACTAAATAAAAGCTAAACTACTCACTTCCTCCTAGATTCAGAGAGAGCTCCAACATTTTCTAAAATTTGGTATCTTGTTGTTGGGGTAGGCACTTTTTGGCAATAATGAATAGACATTTAATTAGCCAATCAAAAAAACTTATTAGGTACAGTAAGTTCCTCTTCAAAGGTTTAACCTGTTCAACTTCCTTGTTCTTTGTTCCTAAGAACAATTTCCCTGTACCTTCTCACCCCTATTTACCTGCTTAGTTATCTGCTCAGTTACCTGCCTTGTAAACAACTCTTCCCATCAGTCCCAACCTGTAACTCACATTCCCTCTCCCTTCCTTATTAGGGAGAATATTCGCGATAGCAAATCAAGTCTGCTTAGATTGTGTAGTCCGACTCCAGCCCATGTGGGAATGACAGAGAGGTAGGGACTGCGTTAGGGATATAAACTCCTGCTCTATCCCGCTCGGTGTGCTCTTGCATTCGTGACTAATGCAAACAGCAGTCTTTTGCAGAAGTAAGTTGTCTTGCTGAGAAAACTTTTTTTCCTGAGTGCTGGTTCTTCCTTGCAGCACTGATCATTTGTTTCTTTTTTCTTTCTTTTTTTTTTTTTTTTTGAGACAGAGTTTCGCTCTGTTGCCCAGGGTGGAGCACAGTGGCTTGATCTCAGCTCACTGCAAGCTCCACCTCCCAGGTTCACGCCATTCTCCTGCCTCAGCCTCCTGAGTAGCTGGGACTACAGGCACCCACCACTGCGCCCAGCTAATTTTTTTGTATTTTTTTTTTTTTAGTAGAGACGGCATTTCACCATGTTAGCCAGGATGGTCTCGATCTCCTGACTTCATGATCCGCCCACCTCGGCCTCCCAAAGTGCTGGGATTACAGGGGCGAGCCACTGCGCCCAGCCTGATCATTTGTTTCTAACAATCTGGGGGCTCGTCCGGAATTCCCATTCTCCTCTGAGAAAAGGGTCTCCAGTCACCAATAGTGAGGAGAAGCATCCCACTGCCTCATTGAGGTGGCCTCATGGTGAGGGATCAGGACCCACCCAGTGTGATGAATAAACCCGGACTCTCAGCAGTCTGGAAAGGAACAGACCAACAACTTAAGAGAAAAGGATCCTCACATACCATGGTGACCAGGTAACTATGTGCACAGACCAACGTAAGAAACATCACAAGAGCGACAAAGTATTTTCTTGGTGGTTGGGATATCTTGGAGATTGAAAGTGTGTGTTGAGACTCACAATTGAGTGCAAAGCAAGTGTTCAGTCCAGATCTGCAGTTCTGTGGTCACCTTATACAGCTTAAGGTAGCCCTTCTGTAAAGGAGTCTGGGTCAGGGGTTTCTACTGAAACAGCCATTGCTAAGAGGAAACCAACGTTCCCGTGAGGGAAGCAGCCAGAGAAGGATGAAGCGAAAGGAGAAAAGTGCAAGAAACCTCCAGCAGGGGGGTTGAGCCTCGGAAAGGAAAGGGAAAGGAAAGGGAAAGGGAAAGGGAAAGGAAAGGAAAGGGAAAGGAAAGGAAAGGAAAGGGAAAGGAAAGGAAAGGGAAAGGAAAGGAAAGGGAAAGGGAAGGGAAAGGGAAGGGAAAGAGAAGGGAAAGGGAAGGGAAGGGAAGGGAAGGGAAGGGAAGGGAAGGGAAGGGAAGGGAAGGAAAGGAAAGGTGAGAAATCTCCAGTAGGAGAGGTTGAGCCTTATACAAACCTCTCGTAACTGGGAAGAAATTTCTAGTAGGGGAAATTGAGCCTCACCCCAATCCCTTTTCAAGATGGGAAATACCTCAAGTAATGCAGGGGAGAAAAAGGATAAAGCTAGCAACAATAACATTCCTCCTGATAGTCCCCTAGGGCTTATGCTAAAATATTGAAAAGAGAGTGAAAGGACTAAATACAAGAAAAAGCAGCAAATGATAAAATATTGTTGTTTCATTTGGACTCAGGAATCAATCCTGAAAAGCAAGTCAGAAATTAACTCCTCTGAGAAAGATAAGGTCCCTGTTCCTAGACAGCTCACCAACACATGGAACTTCCTCCACCACCTTCCCCCGTCCAATATCCCTAACCTCCTTCCCCCTCAAGCAGAAGCAGTTGTCCCAGACCCTTCTCCTACCCACATTGTTCCCCCTCTTTATAACCCTGCCTCTTGGGAATTGTCCCAACAGCCTGCTCACTATCACCCTAAGTACTCTTCCCTGAAAGGACTTCAGTGTGAGATAGAGCAATGTAAAAGGGATATTCAGAACTTCCCCTTCCCCTCTACCTCGGGAGAATTAGCTCCACCTCTCTTCCCCTGAAGAGAGGTGTCCCTACGAGGAGGAGGTATTCACTTTGTAAATGCTCCTTTAACCAGCTCGGAGGTCCAAAACCTAAAAACAGAGTTCAAGCCACACTATTAGACAACTCCAGTGGAATAGCAGATCGAATTAACCAATTTCTAGGACCACAGTTATATATACTTGGGCTGAGTTAATGTCCATCCTAGGCATCCTTTTCTCAGGGGAAGAAAGAAGCATCATCTGTAGAGCTGCTATGGTAGCCTGGGAACATGAACACCCTCCTGGCCAAAACATTCATGCAGCGGATCAAAAATTCCCCAACCAAGACCCCTGCTGGGACAATAATAACGCAGCCCACTGAAGAGGATACGCAAGAACTTAGGGAAATGATAATAAAAGGGATTCGGGAGTCAGTACTCCGAACCCAAAATCTTACTCGAGCATTCGACATACAACAAAGGAAAGATGAAGGGCCTATCGAACTTTTAGACAGGTTGAAAGAACAAATGAGAAAATATGCTGGCCTAGATTTAGAAGATCCTCTTAGGCAGTGAATGTTAAAGCTTCATTTTGTTACTAACAGCCAGATATCACAAGGAAATTACAAAAGATAGGAAATTGGAAGGACCATCCCACGAACGAGCTTCTTAGAGAAGCTCAGAAAGTGTGTGTAAGGAGGGATGAGGAGAAGCAAAAAGAAAAAATGAAAATTATGTTATCCACCTTCCAACAGGGGGCCCCAAAGGATAAAACACACCAGTATTACTCTCTGTTACCCAGAGACCCACACACTCCCAAACAAAGCCTCCCGAGAGCCAAAACCTATAAAGATCCTAGGCCCCCACTTCCTAAGCCATATAAAGAACATAAGGAGACAAAGCCGAGAAACCCAAAAATAGAGAGAAGAGACAGAATCAATGCTTCAATTGTGAGAAAGTAGGCCACTTCAAGAGGTATTGTCCCAAATTAAAATCAGAAAGAGAAGTCGTCCCACTTACGACCTTTGAGGAGGAATAGGGGGGTTAGGGGCTCTGTCTCTTTTACCTTGAATCCCACCAAGAGCCCTTGATAAATTTAGAAGTGGAACCCAAATCCGAGCTTATGACCTTTTTAGTAGACTCAGGAGCAGCCTGCTCCTCTGTTTGTTACCTTCCCCCACAATATAACCTGGTCCTCAGAGGAGCTTGTAGTCTCAGGGGTAAAAGGAGAGGGAATCAAACTAAAAATTTTAAAAGAAACAGAAATTAGATGTAAAAACTGCTCAGCTAATGTTGAATTTTTGTTAATTTCAGAGGCAGGAACTAATCTATTAGGAAGAAACTTAATGTTAAAATTAGGTATAGGTTTACGTATTGGCTCAGAAGGATTCTACACTTCATTAAACCTGCTCACCACTGCAGAAGAAACATACATTCATCCTGATGTTTGGGCAAGGGAAGGAAATTGGGGAAAACTCCAAATTCCCCCTATACATATAAAGTTAAAAACCCCTGGAGAAATAGTAAGAAGAAAGCAATATCCTATTCCTTTAGAAGGCAGAATAGGCCTGAAACCTGTAATTGAAAGCCTCATCAAGGATGGGCTCCTTGAACCCTGTATGTCCCCTTATAACACCCCAATACTGCCTGTGAAGAAACCAGATAGGTCATGTCGACTAGCATAAGACCTCTGGGCCATCAACCAGACAGTCTAGACTACCCATCCTGTTGTCCCTAATCCTTAAACCATTCTCAGTAAAATTCCATATGAACATCAATGGTTTACAGTAATAGGTTTAAAAGATGCCTTTTGAGCATGCTCCTTGGATGAGGACAGCTGAGACATTTTTGCTTTCGAATGGGAAGATCCCCATTCTGGATGACAGCAACAGTATCGATAGACAGTTCTACCCCAGGGCTTCACAGATTCCCCTAATCTCTTTGGTCAAATTCTAGAACAAGTGTTAGAACAAGTTTATACCCCAAAATGTATATGTCTGCTCCAGTACGTAGATGACTTATTAATATCCGGTTAGGCTATAGAAAAGGTATCTGCTTTCTCCGTCCATATCCTTAACCATTTGTAAGGAGAGGGGCTATGGGTTTCAAAGAGAAAGCTTCGATTCATAGAGCCTGAAGTTAAATACCTAGGACACTTAATAAGTAACGGCAAACGAAGGATAGGGCCTGAGAGGGTTGAAAGGATTGTATCCATACCTTTGCTTAAGACTAAACAAGAACTCAGAAAATTCCTAGGGATAGCTGGATATTGCCGCTTATGGATTGACTCATATGCCCTTGTCATAAAGCCTCTCTACCTAAAAATCACCCAAGAAAAGCCTGACCCTCTCCTCTGGACTTCTGAAGAACTCCACCAGGTTGAGGAGCTAAAACATCTGCTTATAACTGCCTCTGTTTTAGCTTTGCCTTCCCTAGAAAAGCCATTTCACCTTTCTGTTAACATAAATAAGGGGGTAGCTTTAGGGGTCCTTACCCAAGAACACGGAGGTCACCAGCAACCCATGGATCTCCTATCCAAAAGTTTTAGATCCAGTAACCTGTGGATGGCCTGAATGTTTCAATCCATTGCAGCTACCGCCTTGTTAACTAAAGAAAGCAGAAAACTAACCTTTGGGGGAAAGTTAGTTGTAAACATGCCCCATCAGGTTAGAGCCATCTTAAATTAAAAGGCAGGAAGGTGGCTTACTGACTTGAGAATTTTAAAGTATGAAGCTATCCTGTTAGAAAGAGATGATTTAACACTAACCACTGATAATTCACTTAACCCAGAGGTTTCCTGACTGGAGATCCAAATCTAAAGAGACCTGAGCATGAGTGTTTAGATTTAATGATCATACAAAAGTTAGGCCTGAT
The DNA here is from genome assembly GCF_000001405.40 of Homo sapiens. Taxonomy (NCBI): domain Eukaryota; kingdom Metazoa; phylum Chordata; class Mammalia; order Primates; family Hominidae; genus Homo; species Homo sapiens. The sequence goes on from NT_187606.1 coordinate 281,109, forward strand.
TTAAGAGAGACCCCTTACAAAACGGGGCAGGGCTTCTTTATAGATGGCTCTTCCCAAGTAATTGAAGGAAAAAGGCGTAATAGGTACTCAGTAGTAGATGGGGAGGCACTTGAAGAAGTAGAGTCAGGAAGCCTGCCAAATAATTGGTCTGCCCAAACATGTGAATGAATTGTTTGCATTAAATCAAGCCTTAAAGCACTTGCAAAACCAAGAACGGACTATTTATACTGATTCCAAGTATGCCTTTGGGGTAGCTCACACCTTTGGAAAAATTTGGACTGAACGAGATCTTATTAATAGCAAAGGCCAAGACCTGGGCCACAAAGAATTAATCACCCAAGTATTAGATAACCTGCAGCTGCCAGAATAGCTATTGTCCATGTTCCAGGACATCAGAAAAGTCTTTCTTTTCAAAGCGGAAGGAATAACCTAGCAGATCAAATAGCCAAACACACTGCCGTTTCCTCTGAAAATGCCTGTTTTTCACTTAGCCCCTTGCCTTCCTCCCTCGACTGCAGTCCCCATCTTTTCTCCCGCTGAAAAGGAAAAATTAATAAAAATAGGAGCCAAAGAAAATTCAGAAGGGAAATGGGTGTCACCAGACCAAAGAGAAATGTTATCCAAACCCCTCATGAGGGAAATTCTCTCCCATCTGCATCAAGGGACTCATTAGGGACCTCAAGCTAAGTGTGATGCAGTCCTCGGGGTCTACAGATGTATAGGAATTTATATTTTGGCAAGACAAGTTACAGATAGTTGCCTAGTATGTAAGAAGACTAATAAGCAGATCCTCAGAAAACCACCTGTTGGAGGGAGAAATCCAGGATTAAGGCTGTTCCAAAGTGTCCAAATTGATTATGCTGAAATGCCCCCAATTGGTCACTTAAAATATTTATTAGTGATAGATCACCTTACTCATTGGGTAGAAGCTATTCCCTTTTCAAGTGCAACTGCTAGTAATGTACTCAAGGCATTAGTTGAAAATATTATACCCAGGTTTGGATTAATAGAAAATGCTGATTCAGACAATAGGACTCATTTCACTGCACATGTTCTTAAGAAACTAGCCCAAGTACTAGATATAACATGGGACTACCATAACCCCTGGCACCCACCTTCATCAGGAAGAGTAGAAAGAATGAATCAGACTCTGAAAAACCACCTAACCAAATTAGTCCTAGAGACTTGGTTGCCATGGACTAAATGCCTCCCCATGGTCTTGTGAAGATTCCAAACTGCCCCTAGGAAAGATGTCGGCTCACCTCCTTATGAAATGCTGTATGAGTTGCCTTATCTACACTCCACTGCTGACATTCCTCGTTCGAAACAAAAGATCTGTTTCTCAAGAACTATATACTTGGTCTATCCTCCACTTTCTCTTTCCTTAGGACTAAAGGCCTCTTGGCACATACACCACCCCTTGAATTTCCAGTTCACCACCACCAGCCCGGACAGTGACCACATTCTCATCAAAGGTCAGAAAGAAAGGAAGCTCAAGCCCACCTGGGAGGGACATTATCTAGTGTTTCTAATGACTGAGACAGCCGTCCACACCACTGAAAAAGAATGGACTCACCATACCTGAGTCAAAAGAGCACCACCCACTCCAGAATCATGGACAGCTATTTCAGGGCCAATTCCAACCAAGTTAAAGCTAAAACGGGTTTGATCCTCTTATGCTATATTTCTTTTCCCCTTCTATTGCTAGTCCTCTCGTTATTAATGTAACTAGGTCGAGCTCACCCCAAACTATTACCTTTGATGCTTGCCTTGTTATATCCTGTGGAGATCTCCAAAGTCAAAAGCAACTCTCAGCCTCAGAGAAGTATCTCCGTCCCTTTCAGACAAAAGCCTCCCCCATTACGACTCTTGTTCCTTAAGAAATGTAGGGAAACAGGCCTGCCACAGCTGGAATGATATTATGTGGACAACTGAACATCAGGGCTTGGTCAACAGGCAGTTGTAAGTCTCTAAAACCATGTTTGCTTTGTTAAAGGAAACATTCCCCACCCCCTGACTGCCAGTATAACCAATGTAATCCAGTGCAAATTTCTATTCTTATCCCCACTTCTGCCAACCCTAAACCTACTTTAAGTCGCTTATACGGCATAGGAGCCAAAATAGCAGGGACACATCTTATAGAATCCTTTGAAATGCATTTCATTACTTTCTCACCTCCTCCACCTCCTTCTACACTCTCTCTCAACGAAACCGCTGTTCTTCCTTCAACCAAGGATAAAATCAAGGTAAGCCATTGTAGAAGTTAAAAATTTGAAACAAACCATAGCAACTGAGACAGGGTACCAAGATGCAAGTGCTTGGTTAGAATGGATTAAATATTCTGTCCGCACTCTAAACAAAAGCAACTGTTACACTTGTGCGCACAGTAGGCCAGAGGCCCAGGTTGTCCCCTTTCCACTCGGATGGTCTTCCAGCCAACTGGGCATGAGCTGTATGGTAGCTCTTCTCCAAGACCCCACAGCCTGGGGTAATGAATCTTGCCAAGCTCTCTCTCTGCTATTCCCTAAAGTCCAACACCCTGCAGGTCAGTCCCTGAGGGCCATCCAGCCTCCATCTATTGACACCAATTTTTACCTCGGGTCTCTCACAACAAGGGGAAAACTTGGCATTTCATGAAGACCTAAAGGGATGCGGTGAACTTAAACTCTCCCAAGAGCTTACCAGTCAGTCTGCCCTTGTTCATCCTCGAGCATACGTATGGTGGTATTGTGGTGGACCCTTACTGGACACTCTGCCAAGTAACTGGAGTGGTACTTGTGCTCTAGTCCAACTGGCCATCCCTTTCACCCTAGCATTCCATTAACATAATAGAAGAGAAAATCAGAAGAGAAGAAGTGACCTTCATGGGTCCTTTGACTCCCACGTTTATAAAGATGCTACTGGAGTTCCACGAGGGGTACCAGATAAATTTAAGGCCCGAAATCAAACAGCTTCAGGATTTGAATCTGTGCTGTTTTGGTGGTCAACTGTAAATAAAAATGTAGATCGGATAAACTACATTTATTACAACCAACAAAGGTTTGTTAACTACACAAGACATGCCATTAAGGGAACAGCCTCCCAATTAGGTCCCATTAACTAAATAGTCTGGGAAAACAGGATAGCCCTAGATACGATGCTAGCAGAAAAAGGTGGTGTCTGTGTCATGATTGGAGTCCAATGATGTACTTTTATTCCTAATAACACAGCCCCTGACGGAACAGTAACAAAAGCTTTGCAGGACCTAACCTCCTTATCCAATGAGTTAGCAAGCAATTCTGGAATAAATGATCCCTTTACAAGTTTAATGGAGAAATGGTCTGGAAAATGGAAAGGCTTAATGTCCTCAATATTTACTTCTCTTGCAATCGTTATAGGTGTGCTTATTCTTGTTGGATGCTGTATCATACCATACATTTGTGGACTACTGCAAAGACTCATAGACACAGAACTTACCAAAACCTCTCTTAGCTCTCCTCCACCCTATTCAGATAAGCTTTTCCTTCTAGAAAACCAAGCAGAACAGCAAAGCAAAGACATGCTAAAAAAGTTTGAAGAGGAAGAATTACAAAAATTAAGAGGGGGGAATTGTTAGGTACAGTAAGTTCCTCTTCAAAGGTTTAACTTGTTCAACTTCCTTGTTCTCTGTTCCTAAGAACAATTTCCCTGTACCTTCTCGACCCTACTTACCAGCTTAGTTACCTGCTTAGTAACCTGCCTTGTAAACAACTCTTCCTACCAGCCCCAATCTGTAACTCACATTCCCCCTCCCTTTCTTATTAGAGAAAATATTCACAATATCCAGCTGAGTCAGCTAAGATTGTGCAGTCCTACCCCAGCCCATGTTGGAATGACACAGAGGTAGGGAGTGCATTAGGGATAAGAACCCCTGCTCCACCCCGTTTGGTGTGCTCTTGCAATCATGACTAATGCAAGCAGCATACTTGCAGAAGCAAATTGTCTTGCTGAGAAAACTTTTTTGCCTGAGTGCTGCTTCTTCCTCACAGCACCAATCATTTGTTTCTAACAATCTCGCTAAAAGCAGCCTAGAAAGCAGCCACTTATGCAGAAAGAGTAATAATTTATGCTCTACAAGTCATATAAAAAATGAAGTTTCATTTGTTTACCGGCTAATTTACTTCCTGGGAGACATTTTTCATTCTAAAACAGTGATTCCCTACCAAGAGTTCATAGATGCCAAGAAGTCCATAAAAGGCGTAATGGAATTGCCAAATTATGTTAAATACTTCAAAAGGACTCAAAGCCATATACTAGTTCCCAATAGGCCTGCACAAGTTATTAGAACAAGCTGCTTTGCATTCTTGTGTGATCAGAACCAGTAACTAGATGGCAATCAGGTCTGTTACTGAAGATGGAAAAACTATACTTAAGTTTGTATAACAATCTTTCATAACATGGCTTCACAGAAAAGAAGTATAAAAAGGATTCCTTGGTTGAAAAAGAGTGCTCTTTTCCCTTCATTATTTAAGATTAGGACAAATTTATAAAACAGGAAAAAAATAGCACAAATCCCTTGGCAAACAGAGTAAAACATCTACTCTGTTTTGCTTTTTTTCACTTCTTACACTCTCTTTCATAGGAAGTCAATTTACAGACTTCCATCAAGCCCTTAGAGACCTTTTTGTACTATCCATGACAAGCTCTTGATGTTATCTCTGCACTTTTGACAAATTCTTAGCAGTTAACTTACAAGGCAGTTAAGATTTTTGTTCAAGCACAATATAGCTAGAATAGGCTCATACATTCAATAAAACAAATATTTACCAAGCATTTATTGAGTGGAAGATAAAAAGCACAAAGCATAATTATAAAATATTTTCCCCTGCCACCATAAAAAAATTAAACAGGCTTACAGAATACAGTGTAAGAAAACATGACCAAAGCAAAAATAGTAAGGACTAAAGAAGGGAGGAAGGGGAAATATCAACATGGACTGAATATGACCCAAAAGAGCCTTGATGGATGGTCAGACATGTAAAGGCAAATTGGTTAGGGTTAAGGGGTGGAGGTCAGGGCACGTTCTATAGGGAAACGGCAGCTGATACAGAAGCCTGAAAGGAAAAGCGGGCAGAGCACCTGGACAGGACTCTTCAGGAACGAGCACGCACGTGCGTGAAAAACAACTTAGTGAGGTACCGTTCACCCAAACATTAGAGAAACCGCGTAAAAATGCTTCTTGGTAAGCATGAAGAAGGCAGGGCTCGCCCTGTAGAAGAACTCAATAAACATTTGAACTGTCTAAAGAGTAAAAGTTAATGAATAGGCCAAACTCACTCCTTTCTTTGTTTTAAGAGCTACAACTTTAGAGAATAACAAATCACAAACCCAGTAGACAGGTCCTGGCATTTCAAATCCAACCCCATTTTTCCCTTAATCTTTCCCCTCTGAGCAAATGGTATCGACATGAACAAGCCATGTTGATTTGATCAAGACACTCAACCATGGTTAAAAGAGTCTTTACCTTCAAGAGATACAAACAGAAATATTGACAGATGAAGTGATCTGTCTGGAATCTGCTTCAAAATAATCCAAAGTGGAGTATAAATGAAATAAGATTAGCCAAAAGTTTATCATTGTTGAGGGTGGCTACAGTACATAGTTCAACTTTTGTTGAGGCCAGGCATGGTGGCTCACACCTGTAATCCCAACACTTTGTGAAGTGGAGGCAGAAGGATCACTTAGCCCAGGAGTTCGAGACCAGCCCGGGAAACACAGGGAGACACCGTCTCTCCAAAAAAAAAAAAAAAAAAAAAAAAAATTAGCCACCATGATGGTGAGTGCTACTTGTGAGGCTGAGGTAGAAGGATCACTTGAGCCTGGGAGGTCAAGGCTGCACTAAGCTGTGATTGTGCCACTGCACTTCAGCCTGGACAAAAGAGTGAGACTCTGTCTCAAAACAAAAAACAAAAAAAAAAAAAAAAAGAAAGATGGAACATATTATAACTGTCAGACCATTTGTTGCAACCTGGGCTGCAATCTTTTTCTTTAAACCCAAAAGAACTTCTGACCAGGTAAATGTAGTCTTTTTTTCTTTTTTAATGACAAATCTACTTTATAAAGTACCTTCCCTTATCAGTGAGAAAGAAAATATAAAAGAGCTGAGTCAAATCTGGAGTCAATAAAGGTTTGTAGTTCTTCAAACAAGAACCCTTGCTCTGAATTCTAAAAGTAAATAACAGACATGCTGAAAAAATATTTCATTTTATGAAAGGTTCTGCACCAAAGCCTTTTACAAAAACAGTCTACAAAACCTACTAAACATCCTGTTCCATCTTCCACTTTGAAATCACTTGCTTGGTCTAAATTCAGTTTCATTAATAAAAATGAACACAATAAAACAGTACTCTATGCCCCCATTCCACCCCAACAATTATCTTCAAAGGATGTCCAGATTTCTGTACGCTATTTGCCAATCCTACCTACATATTAAAAAAACAAATCTCAGCTTTAGAGGAAAATCACTGGTTAATTAAAATGTCATTTAGGGTTGTATTTGTTTTCTATGAAGGGATAATAATGGGATATTTTATTTTCATTTATTACTAAAGCAACACCTTTCATTATTAGAAATGTATTTCCATTTCAAGCTACGTTTCAAAGCAAATTATATTCTTCAACTAGCCACTTTCATAGGTATTTTGAATGCAATATTTTATTATAAAGCCTTGGCTGGCCTCCAGTGTTAATTAGCACAAAAAGATGGGTTTATTTTCAAAAGACAGGACATTCTTTTCAGCCTTCAAAATGTTTTCATCAAAAATTACTATGTACCATAAAAATAACACGCTCACTGTAAACATTTAAGCGATTCAAAGATAAAGTAGAAAGTCAAAGTCTCCACCTACCTGCCCTCTAAGATGTTAATACTTATGCTTAACATATTTTATTTTTTAAAAGGAGGGGAAATCACATCATAACTACTTTAAAAGGCCTTTACAACTTCTTTGTAATTACACACACACACACACACACACACACACACACACACACAGAGTGGGGAAGGAGAGGGAGGGGGTGGGGGAAGGAGGGAGGGACAGACAGACACATACACTTCAATGTAAGGCTTATTATAAAACGTACAAAAAAGGCGAGAAAACAGAGATGGGTGGGAGACGGGCCTGCAATTTCAATATCTGAAGTCAAAACAACTTATTAGGAGATAATTTAGAATGCTTCCTGTCAACCCTATTTGGGGAAAATATTGATTTGATAAAAGGTTACGGACTGAAATCAAAAAGTAGCTGCCTTTTGAAGGTCAATTAATCCTTTGGTTTTAGGATAAACTAAAATGTTACAAAACACACACAGTGAAACACACAGAGAACTCAAACTGACCTAACTACATTTATCCTCTCCTTCCCAATTATCCTTTATCACTAATTTCCCCAAACTACTACTCTATTAGTTTCCTATTGCTGTTAACAACAAATTATCACAAACTCAGTGGCTTAAGACAACACAAATTTATTATCATGTTATCATTTCTGGAAGTCAAAAGTCCAAAATGACTTTCACTTGTTTAAAAATCAAAGTGCCAGCAGGGCTGTGTTCCTTCTAGAGTCTCTATGTGGAGAAAGTGTTCTTTTGCTATTTCCAGCTTCTAGAGCTGCATTCTGTGGCTCATGGGCTCCTTCCTCCATGTTCTAAGCCAGCAGTGTAGCATCTTCAATCACCTGACAAAATCCAACACGTTTTCATCATAAAAATGGTCAAAGTAGGAATAGAAGGGAACGTCCTCATCTAACAAAAGGTACCTGTGAAAAACCCACACCTAACAACATCATACTTAATGGGGAAAGCTTGGATGCTTTCTCTTTCAGATCAGTAGCAAGACAAGGATGTTTGTGCTCACCACTTCTATTCAATGTTGTACCAGAGATGCTTCTCAGGGCGATTAGGCAAGAAAAAGAAATAAAAGGCATCCAGATTGGAAAGGAAGAAAACGATCTCCAACTACTTCATCCTGTACATAGAAAATCCTAAGGCATCCACTTAAGAGCTGTTGCCAAACAAACAAGCCAGATTATAGTCTATAATTGACCTCTGAAACAAGGCTACAGTTTCAGAGACCGGTATGCAAAAATCAATAGTATTTCTATATATAATCAATGAACAATCAAAAACTGAACAATTAAGATAACAAAATTAACAATCGCATCAAAATGAATAAAATCATAAGCAACAAATTTCAAGAAAGTACCAAGTTTATACAATGAACACTACAAAACACTGTTGAAAGAAATCAAAGACAACCTAAATGAAAGGAATCAAATTCAGCATCCAGAAAAAATTCCTCACATTTATGATCAATTTCAACAACGATGCCCAAGACAATTCAATTGGGGAAAGAACAGTCTTTTCAACAAATGCTTCTGGAACATCTAGAGATCCACATGCAAAAGAAAAAAGTTGGACTCTTCCCTTACAAAACACACAAAAATGAACTCTCACATTACATACCTAAATGTAAGAGCTAAACCTATAAAATTTCTAGAAGAAAACATAGGAGTAAATCTCTGTGACTCTGGGTTAGGCAAAGAATTGTTCTTAGATATGATGCCAAAAAAAAATCAACAACAGAACATTATCAAAACTGAAAATTTTGCTTGAAAGGATAGCATCAAGGAAGTGAAATGACAACCCACAGAATGAGAGATAATTTTTGCAAATCATGTATCTGATAAGGGACCTGTAGTCAGAATATGCAAAGAACCCTTACAATTCAATAAGACAACCCAATTTAAAAACAGGCAAAGGATGTGAATAGGCATTTCTCCAAAGATACGGAAAAACGGCCAATAAGCACATAAAAAGATGCTCAAAATCATTTGCCATTTGGGAAATGCAATCAAAACCACAATGAGGTATCACTTCACGCCCATTAGGGTGGCTATAGATCAGAAAGTCAGATAACATGTGTTGGCAAGCACATGGAAACACTGAAGTCCTTACACACTGCTGGTAGGAATGTAAAATGGTGCAGCCACTGTGGAAAACAGTTTTCCAATTTCTCAAAATGTTAAACACAGTTATCATACACCCAAGCAATTCTACTCTTAGGTATATACCCAAGAGAAATGAAAACATATGTCTTCACCAGAACTTGCTGTTCACAGCAGCATTATGCATAATAGACCAAAAGTGGAAACAACTCAACTGCCCATCAACTGGTGAATGGATAAGTAAAATGTGATGTAACCAGTCATTGGACTGTCATTCATTAATAAAAAGAACAAGGTACTGATTCATGTTCTAACATGAGTGAATCTTGAAAACACTATGCTAAATTAAAGAAGCCAGTCACAAAAGGCCGTGTATTGCATGATTTTATATATACATGAACTTTTATATATATATAATTATATATATTATATATAATTTTATATATATAAATTTCTATATATAAATATATAAAATCATATATATGATATATATTTTTTCATATACATCATATATATTTACAAAAATTATATATCATATATCATATGATATATGAGATATATATCATGATATATATGATATATGATATATATCATATGAGATATATGATATCATGAGATATATGATATCATATGATATATATGATATAGATATCATATGATATATATATAATATATATATGATAGATATATTATATATGATAGATATGATAGATATCATATTATATATGATAGATATGATAGATATCATATTATATATGATAGATATAGATATCATATTATATATGATAGATATGATAGATATCATATTATATATGATAGATATGATAGATATCATATTATATATGATAGATATGATAGATATCATATTATATATGATAGATATGATAGATATCATATTATATATGATAGATATGATAGATATCATATTATATATGATAGATATGATAGATATCATATTATATATGATAGATATGATAGATATCATATTATATATGATAGATATGATAGATATCATATTATATATGATAGATATGATAGATATCATATTATATATGATAGATATGATAGATATCATATTATATATGATAGATATGATAGATATCATATTATATATGATATCATATATATACCACATACATCATATATACATCATATATACATCATATATATCATACATATATATGAACTTTCCAGAATAGGTATATCAATAAAGACAGGAAGTATACAAGTGGTTGCCACAGCCTGAGAGGAGCAGGGAATGGTGAGTGACTGCTAATGGATATGGCACTTTTTTTGGGGGGTGATGAAAATGTTCTGGTCAGACAATGGCAATTACAAAACTGTATACACACGAAAAACCAAAGAATCACACACTTTAAAAGGGAGGATTTAGCTCGGCATGGTGGCATGCGCCTGTACTCCCAGTTACTCGGGAGGCTGAAGCAGGACTGCTTAGAGCCCAGGACTTCAAGGCTGCAGCGAGCTATGATCGCTCCACTGCACTCCAACAAGGATGACAGTGCGAGACCCGTTTTCTAAATAATAATAATAATAATAATAATAAATAACCCAAGGTACCCAGTTCACATGCAAAACCACTGGTAAACATAAATTATCTCCAAGTAATCTAGAAAGAAAATGAGCACATAAGACGTCTTCTAAAAACACACATATATTTCTTTACATGTTACATTTAACGTAAAAATCAGCTATGCAGAAGTTACATGAACATTTTATGTTGGAAAGGTAAATGACTATTATTAATACAGAATGGTTAAGTACATTTATGTTTTTATGTACAAACGCATAAAAGGAAAAGCATCCTTAAAATAAACACCATCAATGGCTCCTCGGTGGTCACAAAACAAAATCCTCACACCTTTGTCTTCCTTCACAATTGAGCTTTATCCACCTTTTCAGGCTTATCTCCCATTATTACCTGACACAAACTTGGGTGGGCCAGAGTTTCCACTGACCATCCCCCGACTATTCATCCAACACTATGTTCACTGCCTCCCATTCCTGACCATTTGCCTTTTGTCTTCAACTAATTCTGGGGACGTTTTGTCCAAATAAATGATCCATATTCTTGAAGGCTGGAATCAAGTCCTATTACAAATATATTTTCTCACCCTCTCCAGAGCATAGCAACCCAGCATCTACTGGCCTCTCACAGCTCTAACCATCCACAACCCTAAGCTGGCTTCTCATCAAACGGGTACTTTTCACCACCCAAATTCAATTAATTCACTCTTACAATAATGAAGAATAGTCGCCTACAGCCTACCTTTTCCAGCCTTGATTCAATCATTTATCAATTTTATCTTCAAAGTCCCTCACTTCAGGGAGATGATATATCAGCTTTCACCCAGAGTCCTAAAGAAAACAGCACTCTTGCCAATGACATAGTGCCACCTAGTGGCAACATAAGGTAAATCACAGTGGCAGTAGAAGGATCTCCACACTACTTTTACAGGAATGCACTGCAGGTAAAAAATAAGAAGCTACAGTACTGTTTGGCAGGACAATTTGTTTCATACGTGCATACTATCGCCCTGACTAAATTAACTCGCAAGTCTTACAGGTATTATTTGTTTTCAGTTCCATGCACAGATTAGCCATTTAGTACTTACTAAATCAAACTCAATTTCTGAAGTGTCTTACACCAATATATTCATGCACATATGGTTAAAATTTTCCTTGAGGATCTATCATGTGAGAGTGTGGCTTATTATAACAAGTAAACAGAACAAATAAATACAAAATGAAAAGAAATCGTATGATTTACTCGCATATAAGGGAGCTTGTTGTGGATTAAGTTTCATGACCCAGGACACTGAAACAGAAATGGAATAAATGAGAATAAAATTAAAAGTTGTCATCAAAAATATAGAAGCCATCTAAAGACCTAGGTGTCAAGCATAGCTCTATGAGTACAATCCCGTGCCTGAGATTACCATATGCCCAGCTGTATGCTATACACTAAGAGATTTAGGAAGGAAGCGGGGTCAGGGATTGACCCCAGACTCCATCTTTTCAAGTGGGGAAGAAAGATCTTCCGATTGAAAAATAAAGGCAAAAAAGGCTTCACCGTCACAGAAGTTTCAACAACCAACAGGATATTTAAAACAGTTATCAAAGCAAAACCATTGTATGTTCACTTACATTTTTACATAGTCCCTCAAACTCACAAAATGCTGTTTACTCAGGGACTTCTTCCGGTCTTACTAGGGAGCCTGGAAAGTGACGGGAGGATTGCAAGGGACCACTAGAACCCTCTTCCTCAATTCCCCTTCTCTGAGAAGGGAGGCTACAGCTTGCCTCTCTAACCACTAAAAGGCATGACCCTCCTCAAAGTTAATAGCCGGATTCCCTGATAGATATTTTCACTAAATGAATTCTCATAAAACTCTCACTAAGATTTAGAGAAGGCTTCCAGGGTTGAATTCCTGAACATTAAGAACAGCATGTTTTTTAAAAGTTTAACTTGGTGATTGGACCAGGACTTCATCTAGGCTATGAATGCTCAGAATGGTAGGTCCTTTACCAAACAGCTTGAGTTTGTGTATAAAGTGATCTCATCCTCTTAAGAGTCAGAGAAACAGAACCAAGCGACTTCACTATAATTTGATCTGAGGAAGTTTCTTACTCACAATAGGTAAATGAAGGCACATACTAACCAGCAATATAAACAACAATATCAAGTGTCATTCACACATGCAAAAAACAGACAAAATCCCAAACTCTGTGTTCTAACAAATCGCAAAAACCTCACTAACAATAAATTGAAATGACCAAATGTTTGGACTGAAAAGCAATGCCTTGGTAGCCTAGCCATGCCTAACTCAAATAACAGAACCATCTCGATGTTAAAATCCTCACAGATCAAGCTGTGTATGTCTCGGGTCAAGACTTCGCCAAAAAGCAGTGAGCACACACTTAAGAGGGAAAAAATCTACCTCAGCCTCCTAAATGCAATCATCTCTACACGAGTTGCAGGCCCCAAGCTTCAACGTGTTCTGCTGGACAACGCAGTAGAAAGCTGACAAGCAGGTGGCCTTCCCACACTGACTGAACCACCTCCATGCCCATGTCCATTCATTTTCTTGCCCACCCCATGTGCTATAACAGACCTCCTGGCTCAGGGCACTCTTTCCTTCCTGACTGCCTTCACTTAATGACTTTGTACTTTTAGGTGCAAAAATTATCTGCAGAAATCCACACTGAAAACCAAGCTTGAGAAAGGCAGCAATAACCAACATTTTTACAAGAAGAACAAGGTCAATATCAAGCCCATCAGATTCAAATAGCAAGCATGGATGAAAATGAAAGATTGAAAGGCTTGAGTGCCTTCTTAATGTATTAAATATCCATTTAATTTACAATTAAGCTCACTGTGCTCACTGGCCTTTTAATCAGCTTTCCAGGTCCTGCTCAGACTTGCCTAGGACATGGGAATGAAAGAACCTATACATTTATGGACCAATCTACCTTAACTAACTTGTCAAGTGTTCCTGCATCAAGCAGAAGAAACATCAGTGAAACTGATACAGGAATTAACCCCTTGTTAATCCATAAAACTTAAAGGAGCGGGATCCAATCTTCTGGCTTCCCTGGGCCACGCTGGAAGAAGAATTGTCTTGCGCCACACATAAAATACACGAACACTAATAATAGCTGCTAAGCTTTAAAAAAATTGCAAAAAAGGAAAATCTCATAATTTTTTGTTTGTTGTGAGGTGGAGCCTCACTCTGTCACCCAGGCCGGAGTGCAGTGGCACCATCTTGGCTCACTGCAACCTCTGCCTCCTGGGTTCAAGCCATTCTCCTGCCTCAGCCTCCCGAGTAGCTGGGATGATAGGCGTGTGCCACCATGCCCAGCTAATTTTCGTATTTTTAGTAGAGACGGGGTTTCACCATGTTGGCCAGGCTGGTCTCAAACTCCTGACCTCAGGTGATCCACCCACCTCGGCCTCCCAAAGTGCTGGGATTACAGGTGTGAGCCACCGTGCCCGGCCAATGTTTTAAGAACGTTTACGAATTTGTATTGGGCCACATTCAAAGCCTTCACAGGCTGCATGCAGCCTGCAGGCCGCGGTTGGACAAGCTTGGATTAGAGAAATCTACAGAGACAAACTAGTGACTTAGTAGCCCTCTGATAGCTCATGATTTGCAAGAAACTTAGGATGACTATGTGTAAAGACCACAAACATCAATTTAACTGAATGGTTCCCGCCACACTGGAATGAGGAAGCTGAGCAAACTCAGAGGACTCTAAGAAAGGGCTGATGTCATCTGAACTGTTCGGAATTATAAACTCCTCTAAACATGTTTCAAAGCCAGAACTTGTAGGAGTTGTTCTGATACACGGATTAAAAGAGGGATGACAAAGTGTCTGTCCCCCACACTGGTCAAAGGGACAGGTCATTGTTATGCTGGCAATGCAGGCTGCTGAAAAGAATGTATCTGTCAAAAGTAATCAAAGTAATGACCCCAGAAGGCTCCAGAAACAGACTGGTAAATTCAGGTTGCTTTCAGACTTCCACAATGCTGGCACACAAGGGGAAAGACAAAACTAACATTTACAGAGCATTATATTTGATATTACATTTAATCCCCATTAAAAAGATACTATTTCCCGTTTCACTAGTGAAAAAGTTGATCTTTCAAAGGTTAAATTATTTAACACCAAGGTCAAAGGGTAAGTTGGAGAGACCAGATTCAAACCCAGTCTGACATTAAAACATGTGTTTTCCCCCCACATCGTCTCCTGCTAATAACCTCAAATCTAAAAACTGACTTGCCCTACACCTTGAGCCCCATCCTACAAACTCTCCCTGACGTTATTAATTCAGCTGTCACTGTGCACCTACAACGTGCCAGACACCATACTCCTCAACACTCTGTAGGCACAGAAGGAACAGATAAAAATCCCTACCTTCATAGATATTATTCTAGGGGTAACACAGGTAAATAAAACATTAAAATAGTTTTCACATAGTAGCAAATTCCATATAGCAAAATAAAACAGAAGAAGGAATAGCAAATGAGGGAGATGCCCTCTTAAACATGGTGCTGAGGGAAGGCCTCCCTGAGAAAGATATCATTTACCCCAAAAATAAAAAAGCAAGTAATAGAAAAAACAGGTAAAAGGTGTTCTAGACACTTAAACCTGCCACATTGAGAACTCAGGGTTCTGATGCAAAACCTCGCTGCATAGAATGCATTAACTTATTTTTATACATTTAAACAAACAAACTCTACTTAAGAACTGTGTTCTAAAGGAAGGAGCATATTACAGGAAGGCAATTTTTGGTCAGAGTAGACACACTTAAAAACTAAACCTATTGAAAGACCAAGAACAACTGAAAGTCTTTGCTTTGTCAGATTTTTGACCAAAAGGAAAATTAAAGAAACACACCGTGCCCATCCAATGATTTCACCAAGGAATTTTAAGAGAGAAAATCCTACTTCTTCCTCACCCAGTAGCCAGTGAAATGACTGAGCAAATTCACAAGTTCACTGGGGCTGCTTTCATGTAACACAGGGACAACACATGACAGACACAGTGGAACCCTACAGGTTGCCTAGTATTTGAAAGACTGTGAAGAGGAGGAGATGTCAAAATTCAAAGTCTTAAATGATGTAGTTTTAAGTATGTTCAGCAATTTCACCACTCAGTAGTAAAGCCAGCTACAGTTGAAAGCAATCAGAAATTTGAGGGGTGTGAAATAAGCAGAAGCACAGAAGTTAAGGATTTGTATTCTTCCCACATTTTCCACTTTATTTTATACTGCTGAGAAAAAACAAATTTAATAGTTTTCTGCTGTATAAGAGAGACACATTCACTTTATGTCACAGTAAGAGTCACTCAATTTTAATACAACTATCTCAATGTATAAATTAACATTCTCCCCCCTGCCCACACATAGTAAGTCTCTTATGATGTTGCTGATTAGAGAAGCAAAAGTTGCCGCTACAATTCTCTTCCTGCATTTTAATATAAACAATCATCAGTCTTTTCTTCATAGAGTGCAGTGTGGGCACTATCATCAGAATGTACCAGCACTGGGTGTGCAAAGTTTACAAAGATTAGCAAGAGCAAAAGTGTTGAGATTTTTGAAATTCATGCTGCTGCAAAGAAGTATGTAAAAACTCACTCACCATAGAGGACCACACAGAAACTCAGGCATGAAGTTATATGGCTGTGTGAGTGGTTTGGGAGAAGGAACGGAAAGCACTTCCACCAACCTATATGCCTGAGCAAATTAATGCAAAACCTCAGAAGCTACAAAAAAGTTTATCTACCTAAATTAAAATTGGTGTCCACAGCAGTAGCCAGCAAAATGCCTGCGAAGCGCAAAGTGGTAAATATTTTAGGGTCTGTAGGTCATATGGTCTCTGTTAAACAATATGTAAATGAATGGGTGTGGCTGTGTTCCAATAAAACTTCATTTATAAAAAGAGGCAGCATGGTACATCCAG
The DNA here is from genome assembly GCF_000001405.40 of Homo sapiens. Classification (NCBI taxonomy): domain Eukaryota; kingdom Metazoa; phylum Chordata; class Mammalia; order Primates; family Hominidae; genus Homo; species Homo sapiens. The sequence continues at coordinate 297,556 of NT_187606.1, forward strand.
TCAGCAAGCTATAATGTACCAACCCCCGGTCTAACACTAACCAAATACCTCTTAATAAGCCAAAGAAACTGTGTCCTCTTAGGCCGGAAGCGGTGGCTCACACCTATAATCCCAGCATTTTGGGAGGCCGAGGCGGGGAGATCACCTGAGGTCAGGAGTTTGAGACCATCCTGGCCAACATGGTGAAACCCTATTTCTACTAAAAATACAAAAATTAGCCAGGCGTGCTGGCGGGCGCCTGTAATGCCAACTACTGGGGAGGCTGAAGCACGAGAATCGCTTGAACCCAGGAGGCAGAGGTTGCAGCGAGCCTAGATCACGCCATTGCACTCCAGCCTGGGCAACAAGAGAGAAACTCCGTCTCAAAAAAAAAAAAGGAAATAAAAGTATACAAAGTGAAAACAAAGAAATTAAACTGCCCTTATTTGCCAGTGACATTACTGTCTATGCACAAAATTCCAAAAATCTACAAAAAAGCTTCTAGTACTAAAAATGAGTTTAGCAAGGTTGTAGAATCCAAGGTCAGCATATAACATAAAATCACCTTCCTATATACTAGCAATCACCAACTGGAAATTGAGAAGTATCATTCACAACAGTACCACAAACATGAAATAAATGTGTAAGATTTCAAAATACAAGCAAGATCCAACTGCTAAAAACTACAAAACACTGACGAAAAATCTAAGAAGGTCTAAATAAATAGATATACCATGTTCATGGCTCATTATTAAAATGTCAGTTGCCTCCTAACTGATTTCCAGTTTCAATGCAATGTCAATCAAAAACCCCAGCAGGCTCTCACGCCTGTAAGCCCTACACTTTGGGAGACCATGGTGGGAGGATTGCTTCATCCCGGGAGTTTGAGACCAGGCTGGGCAACATAGAGAGACCCTGTCTCTACAAAAATAAAAAAATTAGCCAGGCATGGCGGTGCATGCATGTGATCCCAGCTACTTGGGAGGCTGAGGTGGGATAATCGCTTGGTTCAAGGCTGCAGTGAGCAGTGATCCTGCCACTGCGTTTCAGCCTGGGCAACTGAGTGGGACACTTTTTTTTTTTTTTTTTTTTTTTTGAGACAAGGTCTCGCTCTGTCGACCAGGCTGGAGTGAAGTGGTGCAATCTCGGCTCACTGCAACCTCCATCTCCTGGGTTCAAGTGATTCTCCTGCCTCAGCCTCCCAAGTAGCTGGGATTACAGGTGCCCGCCACCATGCCCAGCTAATTTTTCTGTTTTTAGTAGAAACGGGGTTTCACCATGTTGGCCAGGCTGGTCTTGAACTCCTGAACTCAAGTGATCCACCCGCCTCGGCCTCCCAAAGTGCTGGGATTACAGGCATGAGCCACCGCACCAGGCCATGAAACACTTTCTTCCACCCACGGCTTTCTCTTCTCTCCCCATTTACAGCAGTAAGACAGCCTAACCTGGGAAAGAGAGAGAGAGGGAAGCTACTTCCAAATGGATGCCTGTCCCCATCAGTAATAACCAAGTCTATTCAAGTGCTAGATGTTAACTTTAAAAGAAGGAAACATCAAAAGTCCAAGTTTCAGCCGGGTGCAGTGGCTCATGCCTGTAATCCCAGCACTTTAGGAGGCTGAGGCGGGTGGATCACAAGGTCAGGAGTTCAAGACCAGCCTGGTCAATATGGTGAAACCCCGTCTCTACTAAAAATAAAAAATTAGTCAGGCATGGTGGCGTGTGCCTGTAGTCCCAGCTACTCGGGAGAGGCAGAAGATTCGCTTCAACCGGGGAAGCAGAGGTTGCAGTGAGCCAAGATCGTGCTACTGCACTCCAGCCTGGGTGACAGAGCGAGACTCCGTCTCAAAAAAAAAAAAAAGTCCAAGTGTCTTCGCCTAGCTTTGTCAGGAATGTTTTTACCCTCAGTCTGTAAGTGTGACCAAATATATTTTTTAAAGGTTTACCCTCAATCTGTTAAGTTCAAAGGTTTACTATAATCTCTTCATAAGAAAACTATTGGAAAGATGGAATAAAATACACAGAAATGTCCTTAACAGGTAAATATTTATTTTTCTTTCTTATTATTATACTTTAAGTTCTGGGGTATATGTGCAGAACGTGCAGGTTTGTTGCATAGGTACACACGTGCCATGGTGGTTTGCTGCACCCATCAACTCGTCATCTACACTAGGTATTTCTCCTAATGCTATCCCTCCCCTAGCCCCCCAACCCCCAACAGGCCCCAGTGTGTGATGTTCCCCCCTCCCTGTGTCCGTGTGTTCTCACTGTTCAACTCCCACTACAGGTAAATATTTCTAGAATGTATCTACTCCATCAGCTAGTGTAAGTATTCTAAACTGTGCTAGTATAGCTGCTTTAAATCACTGCTTTCTTCTGCAAATGGTGGCACCTTTAAAGTGTTATCTTGAAGGGGAAGTGAGTGATTTGCTCATGTCTCTACTGAACTAACACTGTTAACACCCAGTC